>NC_000001.11:48644744-48947774 GCF_000001405.40 Homo sapiens | reverse complement strand
CTCTATCAGCCCTCACCTGAAATCAGTTACATTGAGGGACTGGCTTGTCTGACTAGAGTATCCTGGAAGTAGCAGGAGTATGTTACGTTTTGAGGAGTAGGAAAAGCTTTGGGCAGTTAATGCAGTGAGAAATTTAGGTTGATATTCTTCTTTTTCTTTCATTTTACAAATCTCTTTTGAGCACCTGAAACTCTAAGGATTCTGTTGAGGTTAGTGCAGAAAAACAGGAGAGGATGGAACAGCTGGAAAGCACTAGCCTCAGAGGCATTGTAGATTTTAATATAATGAAAACAGATTAATAGCCTGAAAGTGTAACCAAAGAGAAAGGTGAATGCTGCCCTCTCCCATTCTCTACCCCATCTTTGTGCCTCCATTAATTCTGGAAATACTTATTGAGACTCTACTATATAAGATGCACTGTTCGAGATAAAACATTGGATAAGAGTCCCTGCCCTTTATGAAGTCTTCATTCTGGCAAAGTAGACAAACATTAAGCCACTAAACACATAGCTTGCTATTTTAAAATGTAATGAAGGAGAAGCACAAGGTGCTAAGAAAACATACAAGGGGAGGCCTAACCTAACCTGGAGCATCAGGAAAGGCTTTTCTGACAAAGTGACTTTTGAGCTGGACTCAAAGAATAAGGGTTAACTGGAGGGAGGCAAAGGAGAAGTAACAGGGAAGGTGCAGATAGGAAAGAGAGAAGCATGTTCTGGGGATAGAGAAAGAAACACAGTATGGTGGAAGAATTGAAAAGAAGGCCAGTGACAAACTGTATTCCTGGGGAGAAGTAAGGTTTAGACTCTGAGATGCAGAGCCTTTCCAGGTACCTCAGGTGTGCCCTTAGGCCCCAGTGTTGGCCTGTCTCCTCTGCCTCTCTCTTGCTTACATGGGACATTTCTCCACAAAGACTGGCTTTACTTTTACTTCCTCCGGGATGTCATCACCTAAGTCCCCTTCCCTGGGCTATCAAGCCCTCCCAGCTCTGTGCTTCCCTCTACTACTCTCGTGTCCATGTAACCGTCAGTTTGTAAGTCTGTGTTCTCCACTCAACTATGAGTCCTCATGGACAGAATGAGTGTCATTTATCTTTGTGTCCCCAGTGTCTGGCACAGACCTGGCACCAAGTGCTTATGGAAGGAACCCGACACAGAGTGAGCTAACTTTTTGCCTTTCATTACAAAGCTTAGAGACAGAAGGGTCCTCAGACTTTATAATGCTCAGCCACCCATTTTCCAATGCAGAAACTGAGGCACAGAGGGCTAAAACAAATTGCTTAAGGACTTGTACCTGGGATGCCAAAGCCAAATTCAGAACAAGTGCAATCTGTGTCCTAGTCCATTGCTCTTTCTCCTACACCCTCATTATCGATCAAGCTGTCACTAAGTAATGTGAATATCTCCTGTAATTGGGATGCACAGACAAATCAAAAAGGTATTATTTGTCCATTCATTCAGCAAATGTTTACTGAATGGTTCATGGGTCATAGGGCAGCCCCTGTACCCTGGGCTAAGGATTCAGAGTTCAAGAGTACACAGTATTCACTTCACAGTATGGTCAGTGCCTGTGGGGTGATAGAGCACACATACCTAAAACAATCAGACATTAACAACTAAGATAACTTGTGAGACATGGGAGAATGAGAAGGAGTAACGGGAGAAGTAGTTCTTGAGCTAAACATGGAAGGCTCAATTTCAATAGGGAAGAGAATGGTGTTCCTCGTGGGTGGAATAGCGTGAACAGAAGTTCAGAGGAAGAATATCTATTCTCATATTAAGAGTGATGATAATAATTAGCTAGCACTAATTGAACACTTACTGTGTGCCAGGTACTATTGTAAGAACTTTATATATATTAACTCATTGAATTCTCATAATGCCCATTTTTCAGATGAGGAAACTAAGGCACAAAGAGGTTAAGTAATTTCCCATGATCACACAGCTAATTAATGGTAGACAAGGAATTTGAACCAGAAATAGCTGCAGACCCCTTGCTCTTAATATTCTGCTCTACTGACTCTTAACATTGCCTCTTGACAGTAAATAAGGGTCTGTGTGATACATAGCACCTGGCAATACAGAGTCGAGTCAGATTTTGAAAAATAAAGTTGTTGTGGTTTTTTCCCCCTTCTAACTGAGTATTTACCAGGTACCAGAACAGGGCAAAGCTCTCTCATACAGTGTCTTACTTGTTCTCACTTAATGCTCACAACTCTATGAAATAAGTAATATTCTCATTTTTATCATTTGGATCTAAGGCCCGAAGAAGTTCCATAGCATGCTTTAGGTCTAATGAAGGGGTCTGCATGTCTACCCCAGGTGTTTGGGCAAATGCAGCAGGAAATGGGATGTGCATTAAAATGCTTGAGCTAGAATGTGCCCTGGGACTCAGTATGGTCCCAGGATCTTGTTGTGGGATAGAATGTTGGGTTTAGATCCTGGTCCTGCTATTTCCAAACCGTGTCTCTCTGGGCCTCAGTTTCTTCACCTATAAAATGGAGATAACTATCCCTGTGTTCCAAGGACATTGCAAGGAAAATATGATGTGTATATGGATGGAATCCCTGATTATTACTACTAAAACCTAAGATTTGGCCTGATTTTATTATTGTCAGGGTTTTAACTCTTCTGTGAGCTTTGAAGAGCTTTTCAGTTGGGACCTCAATAATGTGGCAGCACCACAGGACATCTCCAGTGCCTCTCCACTCTCAAGTCAGGAAAGGATGGAATAAAGAGGATCATCCTAATGCAGTAATCACATAGTTTCCATGATTGTCACCATCTGAGGTCACCAACCAGCCACATGGCTTGGATCAGATTTTAAGGCCCTCCTAATCAGAGATCTTCCCTCTTCCTTAAACCCCTATGGTGGAGTTAGATTCTGTAATACAAATAAAGAAACTGTATTATGTCCTGAATTGTTATAATATGAGGTGTTATTTCCTTGCTCTGCTTTCCCCATATGTAACACTAAGAATTGTTTACCTTGATATGAGTTATTTTCTGAACTTTCTCCAGGAAAATGTTTGATCAAGAAGAAAGGGGAAGGGCAAGACAGTATTAGAATCCCCTGGGGGTAGGAGAAGGGTTGCGGGGGGCAGTTTGCAGAAAACACAGGCTGAGGAAGGGGCAGTGTGTTATAACAGAATGAGGCCTGGCGTGGGCACGCTGGGGTTATATTAATGTAAATCTGTATCTATTAGTTGCTACTTGAGTGATTTGATGTTAATGCTTTCATAGCCTTTCTGGGCCTCAGTTTCCACATCTATAAAATTGTGGGAGTTTGACCATGTCATTTATAAGAATTTTTCCTCTGACAGTCTATGGTGCTGAAGTAGAATCTGAACACTTCAGAATTTTACTTAGATACTGCCCTGCTCATGCCTGCGATAGTAATTCTTCAAGTAGTGTATGAGCGAATCAATCAGTATAATGGATGGATTGATGGATGGATGGAAGGAGAAAACTCAACTCAGCTTTGAAGCTTCAACATAAGCATCACCTTCTCTGTGAAGACTTCCTTGGCCCCACCTAACCCCTGGGAAGACTGAGCCACCTCTGTCTCCTCTGTGGTCCCAGCTGGCCACCCCACCACCATCTGAGCTTCCTTCCATGCTGTCATGTATTATGCTGTTACCTTGACTATTTCTACATGCCATATCATGAGCTCAATGAGGCAGGCCAGTGCCTTATTCACTTTTGTCTCGTCAGTGACTATCACAGGGCCTGGCATATGGGATTGTGCAATCAGATGTTGAATGTTGCTCACAATCCTGGTAGGAGACTAGGCCTGATGCCATCTAACCCGTCTAGCCCTGGCATGCTATTGTTCTGTTGTCTTTACCTCCAAATAGCCATATGAATCCGTGAAGCCTTCTATGACATTTAGCCCATCCTCCACCTCAGGCAGGGTTAATACCACACCACGCACACGTGTATACATACCACTGCCACCATCAACACAGGCACCATCAACACCACCACCACCAGCCACAACAACAACAACAACAACAACAAACAACCACCCAGACTCCGTTAGCCCATTGTGCCCCTCTTCATTCCAATTATAATTACATGGTGCTGCCTACTTGTATCAGCTGTTTTCCTGACTGGACCATTAACTGTAAGGACCAAGTCTTATTAGGGCAGGAATTATGTCTTACTCATCTTTGTAGCTTTTGTACATGGCACAATGCCTGGAACATAGTATGTTCTGAGCAAGTGTTACTAAGTATATCTTAGAGCATGCCTCAGTGGGAGTGTATGTGGGGGTATAAGGACCCATAAGAGTCAAATTGCTTCATTATGTAACTGAAATACCTTTAAATAGCCATTGTAGTCTTGAAAGATCTCAACCTTTGTATGTACCCACCATTTTTATCTGAGAAGCTCAGTGTCTCATTGGCATCATCTGATAAACTTTATTCAGGGGAACAAAAGCACAGATGAGTGAAGGCGCTTGCAAATTTCATAAAGCAAGACATTTTTTATTAATCTATTTGGTTATTGTTTGCCCACCTCCACCCCACTTTCTCCCACACACTGGATTTAGGCGCTATGGGGGCAGGGACATTGTCAGTGGTGTCCTTATGGATTCCCCAGCCCTAACACAACGTGGTGCATGCGGCTGCAGACAATCTTTATGAGTTTGTTTACTGTACAAGGGTAAAAGTGGGACTTAAAATTCCATGAAGCTCAATAAGATTGGTTCCCTTGTTTTTACATACTTTCTGCATAATCAGAGGAAATAACTACGATAAAGGGGAAAAGATGATGATTAGATAATTTGCTTAAAATGAGTGAATCCGTAAAAAATCCAGCTCACTAGTAGGAATACTTATAGCCAATACCATCTAAATGCCAGGTATATGGTATATACGTGCCTTGTATATGTAACCTTCTATCCTTAAAAAGGTTGGCAAGTTAGTACTATCCTCATTTTACCCATATAGAAACTGAGGCTGGAAGAGAGTAAGTAATTTGCTCAAGATCACTTAGTGGTTAGAAAACAATGGAGCTGTAATTCAAATCTGAGTTGACTATAAGCCCTAATTTTTTTCTCACTACTCTCCTACCCTTTATCTACCCATCAAACTTTCACTTATTGAATGTTTACTATGTCCAGGGCTTTATTCTAAATTCTAGGAATACAACATTGAATTGGGACACAGCTTCCAGAGTAAGTGGAAGACTTAGGAATATGGGGAGTAGAGCTGACATTTTTGAGCATCTGCTTATATGCCAGACATTGTTCTAGATTCTTTCCCAAAATCATCTCATTTAATAATCACAACAGCCCTCTAATAGTTTCATTGTTATCCTATTTAACAGATGAGGAATCTGATGACTTGAGAGATTAAGTCATGGGCCCAGGGTCACTCAGCTAGGGAGCTATTAATTTAGAACTCAAATCCAGACCAGTCTGGCTCTAAAGCCATATTCTTTTACCACAACCCCCCCCCCCCACCACAATAATTCAACATATGGCTCTAAGTAGACGATTGGAGGAATGGGGGTATTTCTGCAGAGAGTCCTTCAGTAGGCCTTTGTCTTTTCAAAGGCACCTTCTCAGTATCTCTTTTCTTGCATCAAAGACCTGCTTTTCTCTGGGCAAGGAGCAGGAGATTTGTCATCCTTGGAGTTTATAATGGCAACTTTCAGGCTTTCCTATGTGGACTATATCTATGATTACTAACTTGGAAACATGCTTTGTTGACTTTATAGAACAGTCCTCACAAAAGAAAAATAGTCATTTGCTTGTCTCCAGAGGTCCCATGGTTTGCACGGGCAAGAGAAAAAGGCATTGGAAAGTGGGTTGAAACCAGATGAAGAGACTTGGGCCCTTCTGGCCACTATTCATTTTTCCTCATAAGAGGTCCTGACTTTGTATGATACAAACAGCTTGTTCTTTAGAATCACAGATCCTGCTTCAAATCCCAACTCTTACATGACTTTGAGTAAGCAACTTAACCTCTTTGAGTTCCACTTTGAAAATGGAGAGAATAAAACAAGCTTGTATATTGTAATGAGGATGAAATGAGATAACATGAAAAAACCTAAATTCATCACCTTGTTAATATCACTGAGGTCACAAGAACATTATTAACTGTATTTCTGCATCACTGTACCCTTACCTGTCATAGCAGGAAATTTAGTCTTTTACAATATTGCTCTTCCCCACACAGCTTAAAGGATCCCAAGGAGTCTTACAAGTGTTTATACACTCCTTGTGGTTACTACTGGCCACTACAAAAACTCAGCTGGCACTTTGTAATCCTAGGCCTTAGTCTACCTGGGAACTACTTCTAGGCTGAAACTTTATTCCTTTGAGTGTTGTGTTCATTGCCATTATCTTAAGAGCTGGAAAATTGTGACCTATTGAAATGAAAGTAACAGGCCAATCCTGTATCCCAGTGCCAGAAATTAACTCCCTAGAGAACACTTCTTCCCACAAAGTGCCCTTCTTGTTATGCTCACTTCAATAGTGTCCCACAGCAAACACCTTGGGTTCCAAAGTGTTACAGAATTTAGTGATCCATCTCTTTTGATTCACACACTCAGAGCTATTAATCTGGGTCATATGCTCAGGCTGCCAGAGTATCTGATATTCACTATACTAGGAGCCACCACTGCCCTCTGATGTTCAGGGTCCATGGCTGCTTCATTCTGCTGGACTCTTCCCTTTGGACACATTTTCTCTGAAGCTTCTATTGATCCTCTGCAATAACTTACATCAGATTCCCTTCCTCCTTTCTTCTTTTTCTCTTTTCTCCCCTTTCTCTGCCTGCCCACTCCCCTCCTTTCCCAATTTATCTAATATGTCTGTGTATTTGTCAGAACCCCTGAAAAGGTTCAAATGTTAAGTTTTGGTTTTGATTTTTGCTCACCACAAAACTCATATGTAGCTCTGACTTTACTTAACCCTTCTTGCTTTCTAAGATAGAAAGGACAATTGAATCTCAGGGTTGGAATAACCAATGATTGAGAGCAAGCTGAACTTTTCAGTAGCTGCCTTCTATTTAAAAGTTTGTCACTGATTTGCAGTCTTTGGATATAACCGTTGAGGGTAGGAGGCAGGAGGAAGTTTCCCAGCTTCACTCATCATAAGCACCTTTTCCCAGGTCTGGTGCCACCAAACCTAGACAGCCTATCAAATGGGTAAGTACCCTGGCCAGTGTCTGTTTCTTAAGAAATATGTAGGGGACAGGCACATATCTGTAAACCATTTTCATTTCCCAAAACACTACTTGTAGCCTACAAAGGGTGCTTTCCACTCTTTTAATTCAACTAGAGGTGGTGAAAGGATCTAGTTCTGGTCTCATCACTACTACTTACTGTGTACTTTGAGCCCGTCACTTGAACTCTGCCAATTTCCTCAACTCTTCTTTTTTTTTCTTGAGATGGAGTCTCACTCTTGTTGCCCAGGTTGGAGTGCAGTGGCATGATCTCGGCTCACTGCAACCTCCGCCTCCTGGGTTCAAGCAATTCTTCTGCCTCAGCCTCCTGAGTAGCTGGGATTACAGGCGTGTGCCACCACGCCCCACTAATTTTTGTATTTTTAGTAGAGAAGAGGTTTCACCATGTTGGCCAGGCTGGTTTCGAACTCCTGACCTCGTGATCTGCCCACCCGGGCCTTCCTCAACTCTTAAATGGGGTTAGCAGTCTCCAACCTGCTTATCTCACAAGGACATTGCAGTCACCAAGGGTTCCTGGAAAACTGTAAAGGGACTAGAACAGGGTTTTGCAACCTCAGCACTATCGACATTTTGCGCCAGATAATTCTTTGGTGAGGTGGTCTGTCCTGTGCATTGTAGGATGTTTAGCAGCATTGTGGCCACCCACTAGATGCCAGTGGCACCCTCCTCCTAGTTGTGATAACTAAAAATATCTCCAGATATTATCAGATGTCCGCTGTGGGTTAAAATTATCCCTGGTTTAGAATCACTAAATGAGGAAGCTGTTCATTATTAATGTTGTCATTGTTGAATTCAGATCCAAAGCAGAATGCCCTCTTTGAAGAAGGAGAGCAAACCTGAAGGGCAGAGTGGGGCCCCCACTTGCCTACATGGAGAGGGAAAGGACAAACCTAGAAGGTACAGAAGCTGATTTGCTTCATCTTGGCTATATCACGGAGGCATTCAGTTGCGTCAGGGATAGGAAGATGGCTGAAGGGCAATGTCCAGCCTTTAACCTCCAAAGAGCAGATCAACATCCAGCCTAATACTTACAGAGCCCCTGCCTTTCCTCCCCCTCCTGGAGGCCCCTTTCTTGAGCTTTTAATTTGTTTTCACAGCAGTTTGAACAAATTGAATTTGTTAATTAAAGTGCTAAAATGAAATGCTGAGCATTATTGACTAGATGCTAATGCCATTAACGGGACTGAAGGAGAGGGACCCAGCCTGTCAATCGCTGTACAAATCAGATCAGCAGAGGCCACAGTACAGGCTGTGCCTGAAGGCTGAAGGGACAGACCTGTCTACACGTTATGTGATTTTGTCTTTATCAGTCAGGATCTGTAATTGCCAAGACATTCTTTTAGCAAATAGTTAACTCCTTTGTGCCAGGAATTGTTCTGTGTGCTAAGTATATACTGATGAATCACACAAAAACCCACCCTCAGGAATCTCAGGGTCCAATGGGGAAAAGACATAAAGAGATGTTGCTCTAGCATAGCACAGGAGTTTAAGAGTTCAGGTTTTGGAGGCAAAAGACCTAAAGTTCAAATCCAGACTCTGCCTCTGACAGTCAGGGTAAGTCAACTTCAAAGTATTTTTCTGTAAAAAGGGGGTGATGATACTAGTCGCTCCTCCACTGGGCTTCCTTGAAGATTAAATGTGATAATTCAGGTAAGACACTTAGCACAGTCTATGGCACAGGGTAAGTGTTCAGTAACAGGCATGATGTACTTATTACCACATATTATGAAGTTAAACACAAATATTGGGGGAAAACAAAAGGAGAGGCATTAGATCTGCTTTGGGGAGATTAATTAAGGGTTCTTTGAAATGTGATACTTGGAGTTTGGCGTTCCAAATAGAGAACTGGGAGAAGGGCTTTAGGGGCAGAGAAAAGAGTATATGCAAAGTTACGTACATATACAAATGCCCAATTTATTTCGGGATGTAGAAGTCTGTGGGGATAGACAGAGGGCTGGATCTGAAAGATGCCCTAATATCAGCTTCTCAGGCCTTCACAGCTGCTGGGTTCCTGACTTGGAATAGTCTTTTATCTCTTCTCTTTGCTGACTTCTTATCATTCCCGTTTAAATGTCACCTCCTCAGAGAAGCCATCCCCAACTACTCCTTCTAAAGAAAGTAGATTATCCTATTGTCATAGAACGCTGTGTTCCCCCCTTTATAGTACTTATTACAATGTATAATTACATATTTTATATACTTATTTAATCTCTGTCTCTTTCATTAGGGTATAACTCCGTGATGGCAGGGATCATATTTGTTTGTTTTTACCACTGGATAAGGTGCACAGCATAGCACAGAGCCTGGCACATAGTAGACATTAATATTTGTTGAGCAGATGATTGAGTTATGTGCCAGAATAGGCAGGTAAGACGCCAGTGCTTTGTTTGCATAAGGCCCAAACATTTTGGTTGATAGCATATCTATATTGGTAAATCACTTAAACAGAGAAGGGAAAGCAATACTTCTTGAATGCCTACCATGAACCATACACCTTCAGTACTTTATTTTTAATCCTTTCAGTAATTGTAGGATGTAGATATTATAGTCCCAATATTAGGAATGAGGAAATTGAGACTCAGAGAAGTTAGGTTACTTACTCCAAAGCACCCTGCTGATAAGTCGAAGAACTGCAATTAAAACCCAGGTCTGTTTGGCTCCCACTCCTGTGCTCTGGAATGCTTAAGGGATTAGAAATGTCCCAAAGAGACTAAGAATCCAAAGCAGTAGTGGGTATGGAAGGTAACAGCAGTGATTTCCTAAGGACCTGGGTTCTAGCCCCAGAGACATGGTTAAAATTTTATAGCAGTTGCCTGCTTTTTGAGTCTGACAAGCCTCCATTTTACTGTCAAAAATGTGAAATTCATAATTAGGCAATAATGTGCTGAAGCCTGATTTTATTTGGTTATTTTATTTCCATTAAAGTCATCAAAAGTGATTTATTGATTACAAAAGAAAAAAAGAGGAAAAAAAACACTTTCAAATGTCAAATGTTTGCAGGCAACTTAACAGATCCCGGGCTCTGGGGTAGCAGTTAGTGAATGTCATGGAGAAACAGCATATACTTGAAACCCATAATCAGAGTCTAGGGTCTGTATATACCTTATTTTTTTGAAGGCATGTCACACAATGAAAACACTAGTAACAAAGGAAGAAAAAATCTATGAAACTGACTAATAATGAAGCTGAATCACTGATGGCCTGATTTTATGATGGCTACAAAGCCATCCAGTGGAGTGGTGTTGGTTATTATAATAATAACTCCCACCAATTCAGCCAAGTGTCATCATCTGACTCTAAAGCTAATCATAGCTCTACCATTCTCCAGTCATGGCATCTTGAGCAATATACTTTACTTCTCTGAGGTTAATATTCTCATCTGCACAATGGGCTTATACTTTCTGCAGGCAGCTTTAATAGAAACGGCCTAGATGGAAATTGGATGCTTAGATTCAAGTACTATGTCTGCCAGCCTCACTTCAAGATATCAGGAAAGTCACATTCTTACTTCCGGCCTTGATTTACCTGTCTGTCAAGGAAGAAGATTGGATGATATGTTTGCTGAGGCCCCTTTCAGTTGTGATATTTTGTATTTTCAAGAGGACAAAGTTCTTCATGGGTATAAAAGATGCTAGATTTTGAAGTTATCATTAAGGGAGATTCCCAATTGCCCTTACAATTCTGATTAATTCTGAGGGGATTTTCCAAGTTTTTCCTCAAACTTGCTGAAGAACCTTGAGAAAGTCACTTAACCTGACTGAGTTTCTCCATCCATAAAATAGGGTAATTTTGTGCACTTAGCATGGTTTTCTGATAATATGAAATAAATAAAGGAAAAAGATCTTTGCAAACAAACCGTAAAATGCCCTTTTACTATTATTTGCAAATAAGACCGGGATGATTCATTCTCACCATGTAGCCAAGAAAATGTCATAGCCAGATTGGGGTGGCTACTTCAATGCCAGCAAGTACTCAAGCCTTCCTCAAGAACTCAAAGCTGCTTCAGTGTTACAATCAACCATCAGAGTGCAGTTCTTCTGAGCTGTGTGGAGCTGAGGGGACTGTAAGGGCCCATTGCAGTTGCCAATCAAACAGTACTCCTGTAACCAAACTGCTTCCAACTGGCTTTTCATGTCTCTTTTGGTCTCAGACATTATCTCCGTGAAGGTTTGCCTGGCCTGTGGATTGTCATCATAGAGGGTGGCTTTCCAAAGTTGCCTACCTAAGGAGAGGAAGGATACCGAGAAACTGTAGAAAGGGAAATGCTCTTTACTTTACAAAAACAGAAGGCAGTAGATTTCTTGTACTTTTTCTTCATAGTCAGGATATCACTTTGTCACCCAGGCTGGAGTGGAGTGGTGCTCAAGCAATCCTCCTACCTCCTACCTCCGCCTCCCAAGTAGCTGGGACTACAGGCATGCACCACCATACCCAGCTAATGTTTTAAAAATCTTTTGTAGAGACAGGGTCTCACTATGTTGCCCAGGTTGGTCTCAAGCTCCTGGCCTCAAGCTATGCTCTTCCTTGGCCTCCCAAAGCACTGAGATTACAGCCATGAGCCACCACACCCAGCCATCTTGTATCTTTTTTTTTTTTTTTTTTTTTTTTTTTTTTTTTTTTTCAGACAGAGTCTCGCTCTGTCACCCAGGCTGGAGGGCAGTGGCATGATTTTGGCTCACTGCAACGTCCGCCTCCCAGGTTCAAGCGATTCTCCTGCCTCAGCCTCCTGAGTAGCTGGGATCACAGGTGCCTGCTACCACGCCCAGCTGATTTTTTGTATTTTTAGTAGAGATGGCGTTTCACCATGTTAGCCAGGCTGGTCTCAAACTCCTGGCCTCAAGTGATCTGCCCACCTAGGCCTCCCAAAGTGCTGAGATTACAGGTGTGAGCCACCACACCCAGCCCATCTTCTACTTGTTTACAAAACCAGGTAACTTGACATTTTCTTGCATGTTGGGGTTTGAGGAACTCAATGAATTATACCTCTGCTCTCTATCCAAGATCAGACCCAACTGAGAGATGAAGTCAGGTAAATTACCACTTAGAAAAGCTAGATTAGAGAGCATCGTTGAAGTGGGTGGCAACAAATACTGAACTCTAGAAACCTACCTCCCCTTGCCAATAACGAGCAGCAGTGCGGCAGAGCACAGACAGCAGAACTGAGTGTATGCTGTTTGTAGGTAGACTGATTTCAGAGAAAAGGGAGCATAAAGCTCTATTTTCCCACTGTCACCATTGGACAATTTACCCCACCCCTTAAAGACACTCTGGTAAGGGAAGGGGTGAGTAGGGTGGCAGGCAGGATGTTATTTTAGTGGGAATTCCTCCATATTGAAACATATCCATAGCCAATGGAAATATATTGGAGTGTTTTAAACAGCAGCGTGGCATAGTGAAATGCATATTTTGGAAATAACACTGGGATATTAAGTGGAAAGTGGATTTGAATCTAAAGTACAGTAGACATTGGTACAAATTCATGTCTTCCTAATTGCTCAGCAGGCTATAACCAAAATTGATTGTCTCTATAATTTTGATACATTTGTACTCTCAGAACTTTTCAATATCTTTGTTGAATGAATGAATGAACGACTGAAAATATGAAGTAGAAGTTTGACTTCTAGAGACAAGGTACAGGGCTCATTGAGTTAGGTAAGTACACCAAAAGCATGATCATACAAAGAAACTTGAAGAGATGGCTAGTATAACAAAGGACAGAGGATCTTAAAAGACTTGGAGCCAGGGACTGAATAGAACAACACCAAATTAAAGTTTTAGGCATCCTGGAGAAAGAATGAGACTCAGAACTAAGGCAGCAGCCGTGGGAATAGAAAGGAGGGGAATGGTCTGAAGGATTCTATGGAGACTGGTTGTAGGGATGAGGGTAATTAAAATCTCAGAGACCTCCTGGGTTTCTGGCTTAAGGAACCAGGTGGGTGGTGATGCCCTTTCCTGGGATAAGGAATTCTGGAGGAAGAGCATGTTGGGGGAAGATAATAGTTTACTTTGAGTTTGAGATGACTGGGGAACATCTGGGTGGTGATGTCTAGCATACCGTTGTGTATTTGGGTCTGAAGCTGAACAGAAAGGACCTAGATATCCACCAAGTATCCTTTCTATGTCTAAAGTGGACATGTAATATATCCTCCCAATTTCACTTTAGAGAGTGAAAGGTGATAGCATTAATAATCACAGTGGGACAACAGATATACATACTGAGACATGTGGTCACCCTGCCTTGCTATCCTGATCACCACATGCTCTAGTTCATTCATGCTGCCCCTTACTAAGCCCTTGGGATACATCCTGATGAGTGACACCCCTCCTGCTATAATAGCTGAGCGTCTTCAACCTGCCCTCTCCTCTCTTCAGAAAGCTAAGTCTCTCAGCCAGCCCCTAGACACGTGCATTATTGAATCATTCAGCCTAGAGTCTCCAGAGATATCAAACCTATTCTCAATCCCTTACCATTAGATAAACATTAGGGAAAAGAATGGGAATTAAACCTTTCTGTAGCTCCCCAGAGGCACTTACCAAAATAGGCTACCTCGTCAAAACAGCATTTAACTAAATGGGTGAGCAACGTCAACGAGGGAACCTGGGGAGAGAGGCAAGGGCTCATGCTAAGAAAGCAGCAAGGGGAACCAAGAAGATGCAAATCAGTTTTCAGGCCTTGGGACTATACAGGGCAGAGCTTAAGCAAAGAAAGTCCAACTCTTTTCACTGTCCCAAACAGAACCAATTGCTCCCTTTGGGCAAGGTTAAGTGGAGATGATTGGGAAGAAGTAATAATAAATACTAGTTAATGTGTGTGGTATGTTACACTTTCTAAAAGTTTCCCATCTAGCATTTCATTTTGATCTTTAGCAGAGGCCTGACAGAGAAACAGGAAAAAAATTACTATCTCCATTTAATGGCTGGAAACCGAAGGTTAGAGATGTGAAGTAACTTGCTTAGGGTCACACAGAGCTGCCTATTATTAGGATATAGAGCTAGTTGTAGGAATGGGGTTATTTGGACTCAAGAAGACATGGATGATACTTTTGCAGGGTCAAGGGAATAGATTTATTCCATGTGTTTCCACAAGCCATCATGTCTGATGAATAAAAGCTATAGGGAGCAGATCCCAACTAAAAAAATAAAAGTCAGCTGTCTGACTTCTTGATATGATATGGGCTGCCTTGTAAGGTAGTGAGCTTCCTGTCTCTGGATGAGTTTAAGGCAAAGTTGGATGGCCATTGTATTTTAAAAGAAATTATCTGCACTAAGTAGGAGGCTAAACTAAATGATCTCTAAGATTTTCTAGGTATTTCTTGAACATCTACCATATGATAAATACCATATATATGTGTATATATACAAACAAATACACATACACATATGTACACACACACATATATATCTTTATTTCATTTTCAGAATAACCATGGAAGGTAGAGACTATGATTAACTCTATTTTATAGAAAGGAGAACTGAGTCTCAGGGATGGTAATATATTTGAAATAATTGATACTAGTTCAGGCCTTTCTTTAAAGCAAACCACATATAATCTTTGCATAAACAAAGAGGTAAAAGGAAAAAAATAGTAAAGAGGAAAAAAATGAAGTCTTTTTCTGACATGTAAGATTACCAAATACTGTTTCCCAAAGGTGTGTGTGTGTGTGTGTTTTTACCTGTTTCTCTAGACTACAGTCAAACATTGTTTCCGGTTAGTTGGTTGTTTATTTTTGTTTTGTTTTGTTTTGTTTTTGGTGATGGAGTTGTGTAAAAAAAAATTACCTGAAGACTTTCACTCCTAGAAAAACATTCATTAAAGAGGTTCACAGCAGAAAGGTAACCTTTAAGTGTGATTTCCTGCCACAGCTAAGAAATCCTTACAGTTCTACAAGGGTCACTCTATGCCATGATTGGCCCAGACTTTTCAAAATAATCTTATAACAATTTATGAGATGCTTCATTTTTTTACTTGCACTTAGGCTAACTTCCATACACAGTTTCCCTGGCAACTGTGTAATTGCAGGAAACAATGCCTTTCTCCTGGGTCTCATTTCTGGCAAGTCTGCAAAAAGAAAAACTTTTTGTCCTTATACCATTAAAAGAGCATCTCTGGTCTTTTGACAGCCAAAAATATGATCAGAAATATCATCCCCATATTCTTTCAAATTCAACGAGTAACAGCATCTTTCCTTTCCTGGGCATTTCCTTTCCATTAATTTCATGACCCTTTTACACGGGAAATCAAAACTAGACTAAAGGAACACATTTTTTTAAGGGTAGGAAAAGCTCCAAGAACACAGTTTTCCTTCTTCAACCTGTGGTCTATGAAAATTACTAGGGTTTAATTAAACTTGCAAAGCTTTTCTTTCAGGGAAGACATGCTGTACCATCCTGCATACCTATCTCTGTTTCATCTCTGCCCTGGGGTAACCAAGAAGCAATCAGGCCAGAAGAAGGCAGGCAGCCTCCTCTGGTGCTGGCAGGATTCCCACTGCATACTGCTCAGGTGGAGAGAGGGACCATCCTGAGTGGATGCAGCAGAACCTTAGAGTCTCTTTGGGGAGTCAGACAGGAAACCTAGCTTTCTGGAGACTCACTCCCATACTCTTTCCTGGGAAGGATGGGCTGATTTTGCATGCAGGGAGAAGAGCACCAGAATGGGAGCCAGGAGGAAAGGAAGGTAACCACATTCGTTCAGTCACTCAGCCAACAAATGAACAAATAAACCATAAATAATACGGTTTCAGATGCTGTGAAGAAAAAAATGCCACAGAGGCCAGGCACAGTGACTCATGCCTGTAATCCCAGCACTTCAGGAAGCCGAAGCTGGCAGATCGCTTGAGCCCTGGAATTCAAGACCAGGCTGGTCAACATGGAAAAACCCCGTTATCTACAAATAATTAGGTGTGGTGGCACACGCCTTTAGTTCCAGCTACTCCGAAGGCTGAGGTCTAAGGACCATTTGAGCACTGGAGAACAAGGCTGCAGTTAGTCATGATCACACCACTGCACTCAAGCCTGGGTGACAGAACAAAACTGTGTCTCAAAAAAAAAGAGAGAGAAAGAGAAAGAAAGAAAAGAAAAATGCAGCAGTATAAGAGATAGAGAAGGTTAAGGGCTACTTGAGATAGGGTGGACAGAGAAAGATCTCTAAGTAGGTCACATTTGAACAGAGACCTGAATGAAGTGAGAGGGTACATGGAGGAAGAGTGTTTCTGTCCATTTAGTAACTGGTTTATTTGTACAATAGCTGTCATTTTTATGGCTGAAAGAATTTGTCTAGCTCCCAATCCTGTCATGTTGTTGCCTACCAACTTTGCAAATCTTTAAACATGGCACCTCATGCTTTAGTATTAGAGATTTTGCTTAACTTGTTTTTGAAAACTGATAACCAAGATCATTTTTAGTTCACCATATATTAGTTTCTACATCTCAGTGTCATCTTTTGGTACCTATGCAACCATTTGGAGAAATATTTGAGTAAAAATCATTGAGATGGCACTTAAGTTTTTGGGGCTCAATTTTGTTATCATAAAAAATACAGGGAACAATTTCTGAGAATTAAATTAGACTATATAAAATACTTAGCAAGTGCTAGTTTTATAGTGAGCCCTCAACAAATAATAGCCATTGTTATTGTTGATATCCCACATCTGCCATGAGATTGCTGTGCAACCTTGGGTAAGTCACTTAGATGCTGCCATAGTGCCTGCAGGACCCATAAAAGACATCTAACAAATCATTATAGAACGACTGATTGAATGAATGAATGAATGAGTGAATGAACCTCCATGTACTTCCATTTCTGTTTTGTAGAGTGATGGAGTTAGATTAAAAAATGGTAGTGACAAAATATTTATGACATGCCATATACAAGCCCTCTTAAATGTGTGATCTGTTTTAATCAGCACGTGAGCATTTACTCATCTAACTCCTTATCCTACAGATGAGGAATTTGAGGCTCAGAAATGGAAGAGGATCTGCCCAAGGTTATAGAGCAAGTCATTTTGTGCTATTATTCTTCATCCTAAAGTAACTGTGAGCATGAATTATTTAGCTCATATCAAGATGTAAGTTGCTAAAATGGTATTGGCTATCTAGGTTGCTATTGTGCAGCTTTATGGTGGCAAATCATATAGGGAGTCAACAAAAACTTAAAGATGAGGGACCATACTGGCTTAATAGCAATGGATCTGCCATTCAAAACAACAACAACTAAAACCCTGTTCTAGCTATGCCAGTGCAGGAGAAGGAACAGAGAGAAAAGAGTTAGAACTGTCATTGGGGAAGAAAAAAGTAGAAAATTTCTCCAGATGGCAGAGCGTGCCAAGCAGAAGCCTAGTTATGAATTGAAAGGGAGGCTGAACTAAGCCCTTAATCCCTTACACGTGTCTAATCTTTTCAAGTTTACAAAGCTCCTTTCTGTATGTGATCGTATTTGGGCCCAAGTACAGCAAGCTAGGTAAAAGGGGCCTAAAAATGTTGATCTGGCTAAAGGGACACTCCAGAAAGACCAGACAGAGATCTAGGCCTAGAAAAACGAGGGCTAGATGATTCCAGTCCTCCAGTTATAGATCAATATATTTAAGTTTGGCAGGAGACAAGTCCTGCCCATTGAGTTTGGCACACATCTGGTAGCACATCCCAGGAGGCCTAAGCCTGGAAGTGTTCTTTCCTTGAAGTGATCTACAATAATAAAATCAGAGAAAAGTCTGAGGTGGCAGAATAAGAAGTGGTATTGATTATCAGGTTTGAATGAAAGAAAGAAAGAAATGAGTCCCGATGTTAGAAGCCTGGAGAATCTCTAGGAAATTAGGATTCAGAAGTGGGTCAAGACAGTTGGTTCCAGGATAACCTATAAAGGAGTGGCAATGTTGGAGTGCCACTTTTCAAAATCAACAGTGCTATACAACTTATCAGATGTCAAAAATACAGTGACGAGGAAACACATGATCTCTGCCTTCAATGGAGTTTATAGTTAAGATAGGCATTAATTGAATATATAGTTATAAGCCATACAAGTTGCCATGAGTGAAAAGTTTTATCAGAGAAATAATAGGAAAATCTGATGTGGTTTCCAGATTCAAAGGTTACACTCCTGAGGAAGTGATTTTGAGCTGAGTTATAAAAATAAGTTGATTTTAAAAGGGGGGCAGGAAGGAAGTTGGTAGAGAAAATTGCTCCAGGAAAGAGAACAATGGGAACAAAGTGAAGGCCAAAGTGGCATGTTTTTTAACTGAAAGGATACAAATGCGGCTGAAGCAAAGATATTGAGGGGAGGATGAGACTTGAGATGTAGGTGAGATGTAGGTGGGGCCAGATTGTGCTGGTCCCTCTAGGCCGTGGGATACATTTTAATCTTTTACCTCAGAGACCTTGAGTAAGGGAGTGAGAATCAGATTTGTATTTTAAAAGGATATCTCTGTTGTGGCAAGAATGGATTGGAGATGTGCCAAGTTATACCATCTCAGAGACATGCCAGCCAAAGGGCAAGAGAAGGATCCAGGTCTGGAGAAGGTTATTGGTGAATGTAGGCAGGTAGCAGAACCAATCTAAAATCCTAGCAGGTAGCATAACTAACCAAAATCCCAGGGTTCAGAATGGGGCTCTTGTAATTAAAGCAACCATTGAGGGCTAGGACCTAGTCTGCTAGTAAAGGACTGAAATGTCACATGGTATAACTTACTAGAACCTGTCAGAAATGAAGATTTTGCAGGAAAGTAAATTATTAGTTCAGCAATGCCATATACCAGACAACATTATTTCATTTAAATTATCACAGCCATCATTTGAGGAAGAGCTGTCTATTATTATGCCTATATATATTATGTCTATTATTATGCCTATATAATTATGCCTATTATTATGCCTATATGTCTATAAGTGAGACAACTAAGGCCCAGAGAGGTTGAGTGGTTTGACCAAGAGCATCTAGCTAGTAAATGGAGCCAGAATTTGTGTGAAGTCCTTTGGATGCCAAGTCCAGTCCTCCCCTGCTTCTCCACCCCTTTAAAAAATGGCATCAAATTCAAGGAAAATACTAAGCCTGAGGGAAAAAGAGACCTATGGAAATAGCTGATTCTATAATTTAACTAAATCGTTATGAAATTCCAAATAGAACTTTATTACATTTTTATACCAAAGGTCTAAAGTGAGCCCCAGATCCATCTGACCCAACTATTTTCTTCCAGGAATACATACTAAAATTGGGGGGAGAGCCCAGAACAGTCAGATTCTGTCTCACAGCACCTGTGCTAAGATTCCAGTTGAAATTTTTAATTGAGTTCAAACCCCTGTAAGTGCGGATGTACTAATCCTAATGTTGATTAAGCTTTCATTCTAGCTACTGGAAGGATGTGGCTCTGATCCTAAGCTCCAGTGATGGGGCTGTCTGTTCCTTCTAGCAGTGTGCTGACTTCCCCATCCTGTCAGTGGATGCTTCTCGCAGAAGCTGAGAAGAAAGGAGGAGAGGTGGCATTCTTGGTATAGTTCCTAAAGCCATTAGCACTGATGAATTCATGATTTTCAAAACTTTCTCAGATCTTGAACTGTGCATTTTTAAAACCTTCAATATAAAAAACGCATACACTTAGATATTATCATGATGGCTGACCAACTGGGGTAGCATTCTGGCTTTTAACTGTGGAACCACATTGTGAGCCACATAAGAAAGGCATATTAGGCATCTTAGTGGTTAAAGGGCAGACACAAGAGTACCTGGAGAGACAGTATGGATTTCATGGGAATACCATAGACTTTGGGCAGGCAGAGTTGGGCTTGAATCCTAGCATTGAGCCTTATAGCTCTGAGACACTAGAGTTAGTTGGATTGGATCCTTAGTTTCTATGTCACTTTTGAGGAAAGTACCCAACACAGTGCTTGACACATTTGCCAAAGCCAGTTAGTTCCTTTCGCTTCTGTCTGCTTAGCAAGAGTGTTATCCATCTTGCCCACTGACACTTAATATCCCCCTTCAATGTGCCTGTCTTCCATATTCTTTCGTGGGACTTCATCCTCACTCCACACATCCAGGCCTTGTCTGGAAAGGGAAAACCTGTTTCTAGGTGAAATATGGTTTAGCTGTATCCCCACCCAAATCTCGAATTGTAGCTCCCATAATTCCCACATTTCATGGGAGGGACCTGGTGAGAGGTAATTGAATCATGAGGGTTGGTCTTCCCCATGTTCTTCTCATGATAGGGAATAAGTCTCATGAGATCTGACAGTTTTATAAAGCGGAGTTACCCTGCACATGCTCTCTCTCTTGCCTGCTGCCATGTAAGATGTGACTTTGCTCCTCCTTTGCCTTCTGCCATGATTGTGAGGCCTCCCCAGCCACGTGGAACTGTTAGCCCATTAAACCTCTTTTTCCTTATAAATTATCCAGTCTCAGGTACGTCTTTTTTAGCAGTATGAGAACAGACTAATACACCAGGCTTCCCTGTTCCTTGTGGCTGCTGTCTGTAAGCCATTGACCTGCCTCCATTTAGGGGGAGTGGGGTTTCTACTGTTCTAAGATGGACCAGGTACATAATGATACAGACAAAGGCAAAAGGTAATAAAGGAAAAAAATCAGAGGATGAGGCAAAAGATCTGGTACCTCCAGAGTTCTCTCAGCCATTACTCCTGCTCTTAGACTCACATCTCCATCTCTGCAGTATTAATACCACAACAACTACCACTTCCTACTATAACTGCCACTACTAGTGCTACTACTACTATTGCTACTAACACTTGTATTTCTATTATTAATACTATCATTGCTAGTGCTACTATTAGCATTACTTCTACTTCTATAATACAGACTTCAAGTCAGTCTTTATCTCCCTGAAGTCAGTGTGGGTTCTGGAAGACACAAATTGCTGTTTGGTAGTAATAGGGTAGCAGTAGAATCATAATGTATTATACATATATCAGTTTCCTCTCTCTAGGTAGCAAAGCAATTCAGCTGCCTAAAACAGAGGGCTACCCAATGATTTTAAATCATCCATGGTTGGCCGGTGTGACGCCTCATACCTGTAATCCCAGCACTTTGGGAGTCCGAGGTGGGCGGATCAATTGAGGTCAGGAGTTTGAGACTAGCCTGGCCAACATGGTGAAACCCCCATCTCTACTAAAAATACAAAAAAAAAAAAATTAGCTAGGCCTGGTGTTCCACGCCTGTAATCCCAGCTACTCGGGAGGCTGAGGGACAAGAATTGTTTGAACCCTGGAGGCAGAGGTTGCTGTGAGCCCAGATCATGCCACTGCACTCCAGCATAGGCAACAGAGTGAGACTCTGCCTCCAAAAATAAATAAAATAAAATAAAATAAAATAAAATAAAATAAAATAAAATAATTCATGGTCATGCAAAGTGGTCAGCCACCTTCTATCTTAGTCTTATCTCAGTCTTGCAAGCGTCTTGCTCTTCTTGATGTTGCTGTCTTCTTCTGCATATAATGTTTGTTTTGAATAGAATATTGTGACAGGATTAAAACCTCCCTCTTTGAAAAATCAACATTTTGGCAGCCCCTTGCTGTTCTGTTTCTAAAGGTGCCCACATTTGCTGTCCTCATTCATCTAACCACAGGAGATCATTATCCAGTGACAGAGCTCTATTCCACTACCATTACCTCATAATGAGAATGCCTCCTTCAATGGGGGATGGCAGAGATGAGGGTTGTAGGGGGAGAGTGGAGGCAGTGCAAATCTTGTAGACCTCAGAAAAAAACTTCTATACAGTTACAGCTGCCCAGTGGATAACACCTCATGGCCTGCTGATCTCACCGGGTGGAAACTTTACATACATATGCATATATTAATCTATACACACATATATATAGTTGGCCCTCCATATCCGTAAGTTCTGCATCCATAGCTACAACTAACTACAGATCAAAAATATTCAAAAAAAGAATTGCATCTGTATCAAACGTGCAGATTATTTTTTCTTGTCATTATTCTCTAGTCCAGGGGTGTCCAATCTTTTGGCTTCCCTGGGCCACATTGGAAGAAGAATAATTGTCTTGGGCCACACATAAAATACACTAACACTAACGATAGCTGATGAGCTTTTAAAAAAAAACACAAAAAAAATCTCATAATGTTTTAAGAAAGTTTACAAATTTGTGTTGGGCCACATTCAAAGCCATTCTGGGCTGCATATGGCCTGTGGGCCATGGGTTTTAGAAACTTTTGTGTGAAACAATATAGTAAAACAACTATTTACACAGAATTTACATTGTATTTGGTATTAGAAGTAATCTAAGATTATTTAAAGTATACAGGAGTATATGCATGGGTTATGTGCAAAATACTATGCTATTTTAAATAAAGGACTTGAGTGTCCATGGATTTTTGTATCCACAGGAGGTCCTGGAATCAATCTCCCATGGATACTGAGGGATGACTGTACACACACACACATATGTGTGTGTGTGTGTGTGTGTGTGTATGTATATATATATATACAGATGGTCCTCAGCTTACAATGGTTTGACTCAGCTTTTTTGACTTTATAATGGTGGGAAAGCAATACGCATTTAGTAAAAACCTTACTTCTCTCTTGATGCTAGGCAGTAGCAGCTAGCACAGCTCCAAGTCAGCCACACGTTTCTGACTTAAAATATTTTTAACATATTTTCAGTGGGTTTATGGGACATAACCTCATTGTGAGTCAAGTAGCATCTATAAATGTCAAATTCAAAGTACATTTAAAATTTTATTTTGTTGTATAGGTTCCATTTCCTCCTCTTCTGATAATAGCACTCAAATCTTGCTTATGGAGGATCACTTTTAAACATGTGGTTTGAAAGAGACATCTATCCATGGAGTCAGAGATGAGACACATGACCTCATACACGAGTCCATCAGCAATTCCATCCCCTCAGGCTGCAGAATTATACTACAGTTGGATATGTATATTAATTGATATTTTTTGGGCAGCTATTTGTTGGGTAATTGTTTAGTGAACTCTATTGGCTTTATGTCTCCTGAATTTATCCTTTTTATTACCCTTATAAAATCCCCAGTCTAAATGCAAAACAAAAGAAAAACTCCAAATTAGTTTACTTCAATTTGTCATTCACTGAGTGTGTTCCAAGTGTGAAGGACTGTGATATTCACCAGAAATACAGAGATGAGCAAGACATGGTTTATTTTAAAGTCTTTTGCCAACAGACCCTCTCAGTATACTTACTGGGAGCTGGGGGAAGTTCCAGGCCCACATAAAACATTTGCAGGTCTCAGGTGAGAGAACAAATAGAGACCCATGAAGCATAAGCCTATTTATTTATTTATTTATTTATTTATTTATTTATTTATATTTTAGATTCAGCAGGTACATGTGTAGGTTTGCTACATGGATATATTGTGTGTTGTGTGATGCTGAGGTTTGGGGTATGAATAGCTAGCAAAATATTAAAATATATATCTATCTTCCTAATTTGACAAAAAAACCTTCCATAATGACAAACTAGAAAGATGCTTGTAAAGCTATAGTTTTTACAAGAAGTTGGCAAAATATCAAAGAGATCTGAACTTAATTCTTATTATATACATCTGGGTAGTCTCTTGGGACAGAGATGGGCTGGCAGTGTTTGTATCAGTAGGTTCCCAGGGTAGGGTCCCTTTGGGCCAGATCTAAGAATAGAAGTGGAAGGTTGGCTGCATTCATCTCTCAGTACCTATGTACTCTAATATTCTCTAATAACTAAGACAATAGGTCCTTCATAAAACAGGAAATACTTGTGTTTTAAGAGGACTTCTCTTAGGAGACTTACATGCCCACGGATGTATGAACACAAATGTACATTGGTCCTGGGCTATGTGGCCAAATGCAAATTCGTTAAATGTTAGACCATAATGAAGATAAAAGTAAATTGGACTTGAAGAGATATATTTGATCATGGATGCTGAGCACACAATACAGTGACATTAAAATATTCAAATATTGAAATCAGCTCCATACTGGGGCTGTATGTTCTAAATCTAAACGAAAACATTAAACATATATCCAGACCTATATTACTCTTCTAATTTAACTATCATAAATCTTGAAGAGTTGAAATGCAAACAGTCAAGATTACTTTTACAGTGCTGTGCACTTCCTCCAAATCAGCAGCTAACCTGTGTTCCAAGATCCACCACTGAATCACTCCCAGGCTTTCCTTTTGACTTCTGGGTTTTTCTGGAACAATCAGAACAGCAGCTCTGCCAGACCCTTTGAGACCTTCTAGGCAAGCCAACCCCTACATTTCAGCAGGCACTCTGCTAGCTCTTGGAAAGTCCCTGTGGCTCAGCAGAAAGAGTTCTCAATTTAGAAGGAGATGACATGGGTTTGAGTTATGCTTCAGCCACCTATGGGCTGGAAAGTCTCAGAATAGTCACTTAATCTCTTGGAGGCTCAATTTATTTATCCATAAAATGGAAGCGTTGGAAAGTCAGCCTTTTCTATCCCAGGAATATTCTATACATATGTATAATACAATAATTATTTTATATATTTTTTTTAATTTTTTTCTATTTAATTTCTGTTTATATATCCATTATAGAAGATTTTGTGCATACAGAAAATGTTATATTAGAGAAAAATATTATCCTTAAATGCAAAGATAACTACTATTAATATGCTGAATATTTTCTTCCTAATTTATTTGCATATGTATGTATATATATATATAGTTGAGAACATATTTTATAGTTATATATCATTTATATATCATTTAATATACTGTGAGCATTTTCCCACATTATTTGACATTATTTAATCAATGATTTAAATAATTAAATGATATTAATTGGACATGATGTGAATATTCCTTTGAAATGATTATTAAAAATTTCCTAGAATTTATACTTTAAATGGTTCTCAAGTACATTACAGTATATGTGAAGTCACACAGCAATGAATGTTCACATTATTTTATAGCTATTCAAGTATCACCTGTCTCCTAAATTAAGAATAACAATGAAATCGTATTCATGTGTCTAAGTCCGGTGCCTAGTATGGTGCCTGGCATAAAACAAAGCCTTTAAAAATGTGTGCTGAATAAATAAGGCAATGAGAGAGTGAATGCCACTGAGTTGTCATTTCTTCAGTGTCACTCCTTTCTCAGGGAGAAGTAGAGGGGTGTTCTCCAGCCAGACCAGACAGAGATGGGGTGGTGGTGGGATTCTTTTCCAAGGCAACTGGCTAGCATCCTTCTCTTACCTCCACCTCTACACTTCTGCCAGCTAATTTTTTTCTTCTGAAACTCAAGGGCCAACTAGCCTTTTTATTGGAATGCAGTTGCCAAAGCCGTTATTGGCTTAGCTCATATTTTGCCTTTGTCATGAGCCACCTTTCTGTGCATAACAAATGAGAAAAGTCTTAATAAATAAATCATTAGTGACCTAATTAAAAAGAAACACACTGGGGTGCTAGCAAGAACAGGGGCCAGAGCAGACACCTTGGCTTCATTTCATCAGAGAAGAGTTGATAATCACACAGGCACTGGAGAAGACTTCCTTAAACTAGAAGGGCTGTGCCCCTCAAAGATCTTGCCTGAACAAAATAACCTTAAAAATAATGATAATAATAGTACTGAGTACTATTTGTACCCAGTAATTTGCTGAGATTTTTAGAATATGCTAACTAAATGTTCCACGTATATTGTTTTAACTGATGCTTACAATGCACCATAAAGAAGAAAAATAATATTACATCTACTTGACTTATAAGGAAACTGAGTCTCTGCAAGGTTAAGTAACAACTGGAATAGCTGATTTTCATAATGTTGAATGGCTGTATGGCTGTGAAGCCAGACGGATCTGAGTTTGAATCTTGGCTCTACCATTATGTATAAGCTGCACGACATGGGAAAGTTATTTACCTCCTTGAGGCTCCATCTGCTCCTCTATAAAATAGAGATTAAGGGACTAAATATTATTCTATTGTGACTACTTGTATTGTTATCATGATTATACTGTTAATATTATTTGGTTATATTATAATAGCAATGCCAGACTCTGGGCTAGAGCAGTGAGCATCCAAAAATGTACAAGACATAGTGCTTACCCTCTAGGAGTTTCCAGTCTGACTTAGCATATAACCACATAGCTACTAAATAACAAAGGTGTAATTTGAGCCAGAGCTATGGAATTTTAAAACACTTTTCTATTACCTACCGTATCGCTTTATTGTAGCATATGTCTGATATTATTGTCATTAATTATTTATATTTGTCTTCCCCACTAAAGTGAGTCTGTCACGGTAGGAATTTGCATCTCCAGTGTCCAGCACAGGCCCTGCCATGGAGTCATCCTGAGTACATTTGCTATTTTCAGCCAAAGGTCCTATGTTTTGCCACATAGCTCCCTGCTTCCTCACATGCCAGTCAGGACCACTATTTCAATATTTTTGTCTACTTCTCTGTGTTCCACTTCCCCTCCCCCTCTCCCCATTACAGTTCTGCAGTGAGTGATTCCCTCTGTCATCTCGCTGTAAATTGATGACTCGGGCCTGCTGATGCACTGAGCCACATGGCTAATACATCAGCTAAATGGATGCCGAAAACACCACCTGCTCCTTCAGGCAAATGGCACTTTGGAAAATGGAATGTGTAATCAATAGAATTAAGCCTTAAGCAGAGCTCCATACCCTTGTCCCAGTACAGGGCCTTGGCAGGCAAACAGTGGGAAGATTTTTTTTTTTCCTTTTTTCAATCCCTTTCAAAGCACATGGCTTGGCACTTGTTCAGCCAGTTCTGTTGCCACTACCACAGTCAGCATGGTATTCTCAGCAAATTGTCTCTTCCCTCCCTATCCAGCCTGAGTGTCTTAGTCAGTTGGCCTATCTCTAGGAGACTTGGAGGGATAGTTTCCAACATGCGGAAGCACAGGCAGCTGGGTACACCTCAAACAGCAAGGTGTTTGAAGTCAGGCAGGTCTACGTGACCTTAGCGACCTTAAGCAAGGCACTCAGCCTTTCTGAACATTGATTTTCTTGTCCATGAAGTGGCAGTAATTATTCTTACCTCATAGGGTTGTTTTTAAGATCATGTATGTAAATATCACACCTGAAGGTGCTTTATAAACTATAAAGCTGCATATGAAGGTGAATCACTATCATCATCATTATAATTCCAAGGTATGGATAGGAGCGTAAACTCCCCTTATATTTATCTCTAGAATCTGCCTGAGGAAGTAGGCTTTCAGATGTAGCAGAGAAGGCCTAAGATCAAGTAGCCATTGGCCTGACAATCTTTCTAGAATTGTAGCAAAAATTAGAGAATGAAATCCTGGGAGCTAGGAGGGAATTTATGGATCACTGGTGAAACTACAGTCCCCACTTTTTATCTTGTTACAGATGAGGAAACCAAAGTTCAGTAGGGAAAGGGATGTGGCCAATGTCATACTATAAATTAGTGGCACAGTGAGGAATTTCCTGGCCTGACAGCTGCATGGGAAGTCTACAGGCAATCTTTATGATTGCATAGGGTGACAGAACAATGGTATTCACCTACCAGAGCCAATCTATCTTCAGCCAAGAGTCTGCCCCTTCTTTTTTACCACTGGGCTCATATCATCATACAGGCAATGGCTTCTTCCCATACCCCATCCTTTTTCTAGCAAACAAAAGTTTTTTTCTGGCAGCATGGATTACATATACTGAGCAACACAAGAGAAGAAGGATTTCTTTTTCTCAGAGTTCTTGCAACACTTGTCTTCACTGCTTACCTGACCTTTAATTTTATACAACCCAGTGAGATCCCTTATGTTGTTCTCTTAAGTAACCCAGTGGTTTTTGACTGGAGGTAATTTTGCCCCTTTTTCCTCAAGAAACATTTGGCAATGTCTAGAGACATTTTTGATTGTCAACACTTGAGAGGAGGGGGTGTTACTGGCATCTAGTGGGTAAGAGCCATGCATGCTGCTAAACATCCTACAATGCATAAGACAGCCTCCCATAGTGAGGAGTTACCCGATCCACATTGTCAGTACTGCTGGTGTTGAGAAACCCTGATCTAACCCATTTGTAGGTGTCTGACTTTCTTTCTTTGACCTGTGCATTGGTGGTCTGTGAGCTCTTTGTAGACTTGAATGATGTGTTGCTGGTGATTCCCTTAATAGATTCAACATAGTAGAATCTCAGTTAATATTGCTTGGATGGGGAATAAATTCAGAGTGCATAAATCAGGCAATGTGTATATGAGAAAGAGCACTGGACTATGGACCAGGAGACCAAGTTTGGTCAAAGCTTCACCAGCAGCAGGTAAATGTAAGACCTGAAATAGATTAGTGATTTTCAAATTGTGGTCCATGGAGCCTTAACAACATCCCAGCCAACTGCATCTATTTTATGCTATGGGCTTTGAATGTAATTTTTTCTGTACAGAGAGTTCCATAGCTTAAAGAATTTGTAAACCACTGAGATAGTTCATCCCTACAGACACTTTTAGACCAAAATCCCTCTGAAGACTTCTTAGAAAAGAACAAATATAAAGCTCCTATTTTAAAATAGGCTCAAAGAATGCCTCTGTGACTACAGTTTATTTTCTCCAGACTTGGAGTGAGTCCAGTGGCCTACCTGGCTTCCTTCTATTATGGAGACTGCTCAGCTCCTTGATCTTTTTGTACATGTGCAGCAAACAGCAGGTCTGCCTTCAGAGATCTGAATATTCAGAGAAGGGGACTTGGGGAGATACCTGACCCAGAACCCAACCCTAGGCAGCTTTTCCTGGCCACTCAAGAGAGATGCAGAGAGGTACCTCAAGTCCACAATGAGTCACTATGAAATTGGTATACAGCTGTGCTGACGCCCAGGTGAGGGCTCCTAGCAACTGTCTTAGTCCAGGCTACTATGGAAGTACCATAGACTGGGTGACATCTAAACAACAATTTCTCACAGTTCTGGGGGCTGAAAGTCCAAGATCACAATGCCAGCATGGTCAGGTTTCGGTGAGAGGCCTATTCCAGGTCACAGACTGCCATCTTCTTGTTGTATCCCAACATGGCTAGCTAGCTCTCTGGGGTCCCTTTATAAGGGCACTAATCCCACTTGTGAGTGCTCTACCCTGATGACCTAATTACCTCCCAAAGGCCCTGCTTCATAATGCCATCACATTGGAGGTTAGGATTTCAACATAAATTTCGGAGGAACACAAACATTCAGCCCATTGCAGCAACACACCAGGCTGCCTCTTTGGAGGGCAGTTGTTTCCGTCATCTGTGACACTTGGTCCACAAAGCAGAAAGGTCACTGACATCATCCTATCAAATCTCAACATTGTCATAGGAGAATGAGTAAAAACAAACACACACAAACAAACGAATGAACAAACAAATAAAGGAACAAGGCATTCCTAGCTTTCATATGAAGGAACTGGATCTCCCTAGGAGCTGGGGGATAATGAGGCCCCCACCCCTGCAGTGGACCTGCTTAACTCTAGGCTTGTCAGCACGACCAGCAATCCAATAAGGCAGTGCCCCGGCTGCGCCATTAGCTCATTAGGTGGAGGTGAGTGTCCGCATTGATCTGTTTATCTCCCAGGCCTGGCTGCTGGAGAAAGGCCAGCTGTTTCCCTGAGAGCTGCCTTTACCCTTGACTCATCACGGAGCATCAGGGGAGTCTGCTCCTTTGTCCCTTTCAACCTCAAGGTCACTGGAGTGCAAAGCAGAAGCTGGGCCACAGTGGTGCTTCCTGAGAGCTTCAGTCACTGCCTCTCTTCCTCTATCCTTTTAATCATCCCCTGGAGGTGATCCCTATAAAAATGATGAATATAGTAGGAAGTACCTGGGTTTGCAAGTGGACAAATCTGTTTCAACCAGGTTTTGCTACTTGTGTACTAGCTGTATGACCTTAGGGAAGTCATTTCACCTCTCTGAGCCCCAATTTTTTCATATACAAAACAAAGCTAACAGCATCTATATCAAAATATCATTATGAACATTTGTTGATATAAATCTGTGAGAGGACAGGCACAATGTCAGTTTGAGGCACTTAAGAAGTACCAGCAAATCTTTCTTGACCTGCCAGTTTTGAGACAGTGTTCTTTTAGGCAAAAGGATTGTGGCATATCTGTCAAGATTTGTTCATGGGAGTTTTGTGAGATTTATGTGAAAATATCTGGGATAGTACAGCTGCTAGGTAAATGATGTATTCATAGAGGGCTCATTAAGGATAAATATTATCAAAAATGTGTGATTTTTTTTTCTACCTCCAGCTTAGCTGGTTAAACATTTCAACCAGCCTACACATCTATTGTCTCATAGGTAGCATCTTGGTCTTGAAAACTAAATTGCCTAACGAAGTACAAATTAATTTTATTTAATTATTTTAAAAGTAGGAATTATTTTTAAATAAATGTATTTTATAAATAATAATTTTAAATAAATTAATCCTTTAAAAAATAGTTCATTAAAACATCAAATATGTGACCTCTTGGTCAGCAATAAGAACAGGTCCTGGATTATACTGGGTAATATTGGCAAAATACGTTTTCCCAAACTACTAGAACTACATATTTTCTACTTGATTGCATCTCCCCAAAATGACTAATATCCCTCTCTTCATCTCCTAACATTTTCCTTCTTTTTCTGCTACTGCTGAATTCTTAATGTAATTTCATATTTTAAATATAAACATTCATTATAGAAAATTTATACAAATAGAATTTAAATTTAAATTGCTGCTAATTCTACAAGTCAACATATCAGTCACTGTATTTCTTACCAACCTCTTTTCTTTGCATCTCTGATTATTTCCTTAGAATAGCACTCATTCAATCCTTATCAAAGGCATTGACAATAATTTATTAATCACCCTTAAAGAAAAACGACCCCTTCCCAAGTCCTAGGCTTCATGCTACTTTGCTAGAGTCTGGGATACCCCCTGGTGGAGGTTACAGAACATGACCAAAACCTGTCACAAATGCCCTGATATGGAAATTCAAGATTCTGAGTGCACAGCCTTTGGAATTTGGCATCAGCAAGGCTTGTCTCTCATCAGTCACAGGTTTTTTTGAACAAGGAAACATCAAATGCAAGAAAGGTATCTGTGTGTGTGTGTGTGTGTCACACACACACAAAAAACGGAACTACAGGAAATTTAACTGAAATAAGCAAATTAGAAATATCAAGAAATCTCAGACCTAAAGTTGTTTTCAATCTGAAGCTGTGGAGTAAGCACAGGGCCTGAGTACCCCAGTTGCCCCGCCTCCCTCTCCTCCCTGTGCCTGCAGCATAACAAAGTGAGTAGAGCATGTTTCCTCTGTGGCTAGAGATGTCCTAGATCAGAAATCTGCCCATTAGGACACTAGATGGAGCCAGATGGGAAAGTTTATGCTCTAACTGCAGGGGAACCATTTTCCCTGTACTTTCCTTTTCAGGAACAGTTGCATGATATGGCTGATCTCGCAGAACGTCTATTTCTCTGACATTCTTCTTCAGTCAAGCTGCCTTCAGTCAATCATTCATCAAACATTCACTAAGCCCTTGCCCTGGGCCAGATATCAGGATATATGGCTAAAACAAACACAGTTCCTGTTGTGGAAGAACTTATGGGCCAGTGAGAGAAGCTGCTGATTAACAAACTGATCTTCCTTTACTTTCTTCCACTCTCTCTAGGCTCAAGGCAGCTAGGCCCAACAGCATTGCCTGACCATGCACTATACTTCTGTATCTCCTTGCTTTGTTCTTACATTTTTCTCTTTCAGAGAGAAAAATTTAATTTTTTTTATTTTATTTCTTTTATTTCTTAGTATCTAAATCTTACCCCTATCAGGCCCAATCCAAAGGCTTCCTTCCCTGGGAGACCTTCCCTCTTGTTTCTCACAGAGAAATCCTCTTTGATTCCTTCTATCCTTTAGTACAGCAGTTCACAAACTTGAGTATGCGTCAGAATCACCTGGAGAGCTAGACCCCACTCCCAGTATTTTTAATTCAGTAGATCTGGGATTAGCCTAAGAACTTACGTTTCTAACAAGTTCCCAGGTGATGCTGATTCCGCTGACCAAGGGAACACACTATGAGAACCACGTTTTTTAGTGTTTATTGAGCACTAACAAGTGCCAAGCATTATGCCACATATTGGTGATATCACAGTGACCAAGACAGTCCCTGGGCTCAAAGCTAGCACAGGCTGGAGATGGGAGATATAAACAAATAGGAAAATACTTTTCTGTGCTACAGGAGTGGGGACAATGTTCCAAAAGTACAAATAACTATGTAATTAACTGTCCCTGTATAGTCAAGAAGACCAAAAATTTCCCAAAGACAGTGGCATTTGAGCTGGCCTTGAAGGATGACTAGGACTTCACCAGCAACAGAAAAGGTGAACAGCATGTACCAAGGCATAGTGGTACAAAAAGCCATAGCATGTTCCAAATGCAACAAAAGATTTATGGAGGCTGAAATGTGGGGAGAATGGGTAGTATCTTCAGGAATGTGAGGATTAGAAGAGATGAAGCTGAAGAGGTTAGTACAAAGTCTTGAATGTCATGCTAAAATGTTTCTTTTTCATACTCCAGGTAATAATAAATAACAAATAAGTAAAACAGAAAAATAACACGATAGAGATTTCCTCACGGACGAATCAGTCTGCTTTACAGAGGAATTTGGACTTCCAGTGTAAGACTGATTTAATTGGTTTAGTGTGGGGTCAGATCTTTGATATTTTTTAAATCTTTGCAGGTGATTGTAATGTGCAGCCTGGGTAGAGAAATACTGAGATATATGAAAGTTCTTGGCTCAAAGTCTGACATTTTCTGAGAAACCCTGAACTCTTCCTCTTCCTCTTCCTTATGTGTCAGACAGTGTTGGGCACTACACTTGTCTTGCCTCTGCACTAACCTACTGGGTGAGTGCAGGCAAAGTCTCTCTTTTTAGTGCTTGACTTTCCTCATCTATTTAACAACATCAACTAAAAAACTGGTTAACAGTCCTTCTTCCACCCAACTCACAAGGCTTCTAGGACATGAGAGAATGAACAAAAGAACATTTTATAAACATAGTATTAACTACATGCCTGTGTTATGAAGGAGAACTGCCTTCACATCAGCTTTGGTAAAGTCTCTTCCATATTAAAATAAAACAAAAAATAACTTTCTTAACCCCATGTCCCCTCTAGGTTTGCTGACTTTTCTTTCACAAAGTTATTTAAAAGAATTTACTATATTTGCTACCTCCACTCCCTCATTTCACACTAATTCCTCAATCCTTTACAGATTGGCATCTGCCCCACTCAACTTTACAGAAGCTTCTCTGGTCAAGGTCAGCAAATGCTGTTCTGTTTTTTTAATGACACTGCTGACCATCCTCTTCATCTGGAAACACTATTTTCCATAGGCTACTGTGACATAGCATTCTGCTGAGTGCCCTTCTATCTCCTCCACCACACCCTTCCAGTCAGTTTTGTTAGCAATTCTTATCTAATGTTCAAATCTTAGAATTCTTCAGGGTTCCGTCCTAGGCTGCCTTCTCTTCTCGTTCTCCACAGCCTTCTTGTATGATCTGATCCCCTCTCGTGGCTTCAATTATCATTTCTCTGCAGCAGACACTCAAATCTGTGCTTTGCTACTTTGTTTTTTCTTGAACTCCCAATCTTTCCTCCAACTTCCCACTTGATATCTCCACTGTGATATCTCAGGCACCTGAAATGTGTTTTAAAACAGGACTCATTATCTTTCCCCAGATTCGAAACCAACCCTTCTTCCACGGGTATGAAAATCCCATGACAATCTACTTGGATCCAGAAACCCTTAAGCCAGCAGTCCCCAACCTCTCTGGCACCAGAGACCAGTTTTGTGGAAGACAACTTTTCCACAGACTAGGTCAGGGCGAGGGATGGTTTTGGGATGTTTCAAGCACATTACATTTTTTGTGCACTTTATTTCTATTAATATTACTTTGTAACATGTAATGAAATAAGTATACAACTTACCATAATAATTAGTGGGAGCCCTGAGCTTGTTTTCCTGCAACTAAAACAGTCCCATCTGGGGGTGATGGGAGGCAGTAACAGATCATCAGGCATTAGATTCTCATAAGGAGCCCACAACCTAGATCCTTCACATGTGCAGTTCACAATAGGGTTCACGCTCCTATGAGAATCTAAGGCTGCTGTTGATCTGACAGGAGGTGGAGATCAGATGGTAATGTGAGTGATGAGGAGGGGCTGTAAATACAGATGAAGCTTTGCTCTCTAGCCCGCCGCTCACCTCCTGCTGTGCATCCCAGTTCCTAACAGGACACAGAACTGGGATTTGGGGACTTCTGCCTTAAGCTATCTATGACTCCTCTCACTCCCCCATCCTCAACAGCAACAGGACTCAATCACTCACTTGTATTGATTCTGATCTTCCAAAAATGTCCTTTCCCCCATTACCTCTCCACCACTCTAGTTTAGATGACCATCATGTCACTCCCCTGCTTAAAACCCTCTGGTGACTTCCCATATTCTTTTTAACGTGGCTTCCAAGGTCTTGCATGATCCAGTGTTTCCTACATCTTCAACTCATCTCACTCCTCTCCTCTTTACATTTCTTCCTGTAGTGATATAAAACTTCATAGTTATTTGAATGCATCTTGCTTTCTTTTCCCTCTGGATCTTTCCTTTGTCAGAAATATTTTCCTTGCCCCTTTCACCCTATCCTAGCTGTCTCCTACTTGACCCTCAGAATTAAGTTTATATGCTACTTCCTTTAGGACACTTTCACTGACTCTTATGGTCTGAGTTTATTATCCCTTACGTTTATTCTAATAGACCCCTATTCCTACTCCTTTCATAGGCTGGTCAGGCTGTTTATCTGTCTCCACAACTGTTGTGCCAAGCTCCTAGTAACCTCAATAGGGAAGGCACTAGGTTGAAGAGGCCAAAGAAGAGACCCAAAGCTAGCAAACAAGACATGAGGTTTCATTAGGGGCTTACATACAGGGGAGAGAGCCCAGTGGCTGGACAGGAAACCACCTTATGTACAGAAATGGTGCAATGGCAGTGAGCTGGACCAGATATCTGCCTTGCATACAGTCCATTGGCAGTGGGCTGGACAACATATCCACCTTACATACAGTCCAGTGGCAGCAGGCTGAACAACATCATATCTGCCTTCCTACAGCCCAGTGGCAGTGGTCTGGACAACATAACCCAATGGCAACGTCCTGGGCAGGAAAACCATAACTGCCTGCAAACAGCATTTTTGCTTAACACTCTCCCTCTAGCAATCTTCAACTGGCAACCTTCATTTAACCCCAAACCAACTCCTCAATCCTCTGTATGGCTTGTGCTCAATGGGATGAGCTGGTGGTTCAGATGTTTGTCATAGATAAGCAACAAATCTCCAGGCTGGCCACTCCTGGATTCCCTAGCATGGAACACATATTCAGGTACCGATGCTATACAGGATAAATCTAAGGGTATGCTTACATTGTTGCTGTCAGGTGTGTTTACCCTACAACCACTAAACATGATAGCGAGAACTAGACCATGGTTTTATTATGATTGTTCCCTATATTTTCCGTGGCTAGCATAGTGTCTGGCATATCACAGATGCTCAGTATATGCTCTTTACATGAATGAATGAGTGAATGAGTGAATTAATATTAAATAGAGGGAAATGAGAAATGATCTCTGCCCTCAAGCAGTTCACAGTTTATCGAAATTGTTTATAACAGAAGATGCAATTATAAAAATAATGCAATTATTTATAACAGAAGATGAATAAAATAAGTAGTAACTCAGGGTCCAATATGCTGTAGAACCCTAAGGAAAGGAAAAGGAGAAATTACTTTTAACTGGCAAAATTGGTGAAAATATTTCAAAGAAGGTAGCACTGGAGCCAGCCATTGCTAATAATATGAACTATAATAATTTGGATGACAGTAACTACCATATATGAGTGCTTATAATGTGTTAGGTGTTGGGTTAAATATCTGTCATGCAATCTCCTGTTTATCCTTTCAATAACCTATAAGTTGGTCCTTATGATTTTTTTTTTTTTTTTTTTTGAGACGGAGTTTTGCTCAGTCATCCAGGCTGGAGTGCAGTGGCGTGATCTCAGCTCACTGCAATCTCTGCCTCCCGGGTTCACGCCATTCTCCTGCCTCAGCCTCCAGAGTAGCTGGGACTACAGGCACCCACCACCACGCCTGGCTAATTTTTTGTATTTTTTTTAGTAGAGACGGGGTTTCACCGTGTTAGCCAGGATGGTCTCGATCTCCTGACCTCGTGATCCACCCGCCTCAGCCTCCCAAAGTGCTGGGATTACAGGCATGAGCCACCACGCCCGGCCAGGTCCTTATGATTTCTAATTTATAGACAAGAAGACAGAGAGATGAAGTCTCTTAAACAAGATCACCTGCTAGCTAGTGGAGGAGCTAGGACTCCTCATAAGCAGGAAGTATGTCCTATTCTTCTTTCAGTCCCAGTGCCTAGCACAGGACCTGACATAAAGCAGGAGCTCATCAATACTAAATGAGACAATAAATGGGAGAATAGAATTTTCAGAAGTAAGTTCAAATGAAAGATGAATGAGCTTGATGGGATCAGAAACAGGCTCCATTCTTTTTTAAAGGGTCACACAAAACTGATCAAAAAACCAGTTCTGTCCAGAAACATCCAAGAATCCTATTTGATATTAGCCAACAAAGCCACATGCAGGTCTGTGCTTATTCAGCCTTCACTTTAATAGCCCTGCCTCCTGGAAATAAAATAAGGGAACTCAACTCAATGGCCTAGGAATGTTTTTACTAATGTGGTATAGATTAGCTTTGGTGGTAAAGATTGGAAGGATTATAAATAACCCATGACAGAAAGGAACTGCCATATGGAGAAATCCATTTGGTAAAAATATTAATGACAAGCAGCAATTACGGCCACCTCTTCTACCCTGAATGTCTTTCCCTCGGGGATGCCTCAACACTGAAACCAGTGGTCAGGGGCACCCACGGGCAGTTTACTGAAGGGAAAAGAAAAAAAAGCCTGTCAGAACTGTCATTCTTTCTCTTGCTTCTGTCACCCCATGCCTTGTTTGTGAAGTTCCTAAATTTGGTTGCGAGCTGACTGTTTTGACAGTCTGTCTTAATGAATGTTTTTCTTAAGCTCTTGGGGGGCCTGCATATTTTTCTGCATCTGGGTGATGTGGAAAGACTTTCTTCTTTTAAGGAGCTAAGGAGCATCTCAAAATAACTGTTAGTGAATCTACCACACCAAAAGTCTTCAATGAGAACACCAGCATCCTATTGCCTCAACTAAAAATGGCTTTAAATTATTTTAGGAAGATTATTTTAGAGAGTCCTGATCAATAATAATGTTCAGTGAATTTCAACTACTCTTGGAAATTATGGTTCAGTCGCATTTCACGTCAAGTGAGAACAGTGATATTCACTGAGCACCTACTTACCTGCTTAATATAGTCAGGGTTGCCTTTCAGTCAGCCTCATCTGTGTGGAATCCAGAAAACTAAAGTCTTCTTGGTATGTGTCACAAGGTCCCTGTTTATTGTATTATACATTGAGACAAAATTCAGATTCATTAAGGAAGTTCTTTCTAATTGGGTCTGTTTACTTCCTTTGGCCCATTCTAGGAAATAAAAATTTGACTGCAATAGTTAGATAGAGTCCATTAAGTCCAAATCTTTGTCACAATACTGAGAGAGAGTCTGAAAATCAGGATTTATGGAAAAGCAAGAGGATTTAGTGAGAAGGAATGCACCACATGGAATGAGAACTAACTATAGAAATTATGTATAGGAAACATAAACATAAATATAGTATATTTCAAGGCATTCACTGGAGTTCTATATATGCTTTCAATTCCTTCTCAATAAGAAATTGACGGAAACTTGTGGTTACATGTACTAAAAGAATGGTATGTGTTCTGTATGTTTCGTACGTATTTCTCTTTCTACTGCATTGCAGATGCTTTGACATCTTCCTGTCTTTCATGTGCTCACTGTTTTTTTCCCGAGCAAGTTGATACTGATATATCACATCCTAGTAATAGGAGTCTTGTTATTACTTGAGGAAAAAATTTAGTCCCTGCTTATGGGCTTGCTCCAAATTCACTCTAATTGCAGTCTTCAACAATGGTGTGTCTGAAGAGGTTTTGCATTCCTCCTGTAGGTTCTGCAAAATGGCCATTGCTTATGAATCAGTGGAAATCATTTCTCCCTCTGAGTTTAAAGCCAACATCTCTCTCTCTAATCTGAACATGCTGTATCTAATGGCTTCTGCCTTAGCTATGGAGGTACAGATGGGAGGAGAGTTTGCCTTTAATCCTTTCAATAGGAAGAGTAAATTCCTTATTGAGTACTGAAATGAAAGCAGACAGAACCGTGACCAGCATGACATTTCCTATGTCATGTTAACTTATTTTTAACTATCATTACAAACATATGCATTAAAATAATGACACTCTTCACATATTCTGGACACTCCCAACTATCTTCAACCCTATGATACCTTGTTTTGGGCATACTCAAATAAGCATAGCTATTTTATTTAGTAGCCTAACACAATTTGTAAGCAGCAAATGTAAAGGGACTGGAAGGATTTGCAAGAGGTAAATCTGCTATACTGCTAGTAATATAAGTGCATGCTAAATCCAATGATCATTTAAAAGCTAACCAAACAAGGCAACAGCATAGTGTTTGGAGGGTGTTCAGAGTAGATGCAAAAACTAGTCCTGAAAAAAAAAAAAGGCAAGGTTGATTTATGTTCTGCTTTGCCTATATAGGAACATAAAAGAGGATGTGATATAACTTTAAAAGATTACATTCAAAATACCAAAAATGATGAGAAAGCTTTGGAATTTGCTGAGTTGTTAGAAACTACATATGTGAAAGACTAAGGCTCTGTGGGAACATAGGCTCTGGAGTAATGAACCTGGGTTTCATTACCAGCCCTCCCTTTTCTAGCAGTAGAATGGAAAAATAACCTTCCTAAGCTTCAGTTTTCTCCACTGTTCAATGGAAAAAAACACTTCTAATTCATGGGGTGATGTGAGAATTAAATCAGATAACATAAATAGAGGCACCAGCTCATTGCCTGGCATGTTGTTGCTAGTGCTCAGTATACTAAAATATTCTTACTTCCATAAACCCATAGATAATTTGGAATAAACAAGACATTTGTGTACTTAAAAATGCCATTGCAATAAATCCATAAGACCTCACTTATAGGGAATTTACTTTATTTTCACAGAGATTCACAACTTGCCTATAAAATTAGAGTCTTGGCATGAGATAGCATGAAGAAAAGAAGAAAAGATGCTGTATTGGTTGTATCTTTTTTTTTCCCCGAATTTTTTGAAAAGGCAACTTTGTTCACTACTTTAAAGAGTTTGCCATGAATCAGGATGACCCTGTGAGAGTGAGTTGACCCTTTGTGAAGTGACTGGGATTTGGCATAATTACAAGATGTCAGCTGGGGCCTGGAGGAGAGAAGCACAGTTTGGTTGAGAGCTGTTCTCTTACAAGGTCAGGACCAAATTACTGTCTTCCCAAAAGGAACAGGGAGTCTTAGGAGTGCCTCTTAGAAGAGAGAACTGCAAAAACTTTGGAGGAAGCAGAAAGAAGGAGCTTGAAAGTATCACAAGAAAATTTTGAAAGTCAACATTCCCTAACCTAGCCTTCTCAAGATACCACTACACACACACACTCACATACTGTTCTTTTAACACTCCATACTTCTGCTCAAATAATTCTCTCTTTACCCTCCTTTTCTTGGCCTGGCAAACTCATACTCCAAGATATGGCACTGTTTCTACCCTTCTGAGCTCTCTTCCAGGATTCCTCAGGATGGAGTATGCAGCTCTCATCAGGGTCCTCAGCACCATGCATTTATCACAGTGCATCCCCAACTATATCATGAGCCCCCTCTGAATTTTAACCTTGTCTATATCTTAGCACCTATATTATGACTGAAACAGCATGTACCCAGCAAAAGTTATTTGAGCTGACCTGAATAAGGGTCAGGGACCCCAAAAGATTGCAGATGTGAATCATTTCAGGGTGAGGACCTCCAGGCTATGGAATGATGAATTGCGTAGGCTAGAGCTTCCCTCAGGCTGCTTGATATAAGGCTTCAGGGTGTCTTACCACCAGGCCTTTCCCCCCTGGCTTGCTCCAGAATGGAACACTTATAGATTATAATAATAAACTATGGTCATAGATTATGCCCACTCTCCTGCTTTTGAGAAACACGTGGACCTTTAGAGTGCTTGAACAGAAGTGCTCATTTATTCAGCAACATAGTATGACAGCTACATTATTTTATTCAAACTTTATTACTATCTTGTTAGTTATTATTAGACTCCATCTTCTAGATGAGAAAACAGAGGTTCTAAGATTTTCCCAAATCCACATGGCTAACATAAGAAGGAGAAAGATTCCCTCCAATCTCTAATTCTCACTTAAAATTTTTCACTTAAATTCAATAAGGCAAAGTTGCGTGTGGGTGCTAACTCAGTGCTTTAAAGCTCGCAAAATGCTTTTCATATCCAAGACCACATTGAAACTACACAGCCCTAAAAAGCAGGCAGTGTAAAGATCTCCCACATTGTCCAGTGAGGGAAGCAAGATACAGAAAGTTTAAGTGGCATCCCAGATGTCACCAGTTCTTGTCATCTTACCTCAAGACCATATTCCATACCTCTGCAGGCCTGGCTGTTTTTCACAGTTGATGTAAACTCAGCTCAGATGTACAGACAGTGAAGTGGTTTTTTGTGACCACAGAAGGAAACGTATCTTCTTCAGTCATCTATTGTACAATGTACTTATTTACTTATTTATAGCTCACATCATTCCTCTGCAGATTTAAAATGATTCTATATTGTATTAAGCTGCCTAATCACATAAGCCAATTAATGCAAATCATTTTATTTCTTTGTTTTCATGACAGGAAATAACCAAATTAGATAAATTTTTACCTCCTTTTACCTTTCTCACAAATCTTCCCTAGCTCCCCTCGCTCCATCTGCATACAATGTCATTACCAGCATTTCTCTGTTTTCCAGGCCCCCAACTCTGAATATGCTGTTCCATTTGTTCCTCTGACCTGGGGGCCCATCTCAGCTCCAAAGTCTACCTCCCTCACCCCTAATCCCTTTCCAATTTGTCGTAACCATTTCCTCTGTAGAATTGTTTATTCCTCTGTTTTAAAACTTACTGCCCCTCCCTCACATACTTTATAAGACAGCCATCCCTCACATACTTTTCTCCCCAGTAACCCAAGCTTGCTAAAGGCAGGGACTCTGTCTTTTGTCTCTGCATACTCCACAGTGCCTAGCATGATGCCTGGCACACAGTCAAAATCAGTACATGATTTATCTCTCTCCAAGAGGAGTTTTATTTTCTAGGTAAAATAACATGCTATGTTTGTTTTCATGGGTGAACAGGAAGATTAAGTTTATTGTTTAATATTAACATACCTCTTATCTTCATGGTTCCCTCCCCTCTTTGGTTTTTCATGTCACATTCTTGGTGAGATTTCCCTTACCTTCCCTATCTAAAATTTTAAGTTAATACCTGAACACCCATTATATCTTTCTTCCCTTTTTGATTTGCTTCGTGACACTTAGCACTACCTTAAAATCCTATAAATTTTACTCATTTTAGTTATTGTCTGTTTCCTTCATTTAAAAGTAAGCTCCATGGGGGGAAGGAATTTTTGTCACTTTTATTCATCATTATATTCCTAGTTCCTGTAAGAGTCTGGCACATTGGAAGTGGTCAATCAGTATTTTTCAAATAAATGGATGAATACTACTAGGCATTGTCAGTCAGTGAAAGCTAGAGGGCCTGGGTAATTGTTGCTGTGGTAGTATTGCCATGTCTGATTTGGGGATAATACTTAGAATGGTGGATCTCAACCAAAGGTACATTCATCACCTATGTGACATAGCAAGTCTAGGTGGGCCTGAACTTTACACACAGTCACTAGAGTCAGTGTAGGCAAATTACCTAATCATTCTATGCCTTAGTTTTCCCATCTGTAAAAAGGAGATAACACTAACACTTACTTCAAAGGGTTATTGAGAGAATAAAATTTCTATGAAGTGCTAAGAACAGGAAGTTCTCAAATAAATGAGAGCTGTTAAACTTCTCTTAATTTCAGAAACCTTCTATATGAGAAACATGGATTATCTTTTTAATTCTTCCATTGTTTATTATAACTGTGTTTTGGGTTGCATTCAAATTAGTATTTATTCTCAATGATTTCTACATTACTTTTTTGACTATGTTTTGAAGACATTGCAGTACATTTGTTACCAAACATTGTTGCAATATTTATGTCCCTAAATTTTTACCATAAGTGGTAAATGTAAAATTAGAAGGCCTGCAAGCATACAAATAAACTTCTTGGAAACTGTGCTTTTTGCTTCCCTCTTGTTGTAAGTGTCTTTCATAGAGGGGCTGGTAGGACTGAAAGATTCTGAAGGTTGAGGGCCCTTGAAAAGGACAGGGCTTTGCATCCAATGAGTAACCCACAATTTATGATTCCACCTCCTAAAGATTCCTCGTTAGTTACCCAGGCTCATAATTTCCTATTCTATTCTGCACCAGCTTTTTAGGTAGATTGAAGGATCTAATTAAATTAAGCCATTGGATTGTAATTATAATTTTGAAACAGAAAATCCTCCAGGGAACATGATCACATTTATTATTGGAGAGTGTCATGAGCCTTGCAACTGCAGACTGTACAGCGTCTCGCCTTATGACACTGGGAAGAAGCATGAGCCAATGGAAGCAGCAACACATGAATGTTAGGTTTGTTCATAATTCTTGCATTGAAGTTTTTCTATGTTGGTAATTACATGTTTCTTCTTTGGGAAATCAAAATTGGTCTTAGATCTTTTTAGATAAAAATAATTATTGCTAATATTGTTCAATAATTATTGAGCACTGACCTCATGCTAATGTTTATTAACTTATTTAATCCTCACAATCACTCCAGAGGTAGGTTTTTATTATATCCCCATTTTACATATGAGGAAACAGAGGCACAGAAAGGCATGGTTATTAGCTCAAGTTTACACAACCAAGAATTTGTTGAGCTCGTATTTGAATAGAGACAGACAGCTCTGAAACTTTATTCTTAACCTTTACTCTAAACTGCCTTCTGAAGACACAGGCCATGCATCTCAGAAACTTGTCTTAAACTGTCAAATAAACATTTGACATGCTACTCGCTTTATAGTCCATGCTTTAAATACAAACACTAGACTTTGAGCAATGACAGCAACCCATGGCCATGCATGTTTCAGCACAACCATAGTTGTTTCTTTCATAGATAAGTTAACTAATTAGCCAAGCAGTAATTGAGATCATTTTATTGTATTATTATTTTCCTTGAGATGGAGTCTCTCTCACCCAGGCTGGAGTGCAATGGCGTGATCTTGGCTCACTGCAACCTCTGCCTCCCAGGTTCAAATGATTCTCCTGCCTCAACCTCCCGAGTAGCTGGGATTACAGGCGCCCACCACTACACCCAGTTAATTTTTGTATATTTATTAGAGATGGGATTCCACCATGTTGGTCAGGCTGGTCTCGAACTCCTAACCTCAGGTGATCCACCCACGTTAGCCTCCCAAAGTGCTGGGATTGCAGCTGTGAGCCACCATGCCTGGCCGAGATCATTTTATTAATGCTGCAGGTTTTCTTTCAGGTGTTTAGCTTTTCTTCATCTACAGTTTACTCTTCTTCACCTTCCTGTCACTTGCTCCATCCTAATCTCAGAAGCATGAGGTTATTAAAGGAAAAAGCACCTTAAACATTATTTTACAGATGGGGAAACCAAGAATCAGGGAATGAGAATTTACACACAGGCAAGGAGGTGGGAACAACTTGTTTGGTGACACATTTGGAGCTACCTGAGGCCAGTGACTATATCTCACCTGTCTTTATCTCCCCAATGCCTAGCACAGGTTTGACTCCATAGAGTCAAACAATGTGTGAGGAAGGAAGGAACTCTGGCACTAGGTGAGGCATGAAAGACAAGGAGTGTCCAGTGCATGCCTCTAGTGGTAGGAGAAGTGCTGAACAAGAGACCAAACCCTGACAACATCACTGAAGCCATCACCTGGTGTCCAAATCCTGTTAAGAGTCTCCCATTGAGCTGAGCCAGTAATCTACAAGATAAAGTAGGGAGCTCTCAGTGGATAGGCAGATCCCAGGGACTGGGGAGTCAGGCCAAGTCTACAAGCAAATAGCTGATTAGAACTGTCAACATTACACATAGGAAGCAAAGCCTGAGGCTCAAAGCTGAGGCTGTCATGCCTTCCACAGATATCCCTCAGGCACCGACTCTGCACTTGAACCTCACTTAATCTGGATAGGACTCAGATTCTGGGAGGGTTCCAGGAGAAACAAACAGATTACCAGACTTGGAGGCGAGATTAAAGGAGATCTGTATAGAGATGAAAGAGAAAAAGGTCCAAGAACAGAGACCAAATCAGAGTTGCAGACAAATTCCAATTAGAGAAATATTTGCTCTGATAAAAGGATCCACAAAATGCTGAAAGAGCACAAACTAAGCCTTGAGCACCGGATGACATTATAAGAAGCAAGTTTGGGGCAAATGAAATCAATTTATGCACAGGCAAGGAGGTGAGAAGATCCAAGAAGCTACAAGCAATTCATTATATCTGGAGCTAAGTCCAGGTGTTGGCAGGCAGAGCCAGAGGACTGCAGAAGATGAGAGGGGCCAAGTCTTAGAAGGCCTCACAAGTGCCAGGCTAAGGATCTTGAACATCATCCTGAGGGCAATGGGGAGTTATGGGAAGGAATTTAGAATGAGAGTGAAATGGCCAGACAGGGCATTTAGGAAGTTTACTGCAGTCTCTAGTGTAAGGTTCAATTGCCAAAGGCAAATCTAGATATGAGAAGATTAGGGAAGAAGCTTTGTACCAATGCAAGCAAAAGATGATACCATCTAAACCAGGGATGTGATAATGGGGATATGGAGGGGATGAATGTGAAAAAGGAGATGAGGGCTTCCTTCTGTATTCCTTGAATACTGAATAAATTTCACTATGGCACAGAGTAGGCAGTCCAAAAATCTAGATTTCATCCTTTAGCCCTCACTCGTCACCACTGCACTCCTCTCTTTCCAATCCACCACCAGTTCTTTCCTTCTTAACCACTAAATACTTTGGATCCTTCTACTTCTCAGCATCTCCACTGCTTTTCTTCTCTTCTAGATTATCAACATCAGACTCCTGGACTTTTATTATAGTCTTCTAACTGTTCATTGTAAACTCACTTGTGCCTTCCCTCCCACTACCACCATATAGTCCCTATTCATTTTCCTCATAACATCTAGTTTATGGTTTTTTATTTTAAAAAAATTAATTGAGATATAATTAATATACAATAAAATGCACATATTTAAACTGTACAATTTGATACATTTTGGCATATGTATACACTGAAGAAACTATCTGATATGGTTTGGCTGTGTCCCCACCCAAATCTCAGCTTGAATTTCCAAGTGTTGTGGGAGGGACCTGGTGGGAGGTAATTGAATTATGGGGGCAGGTCTTTCCTGTGCTGTTCTCATGATAGTGAACAAGTCTCATGAGATCTGATGATTATATAATGGGGAGTTTCCCTGCACAGGCTCTCGTCTCTTGTCTGCTGCCATGTAAGACGTGCCCTTCACCTTCCGCCATGATTGTGAGGCCTCCCCAGCCATGTGGAACTGTAAGCCCAACAAACTTCTTTCTTTTGTAAATTGCCCAGTCTCAGGTGTGTCTTTATCAGCAGCATAAAAATGGATCAATACACTATTACCACAATCAAATTATAAACAATATACCACCCTCAAACTTTTCCTTGTGCCCCTATGTAATCTCTTCTTCTCACTCCCTCCCCTATTCCCACTCATCCCCACATAACCACAAGCTCTTCTTTCTGTCACTATAGTTTGCATTTTCTAGATTTTACATAAACAGAATTATACAGCATTTTCTAAAATTTTATAAAAATGGAATTATACAATATGTATGCTTTTTGTCAGGCTTCTTTTACTCAGAATAATCATTCTGAGATTCATCCATGTTGTGTGCATCAGTGGGTCATTCGTTTTTATTGTCGAGTAGTATTTTATTGTATAGATATACCACAATTTGCTTATTTCCAGGTTCGAATTGGTGCACATTTGAATTTTCTCCAGGTTTTGACTATTATGAATAAAGCTACTTTTAACACCCATATACAACTTTTTGCAAGGACATATACTTTAATTTCTCTTGGAAAAATACCCAGGAGTGGAATGTCTGGATCATATGATAGTTTACATATAATATTTTAAGATATTGCCAAACTTCATTCCAAGGTGGCTGTGCTATTTTATATTCCCAACAGTAGTGTATGACAATTCCAGTTCCTTCATTCCTTACCAACACTTGGTATGGGCAGTCTTAATTTTATCCATTCTAATAGTTGTCTAGTGATATCTCATTGTGGTTTTAATTTGCATTTTCCTAATGACTAATGATATTGAGCCTTTCTTATGTGCTTATTTACCATCTATACATCTCCTTCAGTAAAGCATCTGTTCAGATCTTTTGCCCGCTTTTACTAAAATTAGGTTGCTTTTTTTATTATTTCATTTTAGAGTTTTTATATACATATTCTAGATTCAAGCCCTTTATCAGATATATTATTTGCAAATATTTTCTCCTAATCTATGGTTTGTCTTTTAATTCTCTTAACAGTTCTTTCAATTAGAAGTTTTGAAATTTTGATCAATTTGCTCTTTTATGGATCATGCTTTTGGTGTTGTCTCTAAGAAATCTTTCCCTAATCTAAGGTTATGAAGGTCTTCTCCTATGTTTTCTTCCAGAATTTTAGAGTTTCAGGTTTTACATTTAGGACTATGTGCCATTTTGAATGAATTTACATATGTGGTGTGAGGTATGGATCAAAATTCTTATTTTCCCCCATATGGATAACCAATTGTTTCAGTTCCATTTGTTGAAAAAACTGTTTTTTTCTCCACTGAATTGCTTTCAAATCTTTGTTGAAAACTGGTTGTCTATATATGTGTGGGTCTATTTCTGGACTCTGTTCTGTTTTATGGATCTAATTATGCTAAAACCAAACCACACTGTCTTGATTACTGTAGGTTTATAATAAGTCTTTAAATCAGGTAGTGTCAGTACATCAACTTTGTTCTTTCTCAAAGTTATTTTGGGTATTCTAGGTCCTTTGCATTTTCATATGAATTTCAGAATTAGTATGACATTTTTATAACAAAGCCTGCTAGGATTTAGTGGATTTTTTGCAATACAAATCTGATCATGCCCATCCTCTTTTAAAAATTCTTTAATGGCTTCTCTCATGCTTAGAATAATTTGTTTCCCAGCTTATATTCCCTGGCCTAGAAGGCTGTGTGGGGTCTGCACCCTTCTCTCCTCTCTAGCCTCATCTTTCTTGGTCCCCATCTCTATACTCCAGACACTCTGGTCTCTCAATTCCTTGAATATGCCATTGCTCCCTTTTACCTCAGAGCCTTAATACAAGCTGTCCTCTCTGACTGGAGCACTCCAACCCCACCCCACTCACATCCCTTTGCCTTCATAACTCCAAATGCCCCTCAGCTCAAATGTTTCCTCCTCATGGAAATCTTTTCTGACCCCACCCCAGCCCCTAATTATATCAGATATTCCTGTTAAATATTTCCTAGCTCCCAATATTTATTTCTTCATGATACTTATTAAAGGGTGAAATCATATACATGAATATTTGATTATTTTAAAAAGTCTTTCTTCCCGTAATAAACTGTAAATGCTAGATGAAGGCAGAATCTGTGTCTGTTTTCTTAACTTTGTATTCCACCTAGCAAAGAGCTTGGGACATAGTAGATGCTCAATAAATATTTGTTAAATGAATGAAAGAATAAAGTTGAATTTTTGGAATGCTCGTCATTTTGTTTCATATCAGTGTGGATCTAGGACTTGTAGCAGGCCTGAGTTGATGCATAAGAAGAACAGGAAAGAAAAGATTAAGCCAAGTGAGGCCAGATCCAGGTTTCTCTACTCCCATCCAAAGACTCACCCAGCTACCTCATATGGAGCCTGGTATCTTGAGAAAATCTCTCTTGAATGAGACATTTGTTTGCAACAATTTATGCATTTCCACTCAATTTCTCTTTGCTGCCTGGAAATGCGGCTTAGAGGAGAAGCTGAGAAAAAAAAAAAAACTATTAACTTATTGTTTGAGAATTTCATTTTTCCTTTTTTATTCAAGCAACTGTTTAGCATAAGATAACCATCCTTTGCTTCATTTCATTTTCCACTAGTTTGAAATGAGGCAAGAGAAGTTGGACAGGCCTAGAACCTATGGCCTTGTGATCATGTTAGAAAATAAAATTATAGGCCCTCGCCCGCACAGGTGTGGCGCCCGCCCGCCCCGCGGCACTGAGCCGCCTGCCCACGGCTACACGCCAGGCGTCACTCGGGCTGGCGCCGTTCTACCTGGGCAGGTGTGGGGCCTGTCGGGGGCTTCACGACGGTGCGGAAGGCCAGCCTGCAGGGAGGCTGAGCCGAGCGCCTCAGGCCCAGCGACGTGGCTGACCCAGCCCCGCCACGTCCAAGGTTCCCGCCCTCTGGAGGAAGCAGCGCAATCACTCTGGGGTCGGGGAGAGACAGATAGCTGAGAGTAAGGAGGTACCATGGGCGCTCCCTCGTGAGAGGACCTTAGAGCCGCCTTTGACGGGGGGCGTGTACCTGGAGAGCGACGCTCTTGACAAAATTCTCAGGGAAAACTCTTCAGCTCTGGATGTCTCTCCCTTTTTGTGGATCAAACACAAAGGGCATCATTCTAAAATATATATGGAACCGTAAAAGCCCCAAATAGCCAAAGCAACCCTGAGCAAAAAGAACAAGGCTGGAAGCATCACACTACCAGACTTCAAAATTTACTACAAAGCTCTAATACCTAAAACAACATGGTACTGGCATAAAAAAAAAATAAGCACATAGACCAATGAAACAGAATAGAGAATCCGGATATACCAACTCATCTTTAACAAAGGTGCCAAGAACATACAATGAGGAAAGGATGGTCTTTTCAATAAATGGTGTGGGGAAAGCTAGATAACTATATGCAGAAGAATGAAACAAGATTCCTCTCTCTCACCATACACAAAAATCAAATCAAAATGGATTAAAGGCTTAAATCTAAGACCTGAAACTATGAAACTAGAAGAACACACTGGGGAAGTGCTCCAGGACCTTGGTCTGGGCAAAAGATTTTCTTTGTATAAGACCTCAAAAGCACAGACAACAAAGCAAAAACAGACAAATGAGATTACATTAAGCTAAAAAGTTTCTGCACAGCAAAGGAAACACTCAACATAGTGGGAGAGACAACCCACAGAATGGGAGAAAACATTTTTAAACTATCCATCCGACAAGGGATTAATGACCAGAACAAAGAGACTAAACAATTTAAGCCAAAAACAAAACAAACAAACAAAAAAACAAAAGCCAAATAATCAAAAAAGTGGGCAGTCTGGGTGGGGTGGCTCACACCTATAATCCCAGCACTTTGGGAGGCCAAGGCAGGCAGATCATGAGGTCAAGAGATCGAGACCATCCTGGCCAACATGGTGAAACCCCATCTCTACTAAAAATACAAAAAAAATTAGCCGGGTATGGTGGCATGTGCCTGTAGTCCCAGCTAGTCGGGAGGCTGAGGCAGGAGAATCGCTTGAACCCAGGAGGCAGAGGTTGCAGTGAACCGAGATCGTGCCACTGCACTCCGGCCTGGTGACAGAGCGAGACTCCGTCTTAAAAAAAAAAAAAAAAAAAAAAGTGGGCAAAAGATCCGAACAGACATTTCTTAAAGGAAGACATAAAAATGGCCAACAGGTATATGAAAAAATGCTCAACATTACTAATCATTAGAGAAATGCAAATTAAAACAACATGTTATTTCACCCCAGTTAAAATGGCTTGTATTAAAAAAACAGATAATAACAGATGCAAGTGAGGATGTGGAGAAAAGAGAACCCTCATACACTGTTGGTAGAAATGTAAACTAGTACAACCACTATGAAGAACAGTATGGAGGTTCTTCAAAAAACTAAAAATAGAATTAACATATGATCTAGCAATTCCACTACTGAATACGTATCCAAAAGAAAGGAAATCTGTATATCAAAAAGATATCTGTACTCCCATGTTTATTGCAGCATTGTTCACAATAGCCAAGATACGGAATCAACCTAAGTGCCCATCAATGGATGAATGGATAAAGTGTGGTACATATGCACAATGAAATATTAATCGGCCATAAAAAATAATGAAACCCTCTCATTTGCAGCAACATGGATGATACTGGAGACCACTATGTTAAATAAGCCAAGTACATAAAGACAAATATTGCATGTTGTCGGTCATACATGGGAGCTAAAAATGTGGATTTCATGATGACACAGAGTACATTGGTGGTTACCAGAGGCCAGAAAGGAGGGGATGGAGTAGGGGATGAAGGGGGAAAAAGGATATAAGTGTATTTATTACCACTGAACTGAACACTTAAAATGGTAAAGATGATATGTTATACATTACCTCAGTCTGCAAAAGAAAAAACAAATGGCATCAATGTTAATAAGTGTAAAAGTTGTACTAGGGATAAATCTGCCATTTAAAAGGCAAATTAGAAATCTGAAATAACAAGTGCACTTAGCCTGTGAAACCCTTGAAGACCCCAAAAGTCTCATTCAGAACTAGTCCCAAAAAGAATACGTACTTTTGTATCATTGTCTAATTAAAGCTGCTTTTTTTCAAGTATTAGTTTGCTTCAAAATAAATCTTTTTATTTGTACTAGTAAAAAAAAAGAAAGAAAGGAAAATTATATTCTCTACCTTTTGGACTAGGCAGAGGTATCTCAGAAAAGAATCATTTCATGCTGGCAGCCTGAGGTAGCACCACACCTGCTTCTCCTACCTACTCCCCATTGCATCCCCTGCCTCCATGAGCCAAAAGCCCAAGAGTGAAATCTCAGGTCTGAGTTCTGGCTGTGCAGCCATTATTAAATGTCTTCACCTCTCTGGGCTTCTCGTGTCTTGTAAAATCAGAGTGGAAGTTGCTTCTTCTGTAGCCATCTTCCAGAATTGTTGTGAAACTTAATAAGATTATAATTAAGCTACATAGGCCAGCTATGATGTGCCAGAAGCCATTCTGATCACTTTGTAGATGTGAATTCTAATCACAGCAGCCTTCTCAGGTAGGTATTAGTTTTCTTGTTTTATGAACAGGAAACTGAAGCTCGAGAAGAGAAGACAAATTCCCAAAATTGTGAAGGTTCCTCAATGCCAGACTTAGAGCTTAGACTTTGTCCAAAGGACAATGTGAGAGGAGTTAAACAGGGAAATGGCAAGGTGAGATCTGAGTTTTAAAAAGAACTTGCAGATACCTGTGTGGAATATGATTTAGAGGGGGAGTACCTAGGGGCCTGGAAAATGAAAGGAGATGTTTAATAATAGCAGGGTGCTTTGCCATTTTCAAAGCACTTTTATATCCTTTTTTATTATGTGAGTGTCACAAGAACCCTGTGAAGTAGGGAGAAAGGCATTATTATTGCCATCGCCATTTTTGAATGGCAACCTGCAAATAGCATAAACACTTAGTTCCAATACTACACAGCTTTGTTCCAATATCACATAGTAAAACCGGTCCCAAATGTAGAACTCTAGACTTTTGGTACATTTTCTTTCATAGCATTCTTCAATGGCTTGCAGACAGAAAGCTAGTTGCACTGCCACTGCCCATGTAACATTGTCAAGTCCTTTGCCTTCTCTTATCCTCCACACCCCAACTGTAAAATTAAATGATCAGAATGGATGAGCTCTTCTGAGTCCTACCAGTCTACCTTCCTGATATGCTCGAGTCTCTTTCAGGGTCTCCAGTGGGACCTACCATCTGAGCTAGATGAAGGGAACAAGGTAGGGAGTGATAAGCTCCAGTTGGCCAATAAAGGAAGCTAGAATGGGATAGCTTGGTTACAAAAGACTAAAATCAACTCGCTTGATTGATTATGAATTTTAAGCAGTTTTTCTTCAGTGCAATCAGCTCTCTGCCATCGTCATCGCTCATTAGGGAAAGATTTCCATTCCAGAAATGATTGAGGATGTTTCCCAGCATTTGCATTTTGCATTCTACATGCTAAGCACCTTGCTGTCAGAATTATAAGCTGTCTCTCCTTGCCAGGCCTCTGCCTCTCATTTCCTGCCAGTCCTGGGTCCCTTGCTGGGATGGTGAGAAGTGACCCCAGAGGAAAGTGCAGGAAGATCATGGCCATGTTGACCACTGGCTGGCCCATGCCTGACGGTCAACAAGCCGACCTCTGACAGGATGATAGAAGGGGGCTCTTTCTCTCCTCTTCTAATTGGCCTTTATGAATATTTAATGAAATCAAGATGGAATTCAATCAGGAACTTTACCTGCTGCATTTTCAGGAGAAGGAAGAAGAAAAAGAAATGGTGGGATATTATTAGATTCCTCTAACCACAGAACAGAGGGAACATGCCCTAAAATCCCTCTGATACTCAGGTGCCTTAGCAGCGTTAACTGCCCAGGTACGTCTGCTAAGTCCAAGGAAATTAACCCTTTTAACTAGTGAAACACTGCCAATTTGACTTACCAAATAGGTGGATGAACTTTGTCTAGAGAGGTAAAGGCTAATATGATGAAGCATAAATTCAAACTAAAGATGCTGTCTTAGAAATATCTTTTTAGGAAATCCTGTCTCCCTACGTACTGGAAACCTCTTTGTTTTGAAATATAAATTCTTTTTTTCTTCTCATTAAATTCATCCTTTGTTCATTGTAGCAAATTATAAATATTAAAAATCAAACTTAAAATTTGCCTGTAATCCTATCCAGAAATAATGGAGATTCATGTTTTCATATTTATTTATCTACCCACTCTAACCAGTAAATGTATCTACATGTCACACACTAAGTTACATGTATAATCAACCTTTTTTTTTTACTATATACTACATCATCAGATATTAACCTACAACATGACATGTGACAAGTGACCCTGGAGGAGAGTGCTTATATAATGGCTTATTGTATTTTATTGTATTAATGCACATAATGTATTTAACCAATTCCCAATCATTAGCATTTCCATTTGGGGCCCCTGAAGATGACTTTCTGACTTTATACAGAAGGTATGGTATAAGAGATGTTTTAGAATCAAATAGATGTGGATTCCAACCCAAGTTCTTAACATTATTAACTGTGTGTACTTGAGAAAATTAATTAACCTGAGTATCAGTTTTTTCATCTTAGATGAAAGGTTGTTTTGAGGATTAAATGAGAATGTATGCAAAGCACCTAGGACAATGTCTGACATAAAGTAAATTTCAGTTTATGTAACTATTGTCTTTCTTAATGTGCTTTGATAAACTTCCTTATAGCTAAATCTTCATCATTTCAGCTAATTAACCATTAAGCTAATTTCCTAACAGTAGAATTACTGGGTCAAAGGGTTTGCACATTTTGAAGTCGACTAATACTTTCAAAAGCTACGGAAGTATTTTTTCCTCAAACCAGCCTCCTGATGTTGGCCAACATTTGCGACTCTGGTGGCCAGTACATGATGAAAGCTTAAGCAGGTTCCTTCTCCTCTTGCTCCTTGGTTTCCTCATTATACAATTAGATGATTTTCTTAGTCAGTCCAGGCTGCCATAACAAAGTACCATAAACTGGGTGGCTTGTAGACAATGGAACTTTTTTCTTATAGTACTAGAGGCTGAAAGACTGAGATCGTAGTGTTAGCATGGTTGGGTTCTGCTGAGGGCCCTCTCTCAGGTTGCAGACTACTGGCTTCTTGTAGCCTCGCATGGTAGAAATGGTAGAAAGAGAGCTACCCAGCTCTCTGGAGTCTTTTTTATCTTTTTATTTATTTATTTATTTTTTGAGACAGAGTCTCACTCTGTTGCCCAGGCTGGAGTGCAGTGGCGCCATCTCGGCTCACTGCAAGCTCCGCCTCTCAGGTCCACACCATTCTCCTGCCTCAGCCTCCCGAGTAGCTGGGACTACAGGAGCCCACCACCATGCCCAGCTAATTTTTTTTTTGTATTTTTAGTAGAGACGGGGTTTCACTGTGTTAGCCATGATGGTCTCAATCTCCTGACCTCGTGATCTGCCCATCTCAGCCTCCCAAAGTGCTGGGATTACAGGCATGAGCCACCACGCCCGGCCTGGAGTCTTTTTTATAAGGGCACTAATCTCATTCATAAGGGCTCCACCCTCATGACCTCATTACTTCCCCAAAGCCCCACTTCCTAAGACCGTCACATTGCAGGGTAGGAGTTCAACACATAAATTGAGGGGGAACACAAACATTCAGTCCATAACAGGGACTGGGTACATTTTAGGTTGGTAGATTCTCTCCTCTACCTCCAGCTCCTCTGTCATGGTCCAAACCACCCATTGGTACAGGCAGGTCTAAAGTCAGCTGAGCAGCCCCAGCTGTCAGGCAAGTATGTGTTTATTTAGTGTATACTTCGATTTTTGTAGGGGTGTTCTCATGGATATTCAGCAGTGTACAGTAGATAAGTGCACTCCAGAAGGTTTCTCCTTTCTGTCTGTGTATATGCAGGTGTGTGTATTTTGAAGGGGTGTATTCTGAGTCTAACTGTATTCCCCTAAAAGATATATTAAAGTCTGAACCCCTGGTACCTGTGTATGCGACCTTATTTAGAAAGATGGTCTAACCAGAAACTCATTTTCTTTTAAAATGCTTTCTCCAAAAGATTTTAAAAAAGAAAAGGGGGGGAATGGTTAGAGGAAAATATCCTGGGCCCCCAAATCACTAAGCAAAAGGGAAAATTCAAGCTGGGAACTGCTTAGGGCAAACCTGCCTCCCATTCTATTCAAAGTCATCCCTCTGCTCACTGAGATAAATGTGTATCTAATTGCCTGCTTTGGAAAGGCTAATCAGAAACTCAAAAGAATGCAACTGTTTGTCTCTCACCTACCTGTGCCCTGAAGCCCCCTCCCCGCTTCAAGTGTTGCCCCGCTTTTACTTCGAGTTGTCCTGCCTTTTCAGACGGAACCAATGTTCATTTTACATATGTTGATTGATGTTTATCATCTCCCTAAAATGTATAAAACCAAGCTGTGCTCTGACCACCTTGGGCACATGTCATCAGGACCCCCTGTGGCTGTGTTACAGGCATGTGTCCTAGGCATGTGTCCTCAACCTTGGCAAAATAAACTTTCTAAATTAAAAAAAAGAAAAAAGAGAAAAGGTCTTTGCAGATGCAATCAAGTGAAGATGTGATTACACTGGATTCGGGTTGGCCCTAAATTCAGTGACTTGTGTCTTTAAAAGAAGGCAATGTGAAGACACAAGGACACAGACAGTCAGAGAGAATGCCATGTGACAACAGAAGCAGAGATGGGAATAATGCTGCCACAAACCAAGGAGCTCCAAAGACTGCCAGCAACCACCAGAAGCTGGAAGAGGCAAAATTATTGCCTCTGAGATTACTCCTTAGAACTTTTGGAGAGAGCATGCCTCTGCACTCTCTGCACTTTAATTTTAGACTTCTAGACTCTAGAGCTGTAATAAAATAAATTTCTATTGTTTTAAGTCACCTAGTTTGTAGTAATTTGTTATGGCAGCCCTAGGAAATAAATACAATGTGTATTCTCATTTTTATTTCTGCTCTTCCCTTTATTAGAACATAAGCTATTAATTCCTAGGGTCATTTCTGGAGACAGCATGGTTTAATGAAAAAAGTTCAGGGTTGGGTGTCTGACCATCCTAGCTAAAGGCCTAGTTCTGCCATTTAATGGTTGTATGAGCTCCATGGGCAGGGAAATCCTCATACTCAGCTGGGAGTAGAGTGAAGTTCCCATGTAGTGCCTGTACTAGGAAATGCTTTCTTCCAGCCACCAAATTTTCTGCCTGACCAGTGAGTTGTCTTAATTAGCCATGCCTATGTGCCTGAACTCTTATCTTATTTGAAAGCAAATCTCTGGGCAGAAGACAAAAGGCAGTAGAGCTGAAACAGGAAGCCGGCCTTTGGTAAGAGGTTCCTAAGATAGCAACAAGCGTTTTAAACTGAAGTGGTCTCTTTATGTGCCCTCCATCAGACTGGGGGCTTCTTGATGCCAGGGACCAGGTTTGATTTATCATTATGACTCCAGCATCTAGTGCCTGGTCCAAAATACGTGCTTAGTGAAAGTTTTTGGAAGAGGGTATTTGGGACTGGGTTCTTGTCATTTTTGACTCTGTTGTTTCTGTTCCTTGAGTTCAGCTTTTTTCTGATTCTTTGCTTGTGCTTTTTAGCACAAGCTAAAAAGTCTTGACCTGATTCCTAGACCTTTACTGACTCCTGTGACCTGATCCACACTATGATTTTTATTTACTCAAAAACATTTAGTGACTTAATTAATAATAATGATATCTGCCTGTTAGGGAGCATTTCTTCATGGCAGGCTACTGTAATGGGTATGAATCTTGTTCTACAAACTCAGTAATGTAAGAAATGTATTTCTTTTTAGTTAAAAGCATTTAAATTAAATTTGTAGCCCACATCCTACTGGACTGATCAGTAAATTGAGTCTCTGCCATTTCTGTGGCTCCCCAACACTACACTTCGCCACGATCCCAGGATCTTATGCAGCATCAAAGTATCAGAAGCATTTGGGGTAGTATCTCTGTCTCTCTGATTATTGATTATTGGTTCCGATCAGTTCTCACCAACACGACCATTTCCTTCACCCTCATGTTCCTGCACTTCTGCGTTCATTCATTACTATGGGCATAACGATCTTTGATGAATCTGCCAGACTGCAAGTATCCATGAAATACCAACCTGAGCTCACCCTGGGATGCTGCCACAGAATAGAGTACGGGTAACAGACTTACCAACCTTCATTCCCTTCTCTATTTGGGAAATAACCCCCAGCATCTTCACCCAAAATCCATTCTTCCTGGCTCCTTCTTTTCCCCTCAAGGACATCCACAATCCACAGTCTCTTCAGTGGACATTGGACATCACAAAAACACAAGAATATCACTGACTCCAAGGAGCTTCTGACTGCCTCTCCTTCAGAAACCCCTAGGGGAAACAAAGACTAGTAGCCTAGCTATTGCTTGGAGCAAGAGAGAAAGGAAAAATGCAAGAATATATACATAGATTCTTACTCCAATAAATTATCTGACTGTACTAGTACCCTTTAAAGTAATATAATATTTAATCCTCACCACAATCCTGCAAAGGTAGGAATTTTTACACATGTGAAAGCTAAGACTCAGATAAAGGTTTTACAAGTAGCAAAGAGAGTTCTGAGAGATGACACAAGTTGAAGCTTGGAGGCTAAACCACTGCATCTCTACCATAGGTATTCTGGGTATGGAGAGGGGGACCTCCTTGGTAGTCTTGAGGTATGGGTAAACCTGCGTGAGAGACAGGGTGAAAGGAGGCCAAGGCACTGGTGGGAAGGAAAGCAGGAGTGAAACCTGCCTGTCTGTGGGTGATTCTGCTTCTAGCCCTGTGTTCCAGTGTTACAACCCAGCTCTGTCAATAGGCAAATACCTGTATACCATAGGTACACACCTGCTAAATGCACACACACACACACACACACACACACACGCAAGCAGGCTGTGATCTTGAGTGTTAGGATCACTGGATCCAGAAGAGTTTCCCATTTTAGCCTCATGTTGTTCTCAGAAGTTCTCTGCCATCCTCCCCGTCCCAGTCCCAAACTCGGAGGAAATTCCTCCCAATTCAAGACCCTGGGTAATTGACATGAGAAAGGGCCTCTGGTTACAGTTGCCTGCTATAGGGGATTCAACTGTGCTCTGAATCTGGAAGCCTAGATTTGAGTCCTTGCCCTGCAGGTCCTTCCTTTGTTTTATAGAATGAAGGAGTTCAGCTGTTAACCTTGGAGGCCTTTCCATGTCCTGTATAGATTTATGAAATACTTAGTCTGGACCCTAAATCTGACACATTTCATAACTTCCCACTAACTCCCTTCCAGTGTCATAGACACACAGTGTAATGAGACAGTCCGAAAGCCTTATAAGATCTTCCTGACTTGCACAGTCTCATAGCTTATGTACAATTTATTTTTCTTAGTTTTAATCCAAATATAGTTTCTAATATTTTCTAATAAGCTCTGGCCTATCTTTCTCACTCAGTTTATTGCTATCAGAATTCTTCCTCCTGTCTATACCCCTCCCTTCCAACATTTCCCTACCTTTTTTTTGCTTTCTTCCTGCTGGCAATAATTATAAGTTGTGAAGCCCACAAAAAAGCGGATATTAAATAGACTGTATATGATTAGAGATAATGTCACAGGCGTGCGTCCGAAACCTGCCATCTGGCTAATGTGTGTTTTCCTTTCTGTGACACTGAACACAGTCATTGTGCCTTGGAGGGGCAGGGCATTGGTAGTGATGTTAAAAGTGTTTACATTTAAAGAATGCTTTTCTTTGTGCTGTGGGTCTTTCCCAAGCACTACCTTCTTGCTATGAGCCTAAGGTTGACAGCTCACATTTCTAAGATTCCTGATGGCATGAACTTTACATGTGGATCCTTCTCTTTGGCTCCTTTAGCTTCTTTGTTGAAAGTTGGAGGGTCTGGAAATAAACTAGGCTTTCTGCCTGCATTGGGAGTGTTGCCCTGAGGCTGAGACCAAATTCTTTAAAAGAAAGGCGACCAAACAAAGGTGCAGATGCCTCTGTTGTTATAAAAACAAATGTAATTTTATTATTTTCATAGATATTTATTCGATGCCTACTATGCGCCAGGCACCATTTGGGTTCTGGGGATAGACTAAGGAACAAAGCATACACAACTCCCTACCTGCATTGAGCTTGTATTCCAAAATGCAGAAGCATACTGTATTAGCCTGTTCTCACATTGCTATAAAGAACTAACTGACCCTGGTATTTATAATGAAAATAAGGTTAATGGATTCACGATTCCATAAGCTGTACAGGAGGCATGGCTGCAGATTCCTCAGGAAACTTGCAATCAATCATGGCAGAAGGTGTAGGGGAAGCAGGCAGTTTGCACCATTCTGGGAAAGGCCTTCCTTGGATGTCAGGTTAAGAAGCTTGGACAGTAAAGTCTTTAAAGACCTTAAGTAGGGTTGTGCCTCTAACTGAACATAGTTTGAGCAAAGGTGGGCTTGGGTGGGGCAGGCTATGGCGCAGAGGAAGTGGGTGAAAGGGGCAGAACTCCTCTAACGGACAGAAGGATAGTGCGGTTTTGAGGCAGAAGGATACCCAGAGCTGGATGTGCAGATTCTGCCTTGGCTTTTCTCCCTGGGTCAGAAAGTAGCTCCCCATTGACATGCAGAAAGCACTGCCCGCCTTAGTGCTTTTAATAAAAATGGAAAATATGGGTTTGTATGATGCTTTTAATCATTTTGGAATTGTAAAGACCTCTGGGCTTTGGGGGCCAGGACAGCCCTGGTGTGAACATAAATTAGCCTAACTGAGTTGCTTGTGCTGTTTATGGGAACTATTTGCTGTAAATTTGGTTCTGATGCTAGAACTGTGTGTCATCCTCACAGCCCTCAGCCTCAGCATGCCTCTTTCTGAAAACTGCAAGGGTTGCTTTTGGCTTTGGCTTCCAATTAAGAGGGCCATGAACTCCAAGAGGAATTAGAAAAATCCCAGTCTGATCATTAATTTGCTCATTCATTCTACAAACAGAGACTGATCATCTACCCTGTGCCAGGCCCTTTGCCAGATTCTAGGAACACAGAGAGGAGATAGGTCCTCAAGGAGCACACAGTTACAGATACTGGTGATTTCAACAAAAATAGGGCCAAAATGTAGTGGTCATTTCTACCTAGAGGATCAGGAGACTTTTGACAAGGCCTGTGGCTTGTCTCCTGGGAAATGTGTGGCTTTGGCCTGCTTGCTCGGATCTTGAAAAGCAAAGTAGGACATCAGTAAGAGTTTAGGCCAAGGGTGTTAGGTAGACCCAAGGCAAAATACTGACTCTGCCTCATTGCTAGCTGTGTGATCTTCAGAGGGACGTCTATTCTCTCTGAGCCTCAATTCCCCCCTATAAAAGGGGGTTTATAATGCTTCTCCCATGGGGTTGTTGTGCTAGGAACAAAAATACCTCACACAGCCCTGGGCCATGGTAGACTGCCTCCAAACATTAGTTCCCTCTTACCTGTCATGTGCTTGCCTCTTCGGTGGGAATAAACTGCACTGAGCCTATTCTCACTGTCTACAGCTTCTGACATGGCCAAGGGCACACATCAGTAAGGCCTCCTTCTCCATCACTGTGCCCTTTAGTGGGTTTTAGTTGTCTCAGAAATAAAAGTCAAACTCCTAAGTAGGGCATAGAAAACTCTAGAGTATGCCCTTAGCAAGACCACCTCCTAGACGTCATCTTTTTCCTCTATGCCCTCGTCATACTGGAATATTCACCACACTGCAGATGCACACGTGATTCCCTATCTCTGGGTCTTTGCTCACACAGAAGATTCTGCCAGGGCCCACAAGCCCTCTTTCCCCTTTCTCCACCTTGAGAAATCCAGCCACCCTATAAGAAACAGTCCTGAGTCCTTCTCTTTAGGAAATTTGTCAAGATGCCCCCAGTTAGACTTCACTGCTTTCCTCCATGGGATCCCACAGCACCCTTTTGGCTTCTCACACTTATCTGTTGACCTCATCATCCTGAAACCTCTCTGAATGTCTTGGGAATCAGGGAATGAGACTGGAAGCTAATATGGTGGAGCCAATAAGAATTTGTGGCTGACCGTGGCTGGGCGCGGTGGCTCACACCTGTAATGCCAGCACTTTGGGAGGCCGAGGCGGGCGGATCACGAGGTCTGGAGATCGAGACCATCCTGGTTAACATGGTGAAACTCCTCTCTACTAAAAATACAAAACATTAGCCAGGCGTGGTGGCAGGTGCCTGTAGTCCCAGCTACTCGGGAGGCTGGGGCAGGAGAATAGCGTGCACCCAGGAGGCAGAGCTTGCAGTGAGTGGAGATAGCGCCACTGCACTCCAGCTTGGGCAACAGAGTGAGACTCCACCTCAAAAAAATAATAAATAAAAAATAAAAAACAATTTGTGGCCGGCTGAGCTGCCCAATGATGCTCCCGGAGAAGTGTGACGCCCACAGCAGGTTTTAGAGCATTGTTATTCCCTTTTATTACACTTGAACACTTAAAGAAATACATGTTTTACAGTGACAAAACAATCAGCTCTGGGTCAGGAAGTGGTAGAGCTGGATATCCAGGTACTTTTTCACCATGGCATATTGTCTCAGCCAAAAACATCCTTAATACAACAGCACTTCAGCCTCTAGTGTGTGCTAGGCAGGACCAGCTTTCTACATGCACAACCTGTGCAGTGGAACGGGACCCCCACTCAGAAAGACCCTGCCTTTAGAATTTAATGGTCTGTGGTCGCTGTCTTAAAACTCTCTGGAGTCTCAGCACATGCACAGTTCCACATTCTACCAACTCCCCACCTCCTCAGGCAGGGCTCTTAGCCACCTACTTCCTCACCTGCTGGTGTCCTGAGCCCCACCTGACCTCTCTCTCCCCAAGATGGAAGTGGCAGAGTGGGTTCCATCTTGGGGAGAAAAGGGAAAGGGAGCTCGTGGGTCCTGGCAGAGGCTTCTGCATGAGGAACTCAGCAGTTGTCCACTCTCATCCAGGTATGTAGTTCATCCCAGTGTGATGGTTGCAATACCATTTGGGGTTGCCATCTACAGTAGATTGGGGAAGCCAACCCATGGAAATGGGAGACGTCTGCCTGGACTTCTCTGTCTTTCTTGCTGGCAGAAGCCAAGATGGTGGTATAACCAGCAGCCAGTGGGCCCTGTGCACTTATGCATCTTATCTCAGTGGGGAGCCTCTAGGCACCCATGATGGTCTGCACTCACTTTGCAACTACCCCTATACCCAAGAGAGCACAACATTAAATAAGAGATTAAAAATGCCATGATAGGTCAAGAGAAACAGCAGAAGAAAGGGAAAGGCTTTATATTTTAGTACCTCTAATGCCATTTTTTTCTGCTTTTTGAAAAAGGAACTCTGCATTTTCATTTTGCACAGAGCCCCATAAATTATGTGGCCGGTCTTGGTGTTAGACCCTGTCCTGGGCAACAGGAATATCGATTTAAACATGCATATAACCTCTGCCTTCAAGTTGGCTGTTGGGTCTAAAGTTTGGACTAGATTAGTAGATCAGCAAACTTTTTCTTATAGGGCAATAGAGTAAATATTTTAAACTTTGCAGGTCAAACAATCTCTGCCACAACTACTCACCTCCACCTTTGTGGTACAAAAGTGGGCATAGATGGTATATGAATGAATGAGCGTAACTGTGTTCCAATAAATATTTATGGACATTGCAGTTGGAATTTCACATAATTTCCACATGTCACAAAATATTATTTTCTTGTCTGTTTTGAATCATTTAAAAATATATAAATCATATTTAGCTGTGAGCTAAACAAAACAGGAAACAGACCAGATTTGGCTAGTGTGCAGTTTGCCACCCCTGGACTAGATGATCTCCAGGGGCCTTCCAGCACCCAGTCAAGTAAGTCTTAGAAAGCTGGGTCTTATTCTCCCTTTCTTTTCCCCTGTTGCTTTTTTACCTTTTTTTTTTTTTTTTTAAATCTGCCTCTCTCTCTTTGTCATTCTCAGGTTCTCATTCTTGCTCTCTCTCTTTCTTTCTTTCTCTTTCTCTCTTTTTCTCTCAATCATCCATCTCAGCATGAGGGGCTCTTTCTTCTTTCAACTGGTATAAGCACTGGAGCACTGGAGCCAGTGTTCTTTCTCTGTAGGGAGCCAGCTGCTGAATTCTTGCTTGTCTAAGTAATTATAAAACCACTGAAACAGAGACAAGGAGGATCCAATGTGGTACTCTACTTGCAGAGAAAAAATATTGACATATTTAGGGATATAATATGCAGATGAAGAAAAGCATGTCTTGTCTGCTCCATCTTTATCCACAGACACATCTGTGTAAATGTATTTGTGAACATGATACAAATGCAATATTCAAGGAAGCAATGGACAATTGTCACTGTCTTCCATCTGCCCACATATAGGAGCTGGCTCAGGGAAGAAAAGATTTGACTCAGAGAAACTGTAATTCTTCATAAGAAGAATGCAAATAATTCATAACATTTTGTGATCACCTACTGTGGGCTCATAACTATGAGAAACTTAGAAGTGCAATATAGGAAAAAAAAAAAAAGTCCAGGCTCTCGAACCAGTGAGACTTGGGTTTGAATCCTTGGTCTGGTACTTTTTAGCTTATGCCACCTAAAAACAAAACAAAACAAAAAAACAAACAAACAAAAACAAATTGTAACTCTTAGAGCTTCAGTTTCCTCACCTGTGTGAGAATGGTAATGCCTACAATTCAGGTTTGTAAAAAATACTTACAGATTTGAGCTAAGATACATAAAGTACCAATAACAGGTGCCTGAAAAACAATAGGCATTTATTCAATAGGGGCTGCTGAAAAGCTAGAGCCAGAAAAAGGCAGAGCCATGAGTCAAACCAAGATGTAATTGCAAAGCCCATACTTTGTCCTTTATAGAATGCTTGTAGAGTAGCAGGCTAGGAGCAGGAAGGCCCTCTGAGGGACTGTAGCTGGGAAAACAAAAGCTTAATCAACTATAAATAATGACTTCCTCTTTGTTTTTTGTTTGTTTGTTTGTTTGTTTTTTATAGACCCTCTTTTTATTGTTTATTCCAGCAGTCATCCAAGGAATGCTGGACTGGAATACCCAGCAACTCTAAGTAGCTACAATAAAGGACAATTTAGAAAACCCTGACTTCTTAAGCCACCAGCTATTTACCAACTCTGTAGACTATTTTGATTCTGCTCCTTTATTAATTTATCGAAGTGTATTATTGGGCATCTACTCTGTGCTGTGCACTATGATTCGATGGTGGGGCTACAGTGGTGAATGGGACACAGTTCTCACCTTCAAGGATCTCACAGTCCAGTGAGGAAATAAACAGATAATTATAGAATGATAGCAAAAGTACTATGTTAGGGAGAAATGCAAGCACGGTAAAAAATGGCATCTAAACCAATCCGCAGTGGGGACGGAGAGTCAAAGAAAGCTTACAGATAGAAGTAACGTTGTATCATCTGATAATTTTGGCACCTCATAATTACTTCAGTCTATAAATGAGTAATCTTGTGTCACTAAGATTTGAAAAAGGAGTGGGAGGTAGCTAGGCAAGGAAGGATGTAGCAGGCAAAGGGATCAACATGTAAGAAGACATGGAGGACCACAATGAGACATCACCTGACACCTGTTAGAATGGCTATTAGCACAAAGACAAAAGATAATGAGTATTGGTGAGGATGTGGAGGAAAGGAAACCCTTGTACACTGTTGGTAGGAATGCAAGTTGGCACAGCCATTATAGAAAACAGTATGGAGGTTTCTCAAAAAATTAAAAATAGAACTACCATATGACCCAGCAATTCCATTTCTGGGTGTATACCCAAAGAAAATGAAATCTGTATGTTGAAGAAAAATCTGAACTTTCATATTTATTGCAGCATTATTCACAATAGCTGAGATATGTAATCAACCTAAGTGTCCATCAGCAGATGAATGGATAAAAAATTGTGGTATATATACACAATGAAATACTATTCAGTCTTTAAAAAGAAGGAACTCCTGTCTTTTGTGACAGCATAGATAAACCTGAAGGACATTAATCTAAGTGAAATAAGCCAGGCACAGAAATACAAGTACTATATGATCTCATTTATATGTGGAATCTAAAAAAGTTGAGCTAATAGAAACAGAGAGCAGAACAGTAGTTGCCAGAGGCTGGGGATGGGGGTTGGGGACAGGAACATGTTGGTCATAGGGTACAAATTTTCAGTTAGACAGGAGGGATAAGTTCTGGAGAACCTTTGTACAGCATGGTGACAATAATTTTACTTGAAAATTGCTTAGAGAATATATCGTGAGTGTTCTCACCACAAAAAATAATATGTGAGAGATATGATAATAGCTTAGTTTATCATATCTGTCTCTCACATACTTACTTTTTTTGTGGTAAGGACATTCAAGATATATTCTTAATATATCTCAGGTAGTTCTTTATAGCCATGTGAGAATGGACTAACACACTACATATCATATCATTTAACAACATGAGTGTATTAAAACATATTATACACTGTAAATATATACAATTTTTATTTGTCAATTATACCTTAGTAAAGCTGAGGGAAAAATATTTTAAATAAAAAGTAAATGAAATTTGTTTTAAAAGAAGACATGGAGGAAATAGGAAAGCACTGTATATTGAGGAATAAAGAAGATCAGCCTGCCTAATCAGGAACTTTGACTCACAGGGGAGTGGTGGCAAGCTTGGAGGCTGTACAGACAGACAGGGGCAGCATGATCACATTAGGTAGTGTATTAGTCTGTTTTCACATGACATAAAGACTGAGTAGTATATGACTACCTGAGACTATAAAGACTGGTAGTATATGCCCCTGCCCAAGGGCAGCAAAGCTAGACTCTTGCCCAGGAATTCCAGACTTCAGAGGCAAAATCTCAAACTCCTGACCTCAAGCAATCCTCCCACCTCAGCCTCCCAAAGCACTGGGGTTACAGGCATAAACCACCATGCCCAGCCAGGAGAACTCCTTTTGAACATGAGGCAAAGCCAATGTGGCTCTCTTTTCTCAAAGCCTCATGGGGGATCTTACCTAGCTTTCTCTGAGGGTGAGAAGAGTATCTCTTCCTAAGTAGAGTAGGTCCTGGGACCCTTCTATCCTCTCCAGCATCTAGGAATTAAGGGATCCAGAGGAACCACTGGAAAGAGGCACAGCTCTTGCACGGTGGCCCAATCAGTGTCTTTGATGAGCAAAGCTTGTCATGCCTTGTGAGAAGTGACATTATTGATTCTCAGGGAGGATAAAAAGTGGAGGGGGGAGATCAGAGAATCCTTAAACTCTGGTGGAGCTATATTAACGCTATCTAGATGTGTATTTCCAACTTTAGCTAGAATCCATCTTTGACGGGAAACTTTGAAAGGGGCCTTGTTATTTAGGGAAAACATTTCATTTGGTGCCAATTCAGGCCCAAGTGGATATTCCCAGTGCTACTAAAGTTGGTGAACTGAGAACAAAAGAGGTGGTTATCCCCTGAGAGTTTAAAATGCAAACAGAGCCAAAATCTTAATGCCCGACAGATACACGTGAAAAGTCAGTTTTCACTATGTGAGCTATAATGAATTAACAAGATAATGAAAAACTTCAAACCCACTAAATCATCTTTTAAAAAAGGAATTAAAACAACAGTTCAATACCATATGATACCTATTGTAATCACAAAAAAAATTTCAGTTGTAATCCCACATGCTGGCAAGGCTAAAGTAAAATCTTTATCTCACACATTATTCATGGAAGTGTAAACTGGAGTGATCCTACTGGAAATCAATGTGGCAATATGAACAAAGAGTAATAAAAAGGTACACACTTTTAGACCCAGGAATTTCACTCATGGGTATTCATCTTACCTATGTTACCCAAATGAAGGAAAAAACTATATTCAGGAAGATGTTTTATGTGATGTCATTTATAATAACAAAATAATAACAGTCTAAATGTCTTATATTAAAATTTAAGTAAACTATGCTCTTTCCATAAAAGGAACATTATAAAGTAATTAAAATAACATTCACGATGACTATGTAACAGTATTGGAAAAATTCTTATTATATAAACTAAAAATAACAGAATACACCAAGTCACAACATCATATTAATGCCATGATTATATCTTTGTTTTTAATATGTAATTATTACCTATGCATCACAAACACAGATACTTAGACAATGGCTAGAAAAAAGCATGGAAAAAAGTGAGACTAGCTGTTGGTCACTAATGATCATGGAAATGCAAATCAAAACCACAATGTGATACCACCTTACTCCTGCAAGAATGGCCATAATCAGAAAATAAAAAAATAATAGGTGTTGGCATGGATGCAGTGAACAGGGAGCACTTCTACCCTGCTAGTGGGAATGTAAACTAGTACAACCACTGTGGAAAACAGTGTGGACATTCCTTAAAGATGTAAAGGTAGATCTACCATTTGAATCAGCAATCCCACTACTGGGTATCTACCTAGAGGAAAAGAAGTCATTATATGAAAAAGATAATTGCACATGTATGTTTACAGCAGCACAATTCGCAATTGCAAAAATGAGGCACCAACCCAAATGACCATCAATTAATGAGTGGATAAAGAAACTGGTATATATATGTATGATGGAATACTACTCAGCCTTAAAAAGGAATGAATTAATGGCATTCGCAGTGACCTGGATAAGATTGGAGACTATTATTCTGAGTGAAGTAACTCAGGAATGAAAAACCAAACATCACATGTTCTCACTCATAAGTGGTAGCTAAGCTATAAGGATGCTAAGGGATAACAATGACACAATGGACTTTGGAGAGTCAGGGGGAAATGGTGGGAAGGGGATAAGGGATAAAAGACTACAAACAGAGTTCAGTGTATACTGCTCAGGTGGTGGGTGCACCAAAATCTCACAAATTACCGCCAAAGAACTTACTCATGTAACCAAATACCACCTGTTCCCCCAATAACCTATGAACATTTTTTAAAAATGTAAAAAAGAAAATATTGAGATGTTGAGATTTTATATGTATTTTTCATTTTTTATTTTGATATCATTGGTAGAATTATTTAGTAATACTGTATACTATGATCAAAGTATTTTTAAGGGCATAGGCTTCAGAATCAAAAGCTCAGTTTTAATCTGAGCTCCATCACTTACTATCTGTACGACTTGGGCAATTTAATTAACTTCTTTGAGCTTCAGTTTCCTTATCTCTAAAATGGAGTTAAATACCTGCATTATGGTACAGATATGTTGTGAGGATAAGATAAGTTAACATAAATAAAGCATTATTTGCATAGTAGATGTTCACTAAAATTTTTTATATCTTAATGAGCTTTTTATGAAAGCATTTATCAATTTACAAATGTATATATATGTCAAAAAATTGAAATAAATTAAAATATGTTAGGAAAGTTAGGCAAGGGAAAATAAAAGCAGTTCAATAAATATGAATTTCCCTCACTTTTCTAATTCTTGTCTATACAAAGTGTAAGGGAATTTTAGAATATTCTGGCTGCATTGTTGAGAAATCAGAGATAAACAATGCTTGTTTTTCAAAACTTCTTTTTCAGTAACAAAGAAAGGAAAGAAAGAGACATCTTTTTCATTGCGTGCTACTTCTAAACACAAGCGAGTATGCTTGTGTGCACACTCGTGCACACACACACACACACACACTGACCCCTCTCAACAGACTTCAAGATGTGTCCCTGGAAATCCAAGAAAATAACATTTTTGTCTTTTTTTTTTTTTTATACTGAACACATTTGCTTTCTCCATGTAACAAAAGGTATCATTTTGCTTTTAATTATGGGTTGTTATTATGCATTGCTTTTATTTGGCAAAGATGTTTGTTTCAGGAAAATTAATTTAGACAGTTCCATTTTTCAAGCAACAATACCTTCTGTCCCAGGCTTACAAAGAACAATTAGATCTGGATTCTTTCCTCATAATCAAGCTGGCAATTTTTTGTAGAAAGTCTTGGTCAATCAGCGTGGAATGGAGCTTCCTTGAGAGACAGTCAAATGCAGAAAATAGACTTTTATGGCCTGGCACTTTTACTTCCTGGAGTATATATAACTCTGACATCGTGAAGAGGCATTACTCCGGCTGGGCAGGAATACAGATTAATGTTGCATCACTTTCAGTGCCAGACTTTTATTTTGAATGTCATGATATTTTTCACAGGAACTCCACAATATCGTGCAATTCAGCAAACATGACTGAGAGCCTGCTATGTGCCAAGTACAGTGGTAGGAGCTGGAGATACCGATCTGAATCACAGTGTCCTTGCTGGTAAAAGCTCACAGTCAGATGACTCAGACAGATCACTGTAATATACAGTGATAATGTCTGTGGCCAAGGGTAATACAAGGTGCTGAGTCATATATAAAGAAAGACAGGAGGGAAGACTTTCCAAACAAGGGGTCTTGGAATTAAAAATTCCAAGCACTTAGCTAACTGCTCTACTCGTAGGCGAGTTTTGTTAAACCCATTTCAAAGTATTTAACTGACTTGTTCATGGTCACTTAGACAGTGTATGGCAGAGGTAAGTTCAGAGAAGGTGAATTGTTGATTCCTACACCAAGTTAGTGGCAAAGCTGGGGCCAGAAAACACAGCTCCTGGCTTCTAAGTGTTCCTGATCCATTTCATTCAGTCTATACCACAGTTCTATGTGGAGCTGCTGTGAGCTACTTTGTACAATTGCTGAGTCTGAAGGAGAATGGGAACCAAAAAAGATGTTATTGAACACTTACTTGAGTATGATAGGATCTTTTTAAAAGTCACAGCCTCCAAACTCTTCCACCCAACTAGAGACTGACCTTGATACTCTCAAAAAATCTGAAGCTTTCATCCTTTAATGTTTTATCTTTAAAAAGAAAATTTTGTATTGTATCCTATTACTATAGTAATATTTCTTGTAATATGAAACTTCTGAGTGAAGTTATATTCCAGTTTATATTCCATTTAGTCCTCATTTTAGAGATGCGAAAATGAGAGAGAGATGAAGTCATTTGTTCAAGGGCTTTAGTGCTGGTGAATGTGTAAGCTAGGACTTGTCCAGTTGTCTGTTTTTTGCTCTGATCTATGGCCCAGAGCTGGGGCATCTTATTCTGGCACCATTGCTCTCCCTGCTGCCATATTTCACCTATCTCTGTGCTCCTAATCCTTATTCAAACAACACAGGGGAGTTCAGTCTGCTGGTATTTCACTACATGAACTGGGGCAAGTCCTACCACCCTAAAGGCCTCAGCATATCCTTCCTAAGGACACTAAGGATATGAATTGTGAGTCATGACCTTGCACCTAGTATCATCTAATTTTGCCTATCCTTATTTTTTTCTCCATGTCTTTAATTGCATTATTTTTATTTTGTTGCATTTCTTTTATTGTAAGATCTTCAAATTCTTTTTTTGGAATTAGTATATTATAAATAATCAAATATGTAAAGAAACAGAATGTGGTGTTTCAGAGAGATTTCCTGATAGTCTTAAGACTATGTCAAGCATAACAGACCCATTCTTGGAGACAGAAGGTAGCTAGGGCCTCATCGCTAACCTAGGTTTCTTTCCTTTTATTATATCTACGTTAATTACCATGTCTAAAACGAGGCCCTCTTGGTAAATCTTCAGTTAAAACAGCTTGAATCAAATAAATAGCATAACTTTGGAATCCAGAACTAATTACGAACTAAATATTTCCCCTTCCTCTACTTACACCCCACTACCTTGCTTTCTTTGACAAGTTTTTATGGGCATTTGTTCTTTTCTAGGCACTGGATTATAGACATAAATCTGCTTCGTCCACCCTACTGAAGGAGAGAAACAAGTAAACAGTACAGAACAATATGGCAGGTGATTTTGAGCAGATCCCTTTCCTTCTGTGGCCTCAGTTTACTTTTCTTTAAAATAGTTGGGCTAGTGGATCTCCAAAGACCCTTGCTCTGACATCCCAGCAGTGTGTGATTTGGGATAGCATCATGCATGCTGCATCTTAACTTCCTTAATAATGAAGAGTAATCATAGCACTGAAGTATCATTTGAAGTCCTTAAAGGCACATCTTAATTCTAAAGTTTGATTCCACAAAAAGAAATGTGACTTATTAAAAACATATCAAAATAATTTATAATCATGAAACTTGCTCTGTCAATAAGCTAAAACATCACATCTGCAACAAACTTCTCAAAGCCCTATCAGGGAACAGGTATTAAAAAACTATCAATATATGAAAAATATTCAGGTCCTCATGTTGGAAGAGAAGGCAGAGGGTGGCACATGAAGAGAGAAGAGGTAGACCAATATGTAAGCACCTAACTGTAACATGAGACATGTTAGGTAATCACTGCCTAGATGCTGTGGGGCCCATGGGTGCACTGGGTGGGCATTTGTCAGCTTTGAGCACAACCTACTGTCACTTGAAATACCAGTCTCTTCTTGCAGGTCCCCACATGACCTTTTAGGGCTAGAGCAGAGAATTACTGCCCTAGCATGTAATCTTCTGACTCATGACTGGAACGGCCTTCCTCTCGCTGCCTCTTGATGCCTGGGTCTTTCCTCCAGAGCAAAGGAAAGTGAAATCCTCTAGCACAACCCCCATCTGACTGTGTAAGATTTTAGGATGAGGCATGTTTCATTTCTCTCCAGCAGGAGTAAGGGTTTCAGCTGTTTATCCAGTCCTCTTTAGGAACTTGATCGAGGTTTCTGTATTCACTCGCCTAACACATATCTAGACAGAGCCCACACTGCCAGGAGACTTAAACACTGTCCTTTTGCCATGGAGCTTAGAATGTAATGAGAATAGCATTAATCAAATATAAACACAAGTTAATAGAGAATTTCAAATTGTGAACCCTATGGAGGAAAAGTACAAAAGATCACACTTGAGTTGTGGCTTCTTTCACTCCCTTGTGCAGAGGCTGCTCCAGGTGTGTGGTGTCACCCACAGCAATTCATGCTGCTTTTCTGCCTATAAACCTGCGAATAAGCCAAGATTTTTCCCTCATCCCTCACAACTAACTGCTGTCACGACTAATGGAGCGTAGGCTTCAGAGGCAATCAGTATGGGTTTGAGTGTAGGTTTTTCCACTTAGCAGCTGTGACCTTGAGCAAGTTTCTTCATTTGTAAAAAAGGGCAACAATACCTGCCTCAAACGGCTGTTGTGAAGATTGGCACATACAAAGTGCTCAGCAAATGGCAGCTGCTTCAGCCACAGCAGCTATTAATTCTACTTGCAAATTGTCTTTGCAGTTTTATATGCTCCTCTCTATTTCCACTTGCCCTGCTTTTGTGCCGGCCGCCAGAGGCTGAACCAAGATGCTCCTTTAAGTTGCCCTGGGGATGAAAGACACTTGCATGCCTGAATTTTCCAATAAAAGAGAGTTACAGGAGCAGAAACTACTCTGCAAAATATATTGAAGCAATCTCACATGTGCAGCTGAGGTTTTGTTTGCTACCCCACTCTGCTTCCCACTGGATTATAACCCCTAGTTGTGGAATTTTATTTCAGCTTTGAGTGATGTCCACGCTTATCTACTCTCTCTCTGAGTAACATGCTAAAGCATTTTTTATTATTCTGATGAGGGTAGGTCCTGGAAAGGGAGGGTGAGCCTCAGCCACTGTTCATGTTTCCCCTGAAGGCAGTGAGGTTGAGAGGTGATCGGGTATGGCATCCAGATATCAGTCAGTGGACCAAGGTAAAGCTTGAGGGATACTTTGAACCCCCATCAGAATACCTTTTCCCATATTTTTCTTGGGAGCACTTACCACAATTAAAATAAATTCATATTGTGTGATTATTTGCTTGACATATCTGTCTTCTATCTGTCTAGCTAGCTCTTTGAGGGCAGGGGCTGTGTCTTTCTCACTCTATCCCCAGCAAGATACCTGGCACATACATAGCAAATGCTTCATTGGTATTTGTTGAATTAACAAATAAATAAATGGAGAGTCATGGAGTTGAGGCAAGGTGTTATCTGGGAAAGCCATGCTGCCCATCAGTTGTTCAGCAAAAGGAGAGGTAGAAAGAAGATCTTGTCAAGGGCAGGAGCCAAGGTTGGAAGCAGGTAAGGTGGTGGTGCACAGAATGGTCTTGCATATAGAAGGCTTGGGGGTGGGCATGAGCTCAGGGCCTTGAGATAGTGTTTCCCAAATTTCGATGATCTCTGCTCTCTTTCCTCACAGAGGAAACTGGCCCCTCCCCACTCCTTCCTCCAGCCAGATGAGAATCAGTCTGCTACATATCACACTGACTGACATAATTACAGGCCCCACTTTATTGTCTGAAACTTGGTTCTGAAAATAATAGGTATTTTTGGTTTGTTTTCCAAGTATGTAATATTTGGATGTAAATATTATAATGTAAAAACTATTTTTTCAAATAACACATACAACTCGTGGAGATTTTTGGCACCCTCCTTGAATGCCAAACTAAGAAATCTAGTCTTCCCAAAAATGCAATGGGAATCATTAAATTATTCAAAGAAAAGAGCAAATTTAATTTTAGAATGATCAGTCCTATAGCCAGTGAAGAGGCTAGATTGGAGTAAGAGAGATTAGAAGCAGTGAGTTTGGAGAGAGGCCTGTCCCACATAAAATATATCCAGGAAGCAGGCTACACTTGGGGATAGGGCAGGGAGCAGGGCATGGGATCCCTAGATGCCTAGAAAGTGACTATGGCTGGGGGAGGGAATGAACTGAGCAGAGAAGGGAGGGGTTACAGGAAAGGAAAGGGCTTGAGCCCTGAAGCCAAATGTGTGCTTATGCCCCTGTGGCGCCTGTTTCTGGAGAGTGTTGATCCCCAAGTCCTCCCCCGATGGCTGGCTTCTGGAGTGACAGGAGAATGCCTGGGGATTACTGGTGTTCTTATTTAAATCATCTCCAGTCTATGCTGTGAAAGACTGACTTTTCCCCAAATAGCTATCTTGCACGAAACACAGAAAGCAAAACAGAACACATAATCAGTGACTATTCTCTTCTACCACGCAGAACCCCACACATCAAACCAGCCACTGAGCTCCCAGAACAACACGTCCCTTCTCATTCTGGGAGGTAATTGCAATGCAGTCGTGACCAAAACGAAAAGTGAATTTTTAACCATAGACTCGTAACTACCCATCAAGATGAAGAAGGCCAAATTCTCTGTGGTCCAATTCCTGGGTCCCCAAGACAGAAATAGAGTTTTCACAAAAATTATGGGGGTAGTGCATGAGTTTTGTATGGGTATGTTGATGTGTGCCTATTGGAAGACAAGGGGTAAAACTAAAGACCTCTTTTGGTGACCAATTCAGTGGGACCCTGTTTAGTTGCCATCCTGGGAGCAAGTAATCACCAAATCTGAATTGAGCATTATCTGTTGGTCAGGTGCTAGGCTAGTCCCTGAGAGGAGAGAAATAAAGAGGGCACAGCGCCTGCCTTCAGGAAACTCACACAACCACTAGAGAGGATGGAGGAGTGAGGAGGTCACGGAAATACAATGTGATGGTGCTCTGATGGGGAAGGACAGGGGAAGGACCCGATCTAGCACAGCCTTGGCAAGTTAAGCAACGCTTTACAGCAGAGGTAGCGTGAGTTAAGAGCCAAATAACAAGCAGGAATTAGTTAGACAGTTCCTCACTAGTTTGGGTATGGGGTTGTTGTTCCAATTAGAGGGAACAACATGTGCAAAGGCAAATGACGAAAGCACGGCAAATTTGGCAACCAGAAGTGGTTGATCATAGCTAGAGCTCAGAGTCTGAGAGGACAAGAGATGGAAGGCAAAAGCCAGGTTATAGAAGTCCTCCAAAAGCCACCTAAGGCTAAGATTTTGTCTTATAGGAATCCTGATGAGTTTTAAGATGTGCATTCTAGAAAGCTCACTCCAGCTGCAGTGTGGAGGATGACCTGTAGGAAAGAAAACTAGAAACTGGGAGAGCTTTAAGAGGCCATAGTAAAGGGCTAGGTACCAGATAGTGAGAAGCCCAAAGGCTCAGCCTGAGGTGACACAGAGATGTAGCCAGCACTCGGAAATCCTAGTATTCAACCAGTGCATTCCCCCACTCTGCCTGTTGCTCCCCCGTTTAGAGTGATTCTTCCTTTTTCTCTTTGCTTCGCCTTCCTGTTAGGCCCCTGGGGGTTGGCGTACGCTCTTTTTATGGCTGAGTACCTCATTGCCAGCTAGCTTAAATAACTTGCCTAGGATAACAGAGCTCAGAGGTTATAGAATCAGAATTCACCTTTGTCTGTCTGATTTTGAATCCAGCACTCTTCAGAATGCTTTCTTGGTTGTTTGTTTGTTTGTTTGTTTGTTTTGTTTGTTTTTAATGCTTTCTGTAACTGCAATCATAGGGGCTTCAGATATGAAAAAATAAAAGAGTATCTTCTAAGTTGAATATTGCCTGAAGAGTCTCCCAGATTCAGAAGGCTTTATCTATATTGGTAGGCTGCAGTAGCTGGGCTTTTCAAACTGGCTCCTTGTGACAAAATAAGCAAGTGTTTATCCTACTGGTATCTTGTTGATTAATGCTACCTTCCCTGAAAAGAAAAAGATTAGAAACAAAATCACAGTTGTAAGATCAAATGTATTAGCTATGACCATAAATATATGTGACTTACACTCTCCTACTTCAAAACAAAGATGCAGCCTGGGATGAAAAATTATATGAACATAATGTTGCACAGGATTAGACTTGTACTTCATTTATTATATATAAATACAATATCATTAAATATATACACATAGTGAGAAAGATGATAAGAAAATACACCAAAATATTAACTATGGTTCTCTTTCAGTGGTAGGATTTCATTACTTTTCACTTTTACTCTGAATTTTCTGGAAATATTCCCAGTTCTTGGTTGCAGTTGACTCAAAGCAATTTTTCTACTTTTACTCTGAATTTTCTGGAAATTTGGAAAATGACAAAAATCAGCATGTGTGATTTTCATAATTATGAAAATTTTAAAGATAGGTTCTTTAACTTAGGACAACTATAGTTTTCAGAGAGAATAATTGAATCCAGAAAAGGTCCAAAGTTCTTGAGTAAGGTGTCTAATTAGCCCAGCTTTTAGGACTTCTACCTTTGGAGAAGTCCACTGTGACTAGAGGTGGGGTGACATGGTACTAATATAACAGCATTCACTCGATGCATGGGGGAATAATGGATAATTCCTGGAGCAAGGGTGCTGGTGGACAATTCCTCAAGCATCCACTATAGACACTCTGGCAATCCCTGGATACCCAATTCAGAGGTTACTCCTGCTGACCTTAGAATCCCCACCCTCCATTGTCCTTATGAGGTCATACTCAGCATTCACCACACAGTGGTTAAGCAAAGAAATTGGTTTCCTCTGAATGTCCATGGGGCACCATGTTTATCAGGGAAGGCTGGATGCAGGGGTCATACACAGCCAGGAGTCCACATATCTACTCCTGATTGATCCAACGCTGGCATACCCACATTCCTTCAGTAGTCCATAGAATCCCACACAGGCACACTTGGATGCATTCTCCTCCATCCAAATGTGGAACTTCTTTGTCTGAGATGAATGTCCTCTCCCCGACCCCAAACGCACATACACACACAAACACACACACACACACACACACACACACACACAACCACTACTACACATGTGAAGGCTCTGCCTTCCTTAGACTGTAGCTTTTGGTCAGAAAGTGGTTCAAGAGTCATCAGGCCCTGTCTGCCTATTAAACCTGCCACCTACCTTACTGGCTTCATTTCCTCCCTATCCTACCATCCATATTAAAGGCTCTTATCTCTCTCAGTTGGCAACCAATTATAATAATTTGGTAATTCTTTATGTCCAACATGCCCCTCTCTGTATATGGCTGATTGTACATTATTGGTCAAATTCTATAAACCATGTGCTCTATTTTTACAAATGCCACATAGTTTTCATTGGCAATCTCAAATGATTGTGCCTGGTAGACTAGTAAGGAAAATTTTCACTTCATTTCAGTCCTTTTATTTTTGAATGACTTTGAGGGAATTATTTAAATATTCCAGTTTCTTAGCTAAAAATTGTTGCAGAGTCATTCTGGAACATACACTTTTGTTTTCGTTTGCACCTAGAACATGCAGGTTTTGTAATCCTGTTTTAAGAGCTAGAGGTTAAAACAACAGCCTACGCATATCTGCTTGTGCCACTAGGTGGTGCACACATATGTCAGTGATCGGTGGGTTAAAGGGGCTTATCACCAGGTTAGTGTTAATTTATCACCACAGAGGTGGTACAGACAGTAGGAGCTGTAGGAGTGGGGAGAGATAGTAATGCTCTGGGCAACAGTAAAGAAGGGAAACCCTCCCAGAGGAGATGGATTGACAGTATTCCTGGCTACAGACATGGCAGGAGCAAAATCTTAAAGGCAAAGAACCCCAAAGATGTAGCAGGGGAAAAGTCTTGGAAAAGAAAGAGCATGTTTACTCTCCATGCTGATTAATTCCTAATCAACAGGGTCATTGCAGAGGCATAACAGCATAGTTGAAACATTTATTTGAGCTAGATGACATCAAACATTCCTTCCAGACCTTTGTTCTGGGAACTGGGGACACAGAGGTGAAATGACATAGCCCTGTCCTCAAGTAGGATCAGTGAGAAAGGCAGACAATGAAGACGGTACATGATACTTTCTCCTAGTGAGAAAGACAGTACATGACAAAGACAGACAAGGAAGACAGTACATGATACTGTCTTCATTGTCTTTCTCACTAGGATCCTACTTGAGGATCCTAGTGAGATAGGCTTTGCAAGATGCATTGGAAGAACAAAGTGTGAAATTCTGTTCTGAGGAAGGGAGATAAAGTGGTTAGGTTTGGGAGGTGGTGTTCAAAGAAGACTTCATGGAAATCTTGAGGTTTCCATGGTTGAAATCTTCAGGAAGGTTGAAATCTTCAGGAAGATTTCAAGAGGGTAGACAGAGATGATAGCATAAGCAAAGGCATGGAGGTTTGAAAGGATAATGTCTGTGGATTTGGGGACTAGTTCAGTTGAGTTCAGCCAATACTTACTGAGGGGTACTCTGTGACATGTACTGATTTTACTAAAATTAATAATAGGTGTTCTAGGCCCTTAAGATGCTCCTCATCTAGTGAGAAAGACTGATACATGCACAGAAAATTAAAATGTGAGAGGATAGTTGAAAATGTGGTCCCTTTTAAAATCTGACTCTGTCCTTTGAGCCCCCAGTGTGCTGGCTACAGGTTCTCAGGGAGTTCTACACCAGAAGAGGGAGCCTGTAAGCACACTACCTGGTTGCGTTTGGCTCCCAGTCACTGATGGCATTTCAGTCTCACTTGCTCATTTTAGAGTTGCCAAGTTTGAGGCCAGAGACAGAAAGCCAGGACACAAGCCCAGGCCTGTCTGACTCTGTCAGCTTTTCTTCCCTTTTTTCTTTAAAGAATCCTAGGCACAGAGTTGCCGTTTAGCAATAGTTCTTAATTAGAAAAAAATACATTTCAGACAAATAGGCCATCTTCACCAACTGTGATCATCACAAAGTCAAGTGTATGAAAAAAGGACATGATGGATTCTTCCCTTATGTATGAAGAAAGTGCCAAGCCACATAGGTTGACCTTGGCAAAGGCAGCTTAAGCCAGATGTCCCACTGGCCTGGTTCCGTGTTAGGGAAGGAAGAAGGTCTGGCTCCAGCGTTCCTTCTAGCCCACATGCGTGGGTGGGTGTTTCATATCAGTGCTAGGATATGTTCTTACTGTGTAGATTAGTGACATCTTAGAGTTGCATTGTTTGCTTGAAAGTGTCAACTGGAATGAATTATGAGTTGGCAGGAAAACAGGTATGTGTGTTTGAGAAGGCACTGGAGGGATCTGGACCTCCTTTTAGGTACATGAGAAGTCATTGAAGCAAGGGGTAGAGAAATCTTACAGAGATTTTGACTGAAACAGATCAAAGTTAATGAAGAAGGAGGGTGACCCTGAGGAGAGGGAGATTTGAGACCAGGTCTTATGAGTAAAGGACAAAGGACCTGGGAATATTTAGACTGGAGAGAAGACAACACAGATCTTCATCAGCTCTCCAAACTATTGTCATGGACTGAAGTAGCTAGAAACAGTGATTGTGTCATCAGGAAGCAGCTTTTAACCTTGCTCAAAGTAGACCTGTCTAACCAAAAAAAGTAGTGGGTTCTCTACCAAGAAAGAAGATGAAACAGAAGCAGTTTATACAATTGGTGGGGACATTTAGGGGGTCCCTGCCCACGTGGCAGGTCAAATCTCTGAACTTTAAATAAGTAAAATTCATGAAAAAGTAAGAGCCATCTTACATAAACCAAGGATCAGATGTTCTGTAATAATAACAACATCAATACTGCATAGATCTTTTTATTGAGAACCTTTTAAGTACCAGGCATCATGCTAGATTATTTATATTCATTGCCATATTTTGGACTCTAGAGTCAGAATCAGAACTGACTAAATTTTAATCCTGACCCTGCCATTTAATGAAGATGTCTTGGACAGACAGTTTCTCCCCTCTAAATATCATGTCCTTCTCTCCTGTACAATTGCCAGGAGTATGAAAAAAATTGATACATCAAAGTACTTAGTACTGTGCCTGACCACAGTTAGTATTTTAAAATGTTTCTGCCTTCCCCTTTCTGCTTAAGCAGAATTTTAGGAAGCCATTCTTGGATAGAGGCAAGATAAAGAGGGAAATGCAGGGGAGGTAAAATATAGCAAGGCCTCCACTGCACAAAATACTAGGTGATTGAAAGCTCCTGCAATTTGTAATCTAGAGCAATGACTCTCAAAATGGAATTTGTTTGGACCTCTTTTAAGAAAACAGAAACAGAGATTTCCAATACTATTTAGGGAAAATCAAGTGTAGGAAAGAGAAAGAGGTCAGCAGGAGGACTGGGACTTAAGGAACCCTGACTCAAGTCTTTAGAAGGGCTGCTCACCACTTCACCAGCTGCAGCCTCCTGTACCCACTTCTCTACCCTCAGGTTTTCATGGCATCCAGTCTAGGACAGTAGCTGTGCTGTAATAGGGAACAGGCCTTTTGAGATATTGATCACCTCAGGCTTTGGGGTATCCAAGGCCAGTTGCTTCCAAACATAAGCTGCCTCATCCCTATAGCCTAGTGTGCTAGACAAATATTATTCTGTGTGAATATTGTGTGGTAAAAAAGGATAAGGATTCAGTTAGAAAAGGAATGGTTGGTCATCACTAATTGAAATTGTTATAGTATTATGAGCAGACTTAAGAATGAAACCAATCTAGAAATATCTTGGTTAAAAAGAAGTATCTGGAGGGTGGCAGTACAACAGGCACTCAAGGCAAAGAGCATTGCCAATATATCGGACACTCAACCAGTGCAGCCAGTATAAGCAAAGGGAAATCTAAAGCTATCTGGTACAGAAGAATGAGCCCATGACTGGGAAACTGGAAAGGGACCTTCTCTGTGGCTCTAGGTGAGCCACATTCTGCTCAGGGCCTCATTTTCCATAAGTATGGTATAATTTGTCTGAGAGACCTCTAAGCTCTAACCACCTACGCTTCCAAAGACAAACAAAAAGCCCATCCATCCCCCTTTGTCTCTAGGGTACAAACCCTCTCTGCAGAATTGGAAGTGAGTACCACATTCCGTATGATTTACCCTGCAGTATGTCCCAACATCCTCTTTGCTTGTCCGCCCTGACCTGCTAAGCACAATTTTGGCTCTGGCTCAAATCAGTGCCCTCACAGTGTGTTTTCTTTTGCAGCAACAACGAAAGCTTGACCTCCTGACGATAACCAGCCCTGGTGAGTAGGCGTGGCCCTTCTGCCTTTGCTTTTCCCTTATTTCTTGAATGATGCCTTGTTGCCTATCCAAATGCAATTCTTGCCCTTCTCTTTTGGCTCCCTGAATGAACGGCAGAACTCTTGCACCATGAATGATTCTTCTCCTCCCCTACCCTCTGCTCCACAGGCAGTTTATTTTCTCCCTGCCAGCCCTGTGCTGCCTCCTCTTGACTATGGGTGGCAGGGCTGATACTCTGGATGTTGCTGCATATTCTAGGGTCAAGTTCTCTCCAAATCACTCATTGGACCCACGTGTCAAGGAAGTCTCCCAGTCCCTGAGAAATAAGTTTTAGAATCATGTGGAATGGAGAATCTGCTTGGAAGGTGCCATAGAATGAAGGGAGGATGGCTCATAAGATTGGGCCAGTCTGGGAAAGTGAGCAGATTTGGTTGGCTGTGTAGAGGGTCAAGATAACTTTTGTCTCTCACTTTTAAGGGAAGGTCAGGTCCACCCAAAAAGCTGTGACCATGACCATGGGATTAAAAGGTCTTTTTTCCCCTCTATAGCTGACATCTGGCCTAGAAGAGGCTGAGCAGTTTAATTCTTTCAGAGAGGTATTTTACTCTGGTTTGGAAACTTAAGGCAAAGTTGGACAAAAAGAGGTACTGTTCTGTCTTATGATCATGGGGATGATGGTGCCAGCAGGGTTAGTGAGCATTTGAGAGTTGATGTGGTGGTTATCTTCATCCATGGGTGATATTCAAAATATTTAACAGCCATCTGCTATGCTAGGCATTAACACTTTGGTTACTGGACTGTGGGGAGTTGGGGTTCTGGAGGAGGAGCTAGTGTGGCACAGTGGTCATACGGCAGGTTTGTGGGTCTCAGGGGATGACTAATTACCAATACATTTGGATATGTTTCAATATATTAGTAACCAGCATGGCTGAACTCTGTCAGCCCTTCCCTCCACAAAGCCTACCATGCTGTATCCATGGGCCAGTGCCTCACTTTCAAAGAGACTGAGATATTGCCCTCTGTAGTCACTATCCTAGCAATTATCTGGTCTACATAACTAGGGTATAAAAAAGTGACTGCAACTGTAAGGTGCAGCCACTAGTTTGGGTGACCTTACTATAGTTCTATACCTGACAGAACTCTTTGAGCTTGAGACTTCTGAAGAATAAAGATAGAATTAGTTCAAAAAAAGTTTACTCTATTCCATAGAATGATCTACATTTAACATATATATGATTAACATATATAGAAATTCCAAATCCTGGGCTGACATGACTAGAGTGGCTCACTTGTATGACCTACCAATTCCTCCTAAGGTGGTGGTGAGGGATTATCTATGTCCGATACAGTTTAATTGCTTTTAATTGCATCCTGTTCTACTCCACAATACACTGTCCATATTGCCTGCTTCCACATCTGAGTTTATCAGGTCACACCCTGATATGATAGCTAAGTATGAATTGGAGAGAGTTGTTGATCTGTCTTCAGTTGCTTTAGGGGGAAATCTTCAGGCTCTGTTAAGTGCATTTCTTTTGTACAACCTCTTTCTGTTCCTAATTACTACTTCACAAATGCAAGCAAAGTAGGTGTGACTCTTTAGTACAGTCCATTTAGACAGCTTTGGGATTGAAAAAAAAATCAGCACTGCCGGAGTTTTGAGTGGTTCATTATTATCCCTCCTCTTAGATGTGAAAAGAATAAATTCTGAGCCAGGGCATCCCAAAAGGTGTGTTGTGGCACACTGGTGTATTGCAAATGGGCTATACTTGTGTGATATTGTGAGATACCGATTCACTCAGCTCTCAGGGACACAGGTAGGACCTAGCGCAACTGAAGCCCCCTAGGTGGTAGCTTCCACTCCAATGTGTCAGACAAATATTATCAATGTGTGCCATGACTTAGAAAGGTTAGGAAGCACCATTGGATCATGCTATTATCTGGATGACTCTATTCCATGTCAAAAGGACTTTCATTCACTATCTTGTGCTATCAAATTCACCCCCATTCTACATCTCACCAGGAGCTGCAGCAGCTAGGAATCAACTTGCTACCTTTCTTGCGCTGCCAGTAGGAGGTACTGGCTTGTCTGAACTCCTCCCCAGACCATCTTCAACAACAGAACTGCAGTGTGATGTGGCCAGTCATAGACTGGGAGCCTTCTGAAATGCTGACCAGGAATTTGAAAGCCTTAATCTGCTTGATACCTTCTTTAAAGTCTTATTTTGTTTATTGTGAATAATTTCAAATATGCAGAAAAGAGTAGCGATATAATGAACAGCCATTTATTGCCCCCATGCCAACCCCTTGGCTTTGTCATATCAACATGTGTCTTATATGCCAGAGTCACCTATTTTTGGACGAAAATTATAAATGTAACTGAGACTATTCTATACTCCTTCCTAATACATCTTTGTCCCTTCACCCTACAGGTAAGCACTGTCATGAATTCAATGTTTTTCCTTATCTTTGTATCAAAAAATGTAACTGGTATTGCTTTACAAATTCCTGTGGTATCACACTATCAATGTCATTCTATGACTTTTTCCCTACTCATGATTATATTGTAGAGATTCACTTATATTGAAACACATAGCTCTGCTTCATTTATTTTAATTGCTGTTAGATATTCCATATATGATTGAATTACAATTTATCCATTGTATTGATCAGAATTTAGGTTATTTATAGCCACTTGCAATTGCAAATAATGCTGCTTAGAGCATTTTTGTGCATGTCTCTTTACGTATGAGTATGAGAATTTCTCTAGGGAAAATGATTTATTAATTATATGCATCTTCAAATTAACTACATAATGACCAATTGTTTTCCAAAGTAATTGAACATATTTACTCTTCCAATAGCAGAATGTAAGAGTTTTCATTCCTCTGCAGCCTTAACACTTGAAATTGTCAGACTTATAAATTTTGCCAGTTGTCATGATGAACATGAAATGGTATCTTATTGCTGTTATAATATATGTTTCCCTAATTACTAATGAGATAGGGCATCTTTTTATATCTTTATTGTCCACTTTGGTTTCTTCTGTGAATTGATTTTTCATATCCTTTATCTGTATTCTATTGGGTTGTCTCTTTTTATTGATTTTTAGGAGTTTATTGTTCTGAGTATCAGTACTGTGTCACTTATATACATTGCAAACGTCTTCTCCCAGACTATGGCTTGTATTTTTAAATTTTTTCCATGATGTGTTTTGATATATGCGAGGTTTTAAAAAATTTTTTTATGTAGTTGAATTTATCGATCTCTTGTTTTATAGGCTTTACTTTTGTGGCTTATTTAAGAAATCCTCCCTATCTAAATATCGTATTCTCCTGTATTTACTTCTAAAATTTCTCAAGTTTTGTGTCACACTTGGGTCTTTACTTGTCTCATTTAGGACTGATCTTTGTATATGAAATAGGAATTTATTTTTTTGTGTGTGTATGGATAACCCATTGTCTCAGCACCATAAACCACTAGTCTATATTTCTACCCATTAGTAATTACACATCTGTCATCTATCAATTTTACTATATACAAAATCTATTTTCTTCTCGATACTATTGCATTGGCCTACCACGCTTAATTCTGCATCGATTCAACATTGTCTTATTTATAATAAATTCTAATTTTCATATCATCTTAATAATTTATGGGGAAATACCCTTGGACCTTTGCCTTTCATGCTTATCTTTTGAAAGCAACAATTAAATTTTTAAAATACAGTATAATAATCCTTATATTGTGACAGGTGAATTTAATGTATTTTCATTTATTATAATAACTAATATATTTAGACATATTTCTACCACCATATTTGTGTTTTCTGTTTATCATTCACTTTATTTCTTTTCTGCCTTTTAAACATTTTTATATGTTACCTTTTTTATTGCATTCTCTGTGGATTTGGATGCTATCTATTTTATTTCTAACCTTAACTGGTTATATGTGGGTATGTACTTAGCTATACATTTTCTTACAACAAAGTCTACAGTTACTGCGACTTTCTAGCATTCTTTCAGCCACATAAAGGCCTTACATGCTTTAACCACCTATTGAACACTGTCACCTAGTTATTCTTGTTTAGACTAAGTTAAACTTTTTGGAAAAAGGAAAACAATGTATTATTATTATTAGCTCATTGACTTTTCCTACATAGTTTATGAATTTTTGCATTCTTTTGTTTATTGTATATCAAGCCTTTCCTATATTACCTTACCAAAGTGCATTCTTTAATAGCTATTTTAGTGAGAGTCCATGGTAACCCTCTTAATCTGTATATATTCTTGTTTTGACTTCTGTCTGGAATGATAACTTGGCTGGGTATAAATTTGAGTTTGAGGAGGATGTTCCTTTGAACTTTAAGGATTTTTTCTTTGTTTGGAGCATAATACCATTTATATAAGCTTAAAAGCATGCAAAACAGCAGTACATTTTGGGGATAGTGATGTAACCAAAATGCAGTAGTGATGTATATGTGTAGTGATGTAACCAAAATGCAGGTTCAGTCACTTGCCATTTGCAGAGTCCAGTTAACAAAAATGAAGTCTGGTATAAAGAAAGTGACTTTTAGTCTGGGCACAGTGGCTCACACCTGTAATCCCAGCACACTGGGAGGCTGAGGCAGGCAGATCACGAGGTCAGGAAATAGAGACCATCCTGGCTAACACGGTGAAGCCCTGTCTCTACTAAAAATACAAAAAATTAGCCGAGCGTGGTGGCGGGCGCCTGTAGTCCCATCTACTCGGGAGGCTGAGGCAGGAGAATGGCGTGAACCTGGGAGGCAGAGCTTGCAGTGAGCGGAGATCACCCAGCCTGAATGACAAAGTAAGTCCTGTCAAAAAAATATAAAAAATTTTTTAAAGTGACTTTTAATCCCAAAACTATCTTAGGGGAAGAAGCCGGCACTTTTAAAGGAGAATGGCACGCAGGGGAGGAAGTGAGCAGGTTGGGGAGGTCCATGTGCTAGCTCTGGTGCCTTATCAACCGGGCAGTTGAGCTGGTGACTGCTTGTGCCTTCATGGGCAGCAGTAGGCTGAAAACTCCCCAGGTGGGAGAGAGTTTTATAGTGGGACTTTGAGTTATGAATCAACTGTGATCTCTCAAGGCAGTCTCCTGGTGGGAAGGAGTTCCTTGTTGGAGCTTCTAGGCACATAGTTAGATAAATTTGCCCTGTAAAGAGTGTCTGGTGAAGGGGTGGTAAAATATTATATTTGCATTTCTACAGGGCTAAGTAGGAAGTAGGAAACCAGGGAAATGAGAAAAGAAGAGACAGAGAGAGAAAAATAAACTATCTCTTAGGAAAATGGGGGCACACCATTACAATCAGTTCTCCACTGCCAAGTTCCATTTCATTTTGTTGGGATTTGGTTGTCACCATATTCATTCTGGCTACTCCCTGCTGAAAGGAGGCATAGTCATTGGGTGTCAGAATGAAACTGATCTATTTGGAGTTGAAAATATTGATGAGTACCAAGACTTATAGATGATAGTTGTTGCATTATGGTAAAAGGTCTGGAAAGTCACTGGGAAAGCCTGTCTTGCATTCCCATATAGAGGATGCAACAGCAGTAGAATTCACAGTGGAGAAGTATGCCTATTTTTTCATTGTCTTCTGGGATCCATAGTTGCTGATGAGAAGTCTGCCATCATATAATTGTTTTGGTAACCTATTTTTTTCTTGGGCAGGTTTCAATATTATTTTTTAATCTGAATGTTTTGCCTTTTCACTTTGTTGGGTCTAGATGTGAATTTATTTTTATTTATCCTGCTTGATACTCTGAGTATACTTTTCACTTAAGATTCTATGTCTTTCTTTAATTTAGGGAAATTATTGGCAAATTAACTCTTCAAATATTGCTTTTATCCTTTATTCCTTTGACTCTCTTCAACAATTTCTATTGGACAAATGCTAGATGCTATTAAGCAGCCCTCCATGGTTCTTAATTGATTTTTCATAACTTTTATTATTTTTGTCTTACTGCACTGATTTTGAATTCCTCACAAGTAACTTGCATTTATAAATTCACTTTTGACCATGTCTAGTCTAGATTTTTTTCTGTCTCTTTCAATATTTCAATGACTATGTTTTTTCATTTCCAAGATTTCTAATTTTATTCATACCCACCTGTTCTTGTTTTATTTCTGCCTGTTCTGTTTCATAATTTCTTGTTCAGTTTTAATGTCTTCATTTGTTTCTTTGAACATCCTCAATATGCTTATTTTAAAATCTTTGTTCCATAAAATAAGTTTCATCTGGAGGAAATTCAAGTTCCAATTGTTGATTTTGTTTAGTATCATTTTTAGCATTCGATTTCTTCATGTGTTTTGAAATTTTAATTTGTAAGATCACTTTGAGAAGGAAATTTTCTGGTTTTCTCTTTTCTCACCCCTCAAACTCCCACTGTGTTCACATCTCCCTGTGTGATGGTTTTTGCAGTTGCCTCTACCCACATCTTCAGTATAGGACCTGGGGAATATTGAGTATATTGCAGATTCAATGACAAAAAGTTAACAGAACCATTGCATCTGGTTCCTGAGTCTATATTCCTCACCTCTCTATACCTACAATGGATGAGAGCTATCTCCCAAAAGTTATGCAGCAGCCTTTTTTTCTAGGCTCCTTTCATGACAGGAGAGCCCCACCCAAGGTCCTTGCTCTAAGCAGAAGCTTATCTCTGATTCCCATCTCCTGTAGTGTACTTTTAGTCTCCCTTATCCCATAGGAGGCAGACGTCCAACTGCTACTGTCTTCTTCTACATTCAGATTTCAGCTAGCCAGTAGCCCCAGAACCACTTACCCTTTTGCATTTCTGTACATTTGAGCTTTGTGGTGATGTCTCCCACAATGGAGCCCAACAATATAGTTTCATTTCTTTTTTCACATATTATCCAATATTACTATTTGATGGGAATAAATGGGCTTATTGAAATATGAACTTATTTAGTCGTTTGGCCCAGAAGTTCAACTACAGTTTCTTCTTTACTTTTTAGAAAGTTGATTTTCCTATAACCTCGTCAGTAGAAGGGAGGCAATATGAGGAAGTACCGTATTCTTTTCCTGTCCAGGTAAAATCCTTACCAGCAGACTGAGGAGAGAGACTTATTTTTTGTCCAAGTATACACAGTTGTAGATATAATTTTTAAAATGAAATTTGAATGATACCATATAAACTATTGTTATTCGAATGTAGTGTGAACATCTTCCAATATTATTTAATATTCTCTAAGAGGGAATCTTATATGGCTAAAAAGCATTCTATTCTATTTTTAATTCCCCTATTGTTGTATATTATTACTGTTGTTGTCTCCAATTATTTCATTACAAATAACACCACGGTGAGCATTCTTATATAAAAATTTTGGTCTATATCTCTAACTATTTCTTTAGGAAAAATTCCTAGAATAAGAATTACTGAGGAGAGGTATACATCATTCACTAGTTGTGACACTGAAGTAACAATTACATCAAATTGCAAAAGCTTAAAAAGCAAAGGCTTATTCACTCTTGGTACATGTCCCTTTTGGACTGCAGCCAGTTATGCTTTGTATCTTTTGTGTTCTAGCAGCCAGGCGGAACAGTCATCCTCTATTTGTAATATCACTGGGTGTCTTAGTTGGGGTTCACTAAGAAGCAGACCTTTACACAAAGACTTTAGTGCAAATTGGAGGTGATCCCAGAGACATTGGTAGAGGAGTGAGGAAGTGAGACAGGAAAAGAAAAAAAGCCGAGAAAGATTCATTATCAAGCAAGCTACCACAGAGGGCAACTGGGACTTAATCCCACTGGAGAGCCCATGGAACCAGTGTGGAAAATAAGCTACATAGTTATACTTCTCAGGGACAAAGGAGCAGGAGAGAGGGTGGAGGTGTTGATTCCCTGACACTTCTGATCTGCTCAATGTATGCAATGACCAGATTCCAATGGGTCAGAGAAAACCTTCGGGATGGATTTGCAGGTGTTGCCAGTTGGAAGTTATTCAACACATCCAGAAATAATAAGCTGGGAAAATAGGTTGGATTGTGGGGAGGCCTAGCATTTGCCATGTTAGTCATTGTGACAGAGGGAAAAGGGAGGGATGAGGAGCCACGACTCTCCCCTTAAAAACTCTTAGAAGGCGTCACTTCTGCCTAAATATCCTTGATCAAAGCAAGGATTTGAATTTATGGTCATATGACCATAAATTCAAATGGGTAGATATGTGCAATCTTCCCATAGGGAAGTGCACTGCAATGAGGATGACATGAATATTTTTCAATGACTAATATACTTTATCATACTTTTAGAAAGATTTTTATATTCCCACCAAGTTAAAAGTGCTGGTCATACCTTTTTTTAATAACAGCTTTATTGAGATATAATTCACATGCCATAAAATCCTCATTAAAGTGATAATTTAGTGGTTTTCAGCATATTTACACAGTTGTGCAACCATTACCACTACCTAGTTCCAGAACACTGCCATCACCCCAAACATAAACTCCATACCGACTGGCAGTCATTCTCAATTTCTCCTTTTCCTGACCCCTGGCAACCGCTGTTATAACTTTCTGTCTCTATGGATTTGCCTATTGTGGACATTTTATATAAATCAAATCATACCATATATGGCCTATTGTGACTGGCTTTTTTCACTTACCACAGTGTTTTCAAGGTTCACCCATGTTGTAGCATGTATCAGCATACTTCATTCCTTTTTCTTGCCAAATAGTATTACATTAGATACACCACAATTTATTTTTTCATTCATCTGTTATTGGACATTTGGGATGTTTCCATTTGGGGATTTTACGAATAATCTGCTATGAACATTTGCACAAAAGTTTTTGTGTGGACAGATGTTTTTAATTATCTTGCATATGTACCTAGGAATGGAATTGCTAGTCATATGGTAAACTTTACAATAAAGATTTTGAGAAACTGCCAAACTGCTTGACAAAATCATTGCACCTTTTATATTCCCATCATCAGTGGAGGACAGTTCCAGTTTCTCCACATCCTCTCTGACACTTGTTATTATCTATCTTTTTATTACAAACATCCTAATGGGTGTAAAGTGGTATCTCATTGTGGCTTTAATTTGCATTTTTTCTGATGTCTAATGATAACAAATGTATTTTCATGTGCTTATGGGCCCTTTGTATTACTTCTATGGAGAAATGTCTATTCTAATTATTTGCCTTTACCCATTTTTGATTGGACTATATTTGTCTTTTTATTGCATTTAAGAGGTTTTCAGAATATATATTCTGGATACTATTTTATCAGATGTATGATTTGTAAATATTTTCTTACATTTTTATGTGCTGTCTTTTCACTTCTTTATTGTTGTTCTTTGAAGCAAAAAGTTTAATTCTGATGAAGTTTATCCATTTTTCCTTTTGCTGTTTATGATTTTTATATCATATCTAAGAAACCACTGTTTAACCCAAGGTTCAAAATGTACTCCTATGCTCTCTTCTCTTTTTTTTTTAGACAGAGTCTCACTTTGTCACCCAGGCTGGAGTGCAGCGGTGCGATCTTGGCTCACTGAAAGCTCCACCTTCCGGGTTCACACCATTCTCCTGCCTCAGCCTCCTGAGTAGCTGGGACTGCAGGCGCCTGCCACCACACCCGGCTAATTTTTTGTATTTTTAGCAGAGATGGGGTTTCACTGTGTTAGCCAGGATGTTCTCGATCTCCTGACCTTGTGATCTGCCTGCCTCAGCCTCCCAAATGCTGGGATTACAGGCACGAGCCACCTCACCCGGCCCATACCTATGCTCTCTTCTAAGAATTTTATAGCTTTATCTCTTAAATTTAGGTATTAGATCCATTTTGAGTTAATGTGTTTATATTATGTAAGGTAGGAGTCTAACTTTACTCTTTTGCATGTGGCCAGCCAGTTTTCACAGAACTATTTGTTGAGAAGACTATTCTATCTTCATGGAATTATGTTGTCCATCTTGTCAAATTGTTATAGATATTTGGTGGAGTAAACTAAAGGAAAAGCATTTAGGAATGTCTACTCAGAGTCAGAGCTAGGTTAAGCCCTTTATATATATTTTCCACATAAATCTCCCTGTTATACCATAAGGCAGTTATCTTTCCTGTTTTGCAGAGAAGCAAAACAAGCTGCTATGAGATTATATGAACTGTCCACGTGAACACAATTAATAAGTAATGGAATCAGGATTCAAATCTAAATCGTATTCTAAATCCTTTGTCTTTTTCACTGCTGCATAGAAATATCACTTCATCTGTGATATTATCCCTTTCAGTCCTCTTCCCCAGACAGAATTCAAGCTGACCCACTTTTCTAGGCATAAAGAAAGCCTAGAATGTCAGGGACATGATAGTCACTGGGTTTTTTTCACTAATGAGGCTGTGTTCTGAAGATACAATTGATTTCCTAAAATATGATAGAAACTTCCAGAAAAAAATCACAGCTAGGTTTATTCCGTACTGCAAATATTCACAAAGTTCTTTATCCCCTCTTAACCTTGTTAAAGCAATACCTATTTTAGATGGTGATGGACTGATCCTGCTTCCCAGTACATGACAACTCTGGGCTTTTTCTCTAATTAAAGTCTCCTATGATTTGAACTCAGCCCTTCTGAGACTAAGGGAACAAGAGAGGCCAAACTAGATACTGCCTTATGGCCATTTTCAGAGCCAATATGAGACCTGCAGAGCCAGTCTAGCAGTATAGTGGTCTAACAGCCGAGGGGCTGTTTCAAAAACTGCATACACATCATTAAAACAGCTTTAAAATCATCTTTAGAGAAGAAAAATAAATTACTCCTAATCCCACAACCTTAGCACAATACAAAATCGAATTCTATTTTTACATTTTCCCTTTTAGTTCTTGTCTATATGCAGAAACATATTTACATAATTGCAATCACAGTAAGTTTTATATACATCTTTTTTCACTTAACATTATTTCATAAACAATCTCCATGTTGCTATGTAGTTTACACACCATCTTTTTATCATCACTTTCTCTATTAAAAAATTGCACATGCTCATTGTACAAATTTTGAGAAACACAGAAAATTTATAGTGATGAAAATATCAGTTATCTCCCAGAGGCAATGACTATTTAATATTTTAGCACATTTACTTCTTTGCTTTTTTTCTCTGCATGTATAATTTTGTTTTACATAGTTGAGATCATATAGAATATAAAATTTTCTATTGATTTTTCACTTAATATTACAGCAGAAATATTTTCCCATGTCAATAATGTTGGATATTTAACTTGATTCTTGTTTCTCTACCTTATGAATAATTTCTCAACCTCTGCATGTATGTTTTTGTCTATATTTTGGTTTATTATCCTAAAATAGATTACTAGGGATGGAATTACCAGATCTATGAGCATTTTAAAAGTATATTTATTCTTAAAGTCTCTAGTATGTTCCAATTTTTATCTGTAGCCTTATTTGCAAAAAAAAAAGTTCTATTGTTGTGCATTATGTTATTTCTAGATGTTTTGCCCTTATAAATAACTCTACCATAAATTTATTTGTGCAAAAAGCTTTTTACTTTTTTATATTAGTTTTTTACTGGATATTTTAGAAATGGAATTTTTGGGTCAAAGACCATTAATATGTTTAAGGAATTATTGGGCTTTATTGCCAACTCATTTTCCGGAAAGATTGTACCAATTAATACTCCCACCTCCATCCCCCAAAAAACTCCATCTCTCAGGTCAACAACAAAAAACATCACATTGGTGTTACTCGGACGATTAGTTAAACCTGAATAAAGAAACTTCAGAATTTGAGAAATGCATAAAGGCAGGGAGAAGCATACATGTGCTTGTGGTCTCTGAGAGACAAACTAATTAGTATGTTCCTAAGGTATTTGTCCTGAGAAATCTATGAAAGATGCCGTTATTCCAGGGCTCCAGTGAAGGGATTGATCACTGGGAAGGGATCAGGTGTCCCATTTTGGAACATCCAGTTGAATGGACTGAGTTCTGGGAAGGTAGGGCATCGCAAGGCACCATAGCTGATCATCATGAGGGAGATCAGGTCAGGAAAGAACTGGTTAAGACCTTCACTATTAGGCTGAAGGCAGGCCTCAGGCCTAGAGGAACTTGAATTCAAGACACAAAAGCTAAATTAAATTAAGGCACAGGGACTATATAAGTAGGATTCTTCAGTCCAAGCCTAAATTAGCTTAAGCAAAAATAGAGAACTCATTGGTTCTTGTAAATGAATAATCCACAAATAAATCTGACATCTTGTGCATCTTGATACAGGGCTCAAAGGACCCAATCTGTTTTTCTCCTTCTCTTAACTCAACTTTCTCAGTATTAACACCATTCTCAGGCCACATGTGGTCTCACGATGGCTGTAGCAGCTGCAGACTTTACATTCTCCCAAATTCTACTCCTAGGAAAAACAAGAGACTCACTCAGAAGTCCTAGCAGAATTTTTTATCACTTCTCATTCTGTGATTGAGTCATAATGAACCCATCTTTGAACAAGTATATATGTCCAGGAAAGTCTGTTGTGCCGATTGGCTGAGAGGTGGCTCATAAATACCACCCCTGAAATTGGGGGATAAACTGGGGCCTGGCATTACTTGAAAATGGCCCAAATTTTGCAATATTGAAATTTTGCAGTGACTATCTCTGTGGCCATTTTAAGCCAAGTATATGAATTATAAAGCCTGAGAGCAGAACAAACATGGATCTGTTCTGCTTCACTCCTTGTATCCAAAAAATTAAGGCTACTAGAGGCTCCACAGCTAGAATCTCTGGGCAGTGAAGGGACTTATCATCAGGTGGTTGTAATATCTTGGACCTAAGGAGGGCTTTTCTGATTAAAGCCAGACCCATACCAGTGACCAAGGATCTTGGGAGCAGGCAGCAAGCCCTGGGGAGAGCAGACCACAGAGTCTAGGAGCTATGATTAACAGATATGGAGCAGGATGCCAGCCTTATTTATGAATCAAGATCATGGAGTAAAAGATTAGGAACCAGGTAGACCTGGGTTCCTATCTTGATTCTGCCACTTCTTAGCTCCCTGTCCTTATGAAAGATGTTAAACTGCCTTGGGGCTTAGTTTTTCATCAAATATGAATGGTGGCACCTATTTCATAGGGATGAAATAAAGATTAAGTGAGGTAATCATGACAATAAATCCCCTAGGACTTTATTATTAACATGTAAATGTAATGCATGTTAGAGGCTATGAACAGGAGCTCTGTTGATAACACCAGGCCTTCTGCACAATGAGGTTTGAGAGGAGATAAGAGCTCATCTAACTTTAGCTGGGAGGATGCTGGTTCTCATTGGTTCAGGGATGGAGGTCTAAATCCACAGGCTGAAGGTCTGCAGCAGCATAAGTCTGTCTCTACACTTATGGGGCATCAGGGAATATCTCTTGTAGGCCAGTGTAATGTGCTGTGACCTGAAGCAGTGCAATTATAGTCAACCTAGCCCAGCCATGAGGTAGACAGACCTCATGGGAATCTGAAGGATAAAGGAAAAAACGATCAATTTTGTCATTGTAATTGATTTGTAGTACATACATATGTTATATGTTCGAATCCTCTCTCTTCTGCTTTCAGTTTGGCCTTAGGAAGGCCTATTAAGTTTTCAGTGCCTTACTTCCATTTTACCGTTTATAAAAAAGCAAGATAGTAATAATACTTCTTAGAGTTTTGTGAAGATTAGATGTGATGTATGTAAAGTGGCTAATGTAGTAAAGTACATGACCCATAGATTTTAAATAAACAGTTATTACTGTGATTACATTGCTGCATCACAAATTACCCTAAACCTCAGCAGTTTCAAACATCAATAGATGTTTATTATCTCACACAGTTGTTGTAGGTCAAGAATCTGGTAACAGCTTAGCTGGATGGTTTTGGCTTGGGGTCTCTCATGAGGTTATAGTTAAGATGTCAGCCAAGGCTGTATCTATTTGAAGGGTTGAGTGGGGCTGGAGGATCATCTTTCCAGATGACTCATTCCTATGGATGGTAGGTTGGTGCTGGCTTTTGGCAGGAGACCTCAGTTCCTTGCCACATAGACTTCTCTGTGGGGCTGCTTGAGTCACAACATGGCAATTGACTTCCTTCAGAGTGACTAATCCAAAATAGGGCAAAGTAGAAGCTAAAATGTTTATTATGATCTAGGCTGAGAAGCCATAGCCTATCATTTCTATAATGTCCTACTAGTTATGTAAGTCAGCCCTATTCACCTGGGAGGAAACTAGACAAGGATGTGAATACTAGGAAGTTAGATTCATTCAGGGGCATCCTGGAGGCCAGCGCCAAAATGATAATGATGATGATTATGATTATCAGTATTACTTCTTTGGTTCCTTCAGACCCACTTATCTTTTCTCATTTCTCCAAGGATTTTCTTTTTCCCAAGATATGGCTTTTTGAGATTGCCTAGCCTCGCTTTTTGAGATTGGCAGAGATTTTGGAGAAAGGTATTAAGAATAATCTAGCTACATTTTTTCCATGAATAAACAGCTAAATTTGTCCATCTACACCTTCCTATCCTAACGTAGACCTAAAACTGTAAGAATGCTTGTTTTGGTAGTGAAAGTGTGAAACATTTTCTATTTGCTGGACTAAGAAAAGCAAAATTCTCTAATTTAGGAAAAAAGGTTATGTGCCCCAATGTCTAGTTTCCAGCTTATATCACAGTTCTTTACACACTTGGCAAATGAGTGTGGGGCTGCTACTGAATTCAGGCAAGTGTGATCCAAGTACATACATTAGGAGTTCCTAGAGATTAGGACCCATGGGCATGTCACGGAGGGTGGTACACATCCTTCATGCTCTGGTCTAAAACATCATCAAAGACAGTGAGGAGGATAGGCTAGAGGAATATGGGCATTTGGTCTTAGCAAGATTTACTGACCTGCCATTACTGGTGCTTACCCAATACTACTGGGACAAAAGAATAGAGTCTCTATCTCAAAAAGAAAGAAAAGAAAAAGAAAGTCTAAAATGCAGTGGAAACTTTGAGATCAGTTAGGCCAGGGTTCAAATCTTAGATCTGCCATTTGATCTTGATATGATTTGGGGCAAAACACTTAATTTGTCAAAGCTTCAAGTCTTTCATCCCTAAAATAGCACTAATAATATTGACTTCATAGGGCTGTCATGAGCATTAGATAAGATAAAGTAGGTATCTGAAAAAAAAAAAAAAAAAAAAAAAAGTACGTATCTGGCACATACCAGAACCTTGGAAATGCTCATGTTGTTATGGGAAGTTCTTCTCTGAGGATGGTCACCACAGATATCTCTTTTTTTGTTTTTTATTTTTCTCAATAACTTAGCCACAGGATATTAGGTCATTCTCTGACATGCCAATAGGCTCTATGTTTGGCATTTGCCATGCAATTTCCTCCTGTCCAGATGGTTGCTGAATAATTATCTTAAAAGCCTGATGCACTTCTCTCTAGAAACTGAAAAAATGAGGGAGGATCAGCCCAACCCAGATGAAGTCCGTTCTTTGATGGCTGGCTGGATGTCCTTACAAAGGATTTCCTTTCTGGTAAAGATTATACAGAAAACTGGCTTGTTAGAGAAGAGTTCTTAATTGCATTAATGAAAAGAAAACTGGTGGTTTTCAGCTATTTGTAGGGGAAATAAGACTTCCTTTTTTGTATCAAGGGCCATTTAATGAGTTTGTCAGGTGGGCTCAGTTCCAGCCTTAGACGGTGCATAGGGAAGCATCTCATATCACTTGATGATACTGTCTTAGAGGCCAGGTTCCAATTACTAACCCCCTTCCATGCTCTGGCCCCTGCCTATGTTTTGTTCCCTCAGCTAAACCAGCAGAGATTGTTTCAGAAACATGCTCGTGTTGGTCCCACTAAGTCCTCTACCCTGACTATGTTTTTTACTCAAAATCTCTTGGATCATCCTTTCCTTCCTTCCTAAAGATGCAGAGGAGGGGCAACCTAACCACTTTCTCTCCACTGGGTTTTTGTTGCTTTGGGCTATTTAGTTCACTGAAGCCCAGACATGGGCTGCTGTGTAAGTGTTCTCACTACGGATAAGGGCTCTGGTGCCACAGGACAAATATCAAAAAGTGTTTTAAAAAGGTATCCACTGCAGGGGGCGATAATAATAGCGCAATAATGACAACCACTACAAGTGGTTTTCATATAGCACATTACAATGGACAAGGTGATTTTTCAACCAACATTTTGCTTAAACAGCAAAACAACCATATGAAGTAGGCATCTGAGTCCTATTTTTGCCATTGAAGCTCAGAGAAATAAAAAGATTTGTCTATGGTTCACATGGCTTCTAGGTGGAAAAGTCAGAGTTTGAACCCAAGTTTTCCGACTCAAAATCCAATGAACTTCTGATTTCTCAGCTGCCTTCCTAATCACGGATGCTGGTTCATCCAGAGGTTGCTGAGATATTAGAAGAAAAACTGAATGGGTGGGAGGCTGAGGCGGGCAGATCGCTTGAGCCCAGGAGTTTGAGATCAGCCTGGGCAACATGGTGAAACCCCGTCTCTACAGAAAATTAGTCAGGTGTTGTGGCACATGCCAGTAGTCCCAGCTACTTGGGAGGTTGGTGTGGGAGGATCACCTGAGCTTGGGAAGTTGAAGTTGCAGTGAGCCGAGATCACACCACTGCATTCTAGCCTGGGTGACAGAGTGAGACCTAGGCTAAAAACAAAAACAAAACCAAACAAAAAAATGAATGGACAAATGAGCCATTTACTGCAGAAATGAGTATTGGGATGAGATAGTCATGGGGCCTGAGACAAGAGTCTGGCTACAGAAAATTAGGCAAAAAGGTCAGAGCAAATGCAGACAGCAAACCTTACCCACCAATTTACTAACCCAGTACTTCTTCCATCTGCTGTCCCTACCCTTACCTGACCACAAAGCCAGAATGATTCTGGGATCTGACAGCTGCAAACAGGGCTAAGTCACCTCAGTTGAAGGGATGGGTTGCTATAGTGCCTGGGGCCTAGAGCCAAGCAGATCATCACTACTTGTTGAGTTTAGGAATCCATTGATAGGTAAAATCCTCCATTTGTTCTCAAAGTATAGTCGGTGAATCATTTGTAACAAAATTACCTAGAGTTTTTATTTGTTATTTCAGGCTAGTTAACCACTGAAGCCCAGACAGGGGCTGCTGGGAGAGTGTTCTCACTATATGTGGAGTCTGTGGTACCAAAAGACAAATATCAAAAACTGTTTTATTTTTTATTTTCTTATTTTATTTTATTTTTTGAGATGGAGTCTTGCTCTCTCACCCAGGCTGGAGTGCAGTGGTGCGATCTCGGCTCACAGCAACCTCTGCCTCCCCGGTTCCAGCGATTTTCCTGCCTCAGCCTGCCAAGTAGCTGGGACTACAGGCACATGCCACCACACCCAGCTAATTTTTATATTTTTAGTAGAGACAGGGTTTCACCATGTTGGCCAGGCTAGTCTTGAGCTCCTGACCTCAAGTGATTCGTCCACTTCGGCCTCCCAAAGTGCTGGGATTACAGGCGTGAGCCACCGCCCCCAGTCTCAAAAAGTGTTTTAAATAATTATGTAGTGAGTGAACAAGAAAAGGGTGACTAGTATGATTGTCATCCTAGAAGCAGCAGATAAATAGTGAGAAGCAGTGAAGGTGGGAGTGAGGAGTAGATGGTAAGAAGCAAAGGAGAGGTAGCTAGAACACTGTTACTCAAAGTGTCATCCATGGACTGGTGCCAGAGTGTAAACTGTCCACAATGAGATAAATATAGAAATTGAGAGAAAGCATTTAGAAACTTTAATAGCAGTTTTACATTGCTGCAGCATAATATTTATGACCAGCATACTTTTTCAAAATGTCAGCTTATGATGAATTGGAAAGAGAGAGGCACTGTTGAAACATCGGCCAATATATAAATGCAGTTGTATGCACTCTTTATACATGCTTGTACCAGTGCTTTAGGTTTGAAAAAAATAAAGGCAAAGGCCAGTTTTTACCACAAGGCCTGGCACATAGCAGGGGCTTAGAAATAAACTTAATAAGGAGGCCATTTTCGTCTTAGTCAGCTATCAACCTAAGTCTTGCAAAGGATGACCCATTCCACCAGCCTGAAGTCTGAAGTACTGCTCCTGCCTTCTTCATTATTTTCCTTTCCACATCTGGCTGTTCTAGGCAGGTTTAACTTTTGCAGAAGCTGGGGTTCCCCTCCCAGCCCACCTGGAGCCTAAGTGGTGTTTGGTAAAGTTTAAACAACCCCATGTAGGGTGGTTGAAAAGCAATCTCCATTTCTTTTGAATAAGAAGAAGAAAGGGGAAAAAGGTGCTGCCATCTTTCTTTTAGTTGCTCATTAGGATTCTGGGTTACAGTGATGTTGCCTGGCCACTCTAATTGGATCTGTGCGCACACAGGTCTGTGCGGCTCCATTGAACGTTGACATTTCTAACTAACTGACCTTTTCAGGACCACTGGTACTCCTATAATGAGTGTGCAGCAGCATTTTGTGGACACAATACGGCAGACTTCACAGTGCCCAAAGAATGCAGGATTGAAAACTATTCAGAATTCCCAATCTCGAGTTAGCAAAATGAGAAAATTGGATCCCAACATTCATCAGCATGTTATTTTGCAGGTATCGATTTCAATGCCCTTTCATTTCTTTCGGAAAAAAAAATGTTGTATTATAGAGATCTAAATTAACTTTTGTTCTGTTATTTTTCCCCTGTACCTATAAAAAGGTCAAATGCATTCATAAGGCCGAGATAGATTTGCCAGATATAAAGCACTGAGATAGCAATCAACCTTCAAATAACCTTTAAGGAGACATTGGCTCTTCCATGAACAATAACTGATGTACTCATTAAAGCCATGAAATACTTTATGGCTTCACCTGAAGAACAGTTATAGGGCCAGTGGCAAAAATATGTCATTTAGAACAATGAGATAATGACTCAGACATTGAAATAGTTGTAGTCCGCCCATTAAGTCACTGGGACAGTAAGGGAACTTGGAAAGGAAACTGACATGATGTGAAAGGGGAATAGTGGTTTTCACCGTAGCCTGCAGGGACAAGATAGGCTGAGCCCAAACAGGAAAGAATATGATTTCTCAGTGTCCCCTGGCTTCACAGTAGAAAATTAGAAACTTTTTTTTTTCTTCACATAAATGCTGAAGGAACATAATGGATTTATTAGGGCCACTTTCTTCCCTCTGAGAAAGAGGGTATGGAGCAGGAAGCAGCTACAAGTGGCAGTTCTTCTGATGAGACAATGCCAACAGTGAGTGGGTGTGTGGCCCTTCTGCTAATGTTCCTTTGAGAATTATGTTTTTCTATTAATGTGTACCAATTCTAGAATCAGGCCACCATAGAACTATATTCTATAAGCATTTATGAGCACAGACTGTGTACCAGGTTCTGTGTTTGGTACTGAAAGGGATGTAAAAAATCATTTAATTTCATTTCAATTGAACTAAGTTTAATTCAACCCAATACATATTTCTTAAATATTTGTGTTCAGAACTAGATATAAAGAGATAAAAAAGACACCGTCTCTGTCCCCAAGACATTTATAGTCCAGGACTCCTTGTACTCACTTTGAAGATGAGAAAAGGAATCAATACTGAGGGTCTCCTTCAAAGTACTTTACTCTGCTAGGTACTATACGTTTTATTGTCTAAATCCTAGTTGCCATCTTATAATTGTAAATATCAAATCCTATTTTAGAGAAGAAGAAGCTAAGATTTAGGTTGTGTGATTCACTCAGGATCACCCAGCTGAGATTCACTCAGGATCATAAGTGGCTGAGAACGCCAATTCTAAAATACAGGCTTTTTTTTTTTTTTTGCCTCATTTCTTTATGAAAGTGCCTTCTTTGACCTTGGTTTCAGCTGCTCACACAAGAGTGGAGAAGTTTCTGGTAGAGTAAGTTTTTGTTTTTGTTTTGAGACAGAGTTTTGCTCTTGTTGCCCAGGCTAGAGTGCAATGGTGTGAACTCGGCTCCCTGCAACCTCCGCTTCCTGGGTTCAAGTGATTCTCCTGCCTCAGCCTCCCGAGTAGCTGGGATTACAGGCATGCGCCACCATGCCTGGCTAATTTTGTATTTTTAGTAGAGACGGGGTTTCTCCATGTTGATCAGGCTGGTCTCGAACTCCCAACCTCAGGTGATCCACCCCCCTCGGCCTCCCGAAGTGCTGGGATTACAGGCATGAGCCACCAGGCCCAGCCAAGTTCGTTTTTTTGTTTTTGTTTTTGTTTTTGTTTCAACTGGGTAACTTGACATGTGCAAAGGGATAACTATATCTTATAATGAGAAAACCACAACACTGTAATCAATGCTCTCATTAAGGTTGGGTAATACTTTAGGACTTCTCAAAAGAAAATGATTGTAGGTTATTTTATGTTGTTCAAGAGTAAAAAAAAAAATACATGACACATGGACTGCCAATCACTTATCTCATATACCCATGACATCAGTAAACTCTTTCCTGCTGAGCCTGGATTCATTTTCAAAACCTCTCTTACACAGTACTCTAGCCACTCACTATTCCCTTATATCTGCATGTGAGATAAAACCTACTTACCATGCCTAAACTGGTTTGTTTCACTTTGGATATGAAGTAACTGAGCCCAAGAGGAGAAAGGGCGTGCCAAAAGTCATGAAATAAATAAATGGTAGTTAAATGAATTATAGGCAATGAAGCAATATAAGAGGGATATCTAAGGCCTAAAGCCTGAAACAGAGGGTTAAGGTCAGTGTGAAGCAGGCAGGAGGTACTTGTGTCTTGATACCCACTATTTATTTTGCCTACTATAAATGAATTTCTTTCTTTCTTTCTTTCTTTCTTTCTTTCTTTCTTTCTTTCTTTCTTTCTTTCTTTCTTCTTTCTTTCTCCTTTCTTTTCTTTTTCTTATCTATCGATCTATCTATCTGTCTATCTATCTATCTATCTTACAAATCTTGAGTATTTAGCATGTAGCAGTACTACAGACCCATAATAACCCAGGTATAGCAGGCCCCTTTCTTTTAAAGTACAAATGGTTACCTTCCTATACTTATGGGTGGGACAATCAAGAAATTTAGTCTAAATGATGTGTTTTGGGCCTGAATTCTCTCTGATGATAGCTCCCAGGTTGTGGCTCTCACACTGCTGATAACCAGAAGAGTTTATACCCTTTAAGCCAATACTCTCAAGGAAGTGGGACAAGTCAGACCTGTACCTCCCTGGACTTCCTACCACATTGGCCTCCACTAGACCAGATACTTCAGCCTATGCTGTGAAAAACAGTGATAACACATAACACTTATGAGTACCTACATGCCAGGCACTGTTCTAAGTACTTTTGGTACATTAACTCACTTAATCTTCACAAAAACTTATATGATTAAATACCATAATTGTTATCATTTAACAGATGAATAAACTGAGTCTCAGAGAGCAAATAACTTGCCCAAAGTTTCATGGCCTGTAGCAAAGGTGGAATTTGAACCCAGGCAGTTCGGCTCCAGAATTTACTCTTAACTGCTATACTCTACTGGCATATAGATGCTCTTTACTTAAAAATTAGGAAAATCTCAAAAGGTTGTTACAGGAGGAATAAAGGGTACAATGCTAGCTAAGTTAGCTATGCTTCAGCTCTTGGGGTGGGAGGTAGAGAACTCCATATTTAGGCTTTTGCAAAGAGAGTGATTAATACCTCTGGACTTTACTCTGAATCCCCTTAACTTCCCTCACCCACATTTCATGCAGGCATCTCTTCAAATCTTCCAGTGTGGTGAGCATACTGTGCTCCTTCAGAACAAATCTATTGCTCCTCACTGGAGGTGCATTCATACCGCATTCTGTGTGAAATCCTTCAGGCTGCAGCCTGATGACTACTGCTATTCATGTTTGTTCAGACCTCTCAGTTTCTGGAGGTAGATTGAGTCCTAGGTCAGTGAATAAAGTAAATGTAAGTCACCTTGTTCCGATTAGAGCCATGGAAGCTATGAGGCAGGTATCTGTCACAGTGACAAGCACTTTTCTCTGATATGATGTAGCCTTGTTCCCTATCTGAAAAAAAAGCTAATTTTTTGATCAACATAGCTTTGACCTTACTCTTTAGGACTGACCAACCACCCTCCCCACTATTGTTCCAAGAAATATTCACTTCCTTCTGCCTCTCCTTGGGACTGGTCCTAATACAAGAAAAAACATACTAGCTGTCCAGAATTACATCTCTACTACCCAGGAAGAATTCCATACACTTGTGCTGATGAATGTGTTGCCTGTATGTTTGTTTACCATGAGATTGTTCATTGTAGTCCATCTTCCTCTGGTAGAAGCATAAAGGAAAGAGGTCACTAAGCAGGGACAGGACTTGAAATGGGAATTTATCCTACCATACAGAGATGAATCAGACATGTCCCTACCTGCTTCAAGAAAAATATAATCCATATGAGGTATAAATGAGAAATGCATACTGTGTGATAAGGGTCACTGTTGACTTAAATATATAAGCCATAGTGGAGGCAAAGAAGCAAGAGATCAACTCTTCTTGAAAGCATACCAAGAACGCTGACAAAGGAGGAAATGTCAGTTGGGTCTTTAAAAATGCACAGGAATTCACAACACTGGAGATGGGAGAGTGTTCTAAGCAAAGGAGAAGGCATATGCAAAGGATGAAGTAATACTAAAAATGGCTGGAATAATAAGGTGTTTATCAATCTTTGTCTTTCCTGTTAACAGGGCATATGACTTTGCACATGAGAGCTCAGTTAGTGCATGCGTTTCAAGAACATAGTAATCACTGGTGTCAAATAAAATTTTTAAAGCATCATTGATTTTAAACACAAAGAAGTCATTGTAGTCAGATGGGAAAGCATGGATACCAGATTGCAGAGGAGTGAGAAATCAGTGAAGGAGAGATTGCACGTGGAGACTACGCTTTCATGAAGCTTGACTGAGAAGAGATGTAGGACTGAGGGATAGCTTTTAAAAAAGCTGAGAGGGATTTGAACATGTTGATTAACTGTGGGTTAGGTCTTGGAAGCAGAGGAGGAGATGTTAAAGATCCTGCAGTGAGAGGGCATCAGGGCAGAGCTAGGGCCCAGGAGGCTGGAGCAGGTGGGTGCCAGAGCACAGAATTCACCATAGATGGATAGACAACCTGACAAAGACCAGCATGGCTGGTGTTGGGGGGCAGAAGGAGACTAATACTGAGCTCTACAGCTTAGGAATAACACTATTTCACAGGACAGATGTGAGGACTAAGTGCACTAAGACTGTGAGGAGTGCATGGCTTATAAGAAATATAATATTCAATATATGTAACCAAAATGTGGGAATCAGGAAGAAACAGAAGAGAACTCTGAGGCTCAGTTTGACCCATTGAGTTTACCCATTCTGTTGAGAGAGAAAAGTTCTCAGCATGGAGGGAAGTTCCAGTTCTATTATCTCACCAGGACTCAAGGCAAGTATTTCACCTCTCTCAGTCTCGGTTTTCTCATCTATAGAATGAGAAGTTTATACTAGATCATTTCAAAGGGCCTTTCTGACTAGAAAGTTCTATTAATCTGGGCGTCAATGAAATTCAGAATTTGGAATTTTTTGTTTCCACTTTGTTTTTGTTTAGAGTATATGTGTGTGTATGTTGCAATAAAATTTCATTATAAACACTGAAATTTGAATATTATATAATTGTATATGTCATAAGATATTCTTCTTTTGATTATGGTTTAACTATTCGAAAATATGAAAACCATTTTAGCTTATGGGCCATACAAAAACAGGTGGTCATGGGCCAGATTTTGCTATGATCATTTAAAGCTGATTTCTATTAAAAACAAAAAGATCTTTTGAACTTAATTTTAAAACCTCCATTTTAACAAAATATTTTATATTAAAACATGATCCTTAGAAATTTATATAAGCTCTAGGCAAAATATCACCTCATTATGAAAATTTCAGAAATCGTAAGTCACACATAGTTCAATAACCCTAAATCAATCATTGTTGTTCCAAAATAAGGCAATTTTATTACACATATAAATTTTTTTTATAAGGTACCCCTGCCCTGGACAATGTTTGTTGCTATTGTTTTACCATTTTAACCATTTTTAGGTGTACAGCTCAGTAGAGTTAAGTAAAATTACTTAACACTACTAAACAGATCGTCAGAATTTTTCACCTTGCAAAATCGAAATTCTACATACACTCATTAAACAACAGCTCCCCTTTTTCCCCTTCCCCCAGCTCCTGGTAACCACCATTCTACTTTCTGTGTCTATGAATTTGACTACTGTAAATATCTCATGTGAGTGGAATTCATACCATATTTTCTTTTTTGTGGCTAGCTTATTTCACTTAGCATAATGCCCTCATGGTTCATTGATGTTGTAGCATGCAACGAGATTTTCTTCCTTTTTAAAGCTGAATAATATTTCATTATATCTGTACACCAAATTTTGCTTATCTATTCATCCCTCGATGGAAATTTATGTTGTTTCTACCCTTGATTATTGTAAAGAATGCTGCTAAGAACCTGGATGTGCAAAATATCTCTTTTAGACCTTGCTTTCAGTCTTTTTGACTAAATAGTCAGAAGTAGGATTGCCGGATCATACAGCAGTTCGTTTTAATTTTCTGAGGAACCACCATTCCACTTTGCTTTATGGTTCTCTTTTCTTCCCTGTGAAAGGGAATATGATCCCATTTTCTCTTCTCTCTCTTATGTCCTTTGACAAATCAGATTTGTGACTGCTCATAGCTTTCTTTAGAGGGTCAATAATCCATGGGAAGACTTAAGCATCCACAGGAGAACTGGGGCAGCCATAATCATAAGAAACTCGAATGGAAAGTCCTGATCAATGTTAATTCTGTTAGTTTTCATTTCATTTATCGCTCTGATCTTAGTTTTTGAAAACGCTACACAGAGGACAATGACTTGGTGAGATCATCTTCAGTGAAATACACTCATCCACCTCTCCTAGAAAAAAAAAGAAAAAGGAAAGGAAGCCATTTCAAAAGATGAGATTGCTGGAATGATGGGAAATGGGGTGGTAGGGTGAGGAAAGTGCAGGCTGATGGGGAGGGATTGAGCAAGGAAATTGAAACCTTGAATGCAGAAAAAGATGTAAATGTTGCTTCCCAGATTTTATAGCTCCCAGATGCCTCCTCTAATTGCATAGCTAACCCTGAGTTTATTAAGTTATTTTCCAGAGTCAAACTCATTTGTATACATGTCAGAATGTAAACTGAATTTAAAAAGTAAGGTCTTTGGATTAGAATTCAGGAATGATAAACAAACTCATTTAGAACGTAAGATTTGCATGTCATTTGCATGTGCCCAAAAGCAATTACATGTGCTCTGTAAATATGCATTTCACATTTATTTGTCATGATGGAACAGTATGGAAGAAATTAATTGCCACAGATTTTTTTAATATTTAAAGAAAAAAATTATGACTCTTAAAATAGACTCTGCTAGTGCATGATTCAATGTGCAGAAACTGGCAAGAAGAGATAAGGATCCATCGAAAACCATAAATTCTCACTGCAACATCTGTAGTAGTTCAAATCTCATGGTTTATGGAGGCCCCTTTTTGCCTTCTCCTTGGGTATTACCATAGTGTTCTGTAGATTTATTGCTGGTTCAGTGCAAGGACAGTTTTACTAGCAAAGCTTTAAAATAAGGTGGGGGGTTGGAGGGCGGGGAGCTGTTTCCTCTTTGAAAGTTCAGGATTAAATTGAAATGAAATCGCTGCTCTGGCTTTAGAAACTTCTAGATAAACCAGACTCCCATATACTTCCACACTGTCTACAACCTGCTCCTTCTCTCTCTTCTTTTTTTTTGGGGGGGGGGGGTTTTGTAGTAAGAGATAGTTTGAATAACCAAGACTCTACCCTTAGATTACAAAGACACCTTAGAAAATTTGGAGGCCTCAAGTACTAGGTAGTAATGCCAATATGGGAAAGCTGTTTATTTTATGTCATTTTTTATTAACACACCGTTAAATTGACTTTTTAAATATACAGCTTTATGAATTTTAACACAGGTATATATTTGAGTAACTGCCACCACAACCAGGATACAGAACAGTGCCATCACCCTAGAAGACTCCCTTGTGCTACCTCTGGTAGTCACACCCTTCCTCCTAACCCCTAGCAAACACTGATCTGTTCTCTATCACTAGAATTTTGTCTTTTTAAGAGTGTCATAAACATGGAATCATATACAATGTAGCTTTTGAGAATAGCTGCTTTCACTTAGCTTAATGCTTCTGAGATTCATCCAAATTGTGTGTATCAATAGTTCATGCCTTTTCATTGCTTACAATTCCTTAGACTTGTATTATTCAATTGTATAGATGTGCCACAGTTTGTTAACCCATTCATCACTGAAGGCCATCTGAATTGTTTGCAGTTTTGGCGATTATGAATAAAAGCTTCTGTGAACATTCTTTTACAGGTTTTTGTGTGAACATAAGTTTTTTCATTTCTCTATGGTAAATACCTAGCAGTGAGATTGCTGGGTCATATAACAACTTTGTTTAACCTTTTAAGAAGCTGTACCAATTTTCATTCCTAGCAGCAATATTTGAGATTTCTGGTTACTCTGCATCCTTGCTAGCACTTGGAATTGTCAGTCTTTTTTATTTTATTCTCACCAGTCTAATTGGTCTGTAGTGATAGCTTGTGTTTTTAATTCTCATTTCCCTAATGTCTAATGATATTGAACAAGTGAAAGCTTTTCATGTATAATAATACATAAATTCATTTTAAGCTCCTACACTGTTAGGTATCTTACATGCATGTTAAGTCATTTAAACTTTACAACCTTGTGAGATGACTATTAATTATTCCATTTTAAAAGTTGAGAAAACTGAGGCCAGGAGAATTTAACTGCCTCGTTTTTCTCAATAAGCAGGTACGCATTGTATACTGTATGCCAGCTTCTGTGTCAGGCACCGGGCACACAGAGGTATCTCTGCCTTGGGAGTCTTATACACAGAGGTATTCTGTATGAATAGGGCATAGAGTAAAAGAGATTTAAGCCAGGAGAAGTGGGCTTTAATTGGCCATGGTTCCCAAATATCCCAGTGAAAACATGAAAATTAAGAGACTGAAGGTAGCGTGAACGTGTGGAAGAGTTAGACTTAACATCAGACTCATTTCTTCCTCTATAAAACACACTCATCATCTTTCCACTTCTCTCTCCTAAATCGGCAAAGAGCAGCTATATACCCTCAGCAGGAGTGAAAGCCATCTTCCTTTCCTGACCCACCAAGGCTGGGACCAGAGAGCAATTGTCAAGTGAGGAATGAAGCAAGTTACAGGACTTCTTATATAAAAAGACATAGAAGCCTCCCTTGCATACAGAAATTTGGCCGCAGTTGATACACACGCAATTAAGTGAGCACCCTCTGTCCACCACACACTGGGCTGACACCAAGAGCAGAGATGTATGGTGAACCAGGACGAGCACTGTATGTGGGGCCAGAAGTCTTGGATTGAGGTTTTGTTTCAGTTATTTCCCATTTCTTATTTTTCCTGGGCTTCAATTTGCCCGTATGCAAAGTTGAAGAAGTTAAAAAAAATTTCCTTCAACCAACCTCCTAATTCATCACCAACTCCTGTGTATTCTGCTTCTAAAATGTACCTTATACTCTCTGTCTCCCCTCTCCACTAACCTTTCCAGCCTCTGGTAACCACCATTTTATTTACTACCTCCAGGACATCAATGTTTTTAGCTCTCACATACAAGTAAGAACATGTGACATTTGTCTTTCTGTACTTGGCTTATTTCACTTAACCTAATGTCCTCCAGTTCCATCTAGTTGTTGCAAATGACAGGATTTCATTCTTCTTTATGTCAAAAAGACATAAAGACATTCAATTTCACATATATGTGTGTATATATACACACACATTTATGTATATGCACACACACCACATTTTCTTTATCCATCCGTTCTTTAATGGTTGCTTAGATTGAGTCCAGTATCTTGGCTGTTATGAATAGTGCTGCAATAAGATGGGAGTGCAGTTATCTCTTCAATATGCTGATTTCCTTTCTTTTCGATGGATATCCAGCATTGGAATTGCTGGATCGTATGTTATTTCTAATTGTAGTTTCTTGAAGAACCTCCTTACTGTTTTCCATAGTAGCTATACTAATTTACATTCCCATCAACAGTGTATGATCATTCCCCTTTCTCTGTGTCATCACCAGCATTTGTATTTTCTTTTTTATTTTGATAATAGCCAGTTTAACTGGGGTGAGATAATACCTCATTGTGGCTTTGATTTGCATTTCCCTGATAATTAGTGATGTTGAGCATTTTATACCTGTTGGCCATTTGTATGTCTTCTTTTCAGAAATTGCTATTCAGATCTTTTGCCCATTTTTAAATCAGATTGTTTTCTTGCTATTGAGTTGAGTTCCTTATATATTCTGGTTATTAATCCTTTGTAAATTGAATTGTTTGCAAATATTTTCCCCCACTCTGTAGTTTGTCTCTTCACTTTGTTGATTGTTTCCTTTGGTGTATAAAAGCTTTTTAGCTTCATGTAATCCCATTTGTCGATTTTTGCTTTGATTGTCTGTACTTTTGATGTCTTACTCAAGAAATCTTTGCCTAGACCAATGTCCTAAAGCATTTTCCCAACGTTTTCTTCTAGTAGTTTCATGGTTGCAGGTAATACATTTACATCTTTAACCTATTTTTATTTGATTTTTATATATGGTGAGAGATAGGGGTCTAGTTTTATTCTCCTGCATATGGATACCCAGCTTTCCCAGCACATTTACTAAAGAGCTTTTCCTTTCTCCAATGTTTGTTCTTGATGCCTTTGTCAAAAATGAGTTAATTAAATACGTGGATTTATTTCTGGGTTTTCTATTCTGTTCTACTGGTCTATATGTCTGTTTTTATGCTAGTATCATGCTGTTTGGGTTAATACAGCTTTATAGTATACTTTGATGTCAGGTAATGTGATGCCTCCAGCTTTGTGCTTTTGCTCAGGAACTTATTAGCTATTCTGGGTCTTTTGTGGTTCCAGAAAAATTTTAGGATTGCTTTTTTCTATTTCTGTGTTGAATTTCATTGGTATTTTTATAGGGATTGCACTGATCTGTAGATTGCTTTGGGTAGTTATTCATTGCTTTTCATCTGCAGTGCCATGTTTCTCTTCTATGCTACCAATCCCCCTCTTGCCTGGACTACTGTAATAGCTGCCTACTTGGTCTGCCAGTTTTAATTCTTGCCACTCTTTGGTACATTATCCTCACAACAGCCAGAGTCATATGGTTCTAAAAAGAACCAGAATCAAGTAGTATAATCTTCCTGATTAAAACCCTTTAATGGCTTCCCTTCACTTAAAATAAAATCCAAAATCCTTCCTATGTTCTACAGAGCTCTTTTGGCTTGAGTTCTTGTATCTCTCCCATGCCCCTCATACCACTCTCTCTATCACACTCACTGTATTAGTCAGGGTTCTCTAGAGAGACAGAACTAACAGGATATATATATATATATATATATATATATATAGTGTGTGTGTGTGCGTGTGTGTGCGTGTGTGTGTGTGTGTGTGTGTGTTCATTAAGTAATATTAACTCACACAATCACAAGGCCCCACAATAGGCCATCTGCAAGCTGAACAGCAAGGAAGCCAGTCCCAGTCCCGAAGCTGAAGAACTTGGAGTTCATTGTTCAAGGGCAGGAAGCATCCAGCATGGGAGAAAGATGTAGGCTGGGAGGCTAAGTGATCTTCCTGTTTTTCTGCCTGCTTTATATCCTAGCTGCACTGGCACCTGATTAGATGGTGCCCATCCAGATTAAGGATGGGTCTGCCTTTCCCAGCCCACTGACTCAAATGTTAATCTCCTTTGGACACACCCAGAATCAATACTTTGCATCCTTCAATCCAATCAAGTTGACACTCAGTATTAACCATCACACTCACTGTGCTGCAATCACAGTGGTCTCCATTTTGTTACTCAGACAAGTCAAACCCGTAACTAGCCTCTACAGTTATTGTTCTTTTTATCTGTAATGCCATCTCACCAAAAATATTTTCTGACTATTCTATTGAAAATCGCTTTCCTCATTTTACTTGCCAACTCACTATCCTATTGATTTTCCTTCATAGAACTTACTAGAAACAATAATTATTTTATGTCTCTATATATCTTACTATTATATAATTAATAATTATATATTATCATATTACTTATGTTATATAATATTACTATATATAATATATGATGTTATTTATTTACATATAATATTGTATATATTATCTTTTTATTATTTTATATTTTATTATCTTTTAACCCTCATGAGAATAAAGACTTTGTCTATTACATTTAGCCCAGCCTCTACAACCAGCACATAAAAGAAGTTCTGTAAATATTTGTTTAATAAATGAATCTAAGTCTATTTAAACACTGACATTTATTTCCTTATCTCCTGGGCTCATTCTACTCATTTCTATGAACTGGCATATCTCACAAGGTTGTTTTGTCAGATGAGACAAGGCATGTTAAGACACCAAACGAAGTTAAGAAATTATTATACGTATCATCATCATTATCATCATCCAAGGCATTTTCCCATCTGACACTGATTTTTTGTTATTGGTTTTCTTGTGGGGTTTTTTTGATCCCTAGGGAAACTTCCAACCAAAGATCCTTTTTTTTCTTTTGTGCAGTAGACACCTGGCAATGTTTGCTTCATAGCCCTGATTCAAGGTGTCACAACTATTTATCATCAAGCTACTGGCATGAGTATCATTCCCGCAAGTATGTTTTTAGGAAGGATAGTCTTAGGCATTTGGAGTATAAAGAAGAAAAGCTTTAAGATCACAAAATTATTGAACCACAGAATGTCAGCACTGGAAGACCTTTGAAGGATTACCTAATCCTATGGTTTGCAGATTCCTACTTTTTTTTTTTTTTTTTTTTTGAGGAAACTTAGTAGCCTCCCTGGTGGGTGAGAGGGATGCTGAGGCCCCAGAAAGGGATTTGTGCAAGGTTATAGAGCAATTTGTAACAGAACCAAGACATATCTGGGTTGCCTGTCCTCTGCCTCTACTCCTTCTGGTGCTTCACCTAAAGATCTCAATGCATTCACTTTTTTCCATCTCCACTGCCACCACCCTGCTCCAAAATGTCATTCTCTTTCATCTGAACTACTGCAATAGTCCTCTAACTGGTGTCCCTGGAACCACTCGTCAAACAGTACATGTGGTCATTTCTGTACCCACTTTTTCCATCTCCACTGGCTTAAAACCTTTCAGTGACTTTCCAAGATTTTCAGGGTAATCACACCAGCCTTATCTCATATTCCTCCTCTGCCCCAGTATTCATTCCATACTGGCTTCTTCCAATTTCTGTGATTTACATGGTTTCTGTGATTACAGGTTTTTGGACATGATATTCCCTCTGCTGGGATCAGTGTTGTCTCTCAAATTTCCTTATTGGAAGAACTTAAAAGCAGCATTCTGATTAGAGAGTTCTAGGGTCTTGAAGTTGCATTTCTATAGAGAAAGCAAATTGTTTTTAGTTAGATTATTTTTGATTGTATATTTAGAATTGGCAGAGGCTTATTAAGATTATAGACCCCTGAACTACCCCTGAATGCTTCCATTTTACTGTAACATTCTTGCTTTCTTCACTCTAGTACTACCTACACATCATTTGTATCTCAACTCAAACTTACTTCCTCAGGGAAACCTTCCTTGAACCCATAATCTTGGTCAGACCCCTTTGCTATATGCACTCATAGAACACTGTTCTTTCTTTCATAGCACTCATCTCAGAGTGTAATTATACCCATATTTGTGTGATTATTTAAGGAACATCTGTCTCTCCCACTAGCCTATAAGTTCCAGGAGGACAGAGTTCATGTCTGTTTTTGCTCATCATTAGATCCCAGCATCTGACATAATCTTAGTCACTTAAAAGGTGTTTAATCTGTTGAATAAATAGATAAACATAAACATTCTGCCCCTGATAGGGGTTCTAAGAGATAATTTTGGCAGGGTAGACTGACTCCCTCATCTCAAACCTCACTGAGTAGGGCCAAACCCATAAGTCCATTTAGTAGCATAAAATAGTGCTTAGAGACCTTTGTTTCTGAGAAGCCCAGTTTAAATCCAGAGCATTTGAGTATTTAACACATTTATAACTCACCATTCACAGAGGAACCCTGGGGTCTATGATAGACAGCTATTTTTTATTAGGATAAGGCATTTGTTTGAAACCTCAATCACTGCAAAGCCTAATTATAAGAACAAATCACAAGGCTGGTAAAGAAAGCCAGCCGCCACCAGCACCCTGGTTCTGAAGAAAGAATGGTCTCTCCAGATGCTGAACATGCAACAACTTTCACCAAGTTAGGAATCTGGGGCTTTGTGAAGGTATGGTTCAATGATGACAAAGGTCAACAGAATTTTATTCTCAACTCAAACTCCTCTTGGAAATGAGAAGTTTCCTAACTCTTTGCCTGTCTGCTCAACCTGTTATAACAAAATGCCATAGACTTAGTGGCTTAAACAACAAACATTTATTTCTCACAGTTCTGGAGGCTGGAAAGTCCAAGATCAAGGTGCCTTGGTGAGGGCTCTCTTTCTGGCTTGCAGACAGCCTCCTTCTTGCTGTGTCCTCAGTAGAAAGAGAAAAAGATTTCTGGTCTCCCTTTCTCTTCTTATAAAGACATTAATCCCATCATGAGGGCCCAACTCTCATAGCCTCATGTAAACCTAAAGACCTCCCAAAGGCCTTACCTCCACATACTATCATATTGAAAGTTAGGGCTTCAAAATATGAATTTTAGGAGGACACAAACATTCAGACCACAATATTCCGCCCCTGGCCCCCCAATATTCACATCGTTCTCTCATGCAAAATACATTAATTCCTCCCATCAGCCCCAGAGTCTTAACTCATTCCAGCATCAACTCTAATATCTAATGTTCAAAGTCTCACTTAAATATCATCTAAATCAGATATGGGTGAGACTCAAAATACAATTTATCCTTAGGCAAAATTCATCTCCATCTATGAAGCTATGAAACCAGACATATGTTATGTGCTTCCAGAATACAGTGCTAGGGTAGTCATAGAATTGACATTCCTATTCCAAAAAGGGAGAAATCGGAAGGAAGAAAGAGGTGATGGATTCTGAGCAAGTCCAAAACATACCAGGGAGAACTCCATTAGATATTATGGCTTGCAAATAACCCTCTTTGATTCAATGCTCTGCCCCTAAGGTACTGGGCAGGGGCATTCTGATCTGTCAACACCAGAGTGGGAACCCCACCCTTTGAAATGGAAAAGGAACTAGCCCTGTCCCCTGGGCCTGTGGTGGAAGTGGCAGTCCTGATAATCTCTGAATTACTTTTGGTGTCAATCTTCCCCTTTTTTGAGGAACAGGGCACATTTATAGCTAAATAGCTCTATGTTTTTATCTTGTAAAATACAAGAAGCCCAACAACCATGCTTCATTCTGTCCTGATTTCTGAGTCTCCTTTACTTCTAGCTGGCAGTGTTTCCCCTGGTATAATCTCATTTATTCATGGCTTCTGTTGAGATGGCTGATTAAGTTCATGAGTTATACCAATGGACCAATGATCTGTTTATCAAATGATAGTCTGGCCACCTCCTTGGTGTTCTCTTCTAAACATATGTTCTCACTTTCTGCAATATGGATAAATTGAGAATTTTCCAAATCTTTACATTCAGCTTGCTTTTTGCTTAACAATTCACCCTTTCAATTCATCTCTCTTCTCACATTTTATTATAAGCAGCCAGGAGGAACCAAGCTAGTTCTTTTACACATTGCTTAGAAATCCCTTCAGCTAAATATCCAATTTCATTGTTTGCAAGTTCTACCTTTCACAAAACACTAGAACACAGTTCAGCCAAGTTCTTTGTCACTTAATAACAGATTGCAAAAGGATTGCCTTCCCTCTAGTATCTAATAACATGTTTCTCATTTCCATCTGAGACATCAACAGATGTGCTTTTAATGTTCATATGTCTAACTTGCACCTCAAAACTCTTCCAGCCTCTGCACACTACCCAGTTCCAAAGCCATGCTATGTGTTTCAGCATTTCTAGCAGCAGCATCCCACTTCTCAGCACTAAACTGCACTACTTAGGGTTCTGTAGATAAACAGAACCAATAGGAGACCTAGATCTGTATTGTAAGTAATTGGCTCACATGATTAGGGAGGCAGAGAGGTCTCATCATCTGCAACTGGCAAATTAGAGACCCAGGAGAGCTGGTGATGTAGCTCCAGTTTGAGTCTGAAGGCCTGAGAACCAGAACTGATGGTGTAAATTCTTATCCAAGTCCAAAGGTCTGAGAACCAGGACAGCCAATGGTATAAGTCAGAGTCTGAGGACAGGAGAAGATGTGTAAGCTTAGGCACTCAGGAAGAGAGCAAATTTTCCCTTTCTCTGCCTTTTTATTCTATCCAGGCTCTTAACAGATTGAATGAGGCTCACCCACACCAGAGAGGACAATCTACTTTACTTAGTCTATTAATTGAATATTAATCTCATCCAGAAACACCCACATAGGCATGCCCAGAAATAACATTCAAGCAAATATCTGGGCACTCCGTGATCCAGTCAAGTTGACACATAAAATTAACCATCACAGTCTCTTTCCTTTTATTTGCAATAATTTGAGGTCCTCTTTGTGCCAGGCTCTGAGCTACCCACAAGAGGGGCAAGAATTCCAAGCCCTGAACCTCAAGGTACTCACAACCTAGCGAGTACCTTGAAAAACTTTGTGGCAACAATAAGAGGGAAAGGTTATTGATGCCATTAGAGCAGAGAAAACATGATTACCTTAGAAAGCCATGTTCTCCCCTGAGATGGAGTCTGAGCTGTGCAGAATTCACACGGCAGGTCCATCAACTCGCTAAAGTATTAGGATGTTTATTTGTGTGACTATGAGTCTATGAGTACCTTCTAAAAACAGCAACCATCTCCTTATGTAAGTGCCAGTGAGCGGATGCAGCTCCAGGAGAGGAAACCCCAAGCATTTTCCAGTGTTTCCCCAACCACCTTCAGTGCCAAGGGCTCTGGGGAGCAAGGACATTATGCCAGACACTCCTGACTTCTTGATCCTACTGCACCCCTTCTACTTTGTGTATGAAAGTAATGCCTTAATCTCTCTGACTCATTTTTCTTCACTTATAAAATGGGGATAATTAAAAAGTACCCTCAGGGTTGTTCTGAGGATCAACTGGGATAATGATTCAGTGTTCTACCTAACACATTGCCTGCTAAAGTAGATCTGTAATGAAGGTGAATCTTTCTCACATCCCTCCACTTGTCCCCACTCTATATCCCTGTATTGCCAGGTCTGATTACTGTCAAAACATGGATTTCCTTGCAGAGATGAGGTAATCCTCACTCAGCAAAAAGAAACTGCTTTTCACAACATGTGTTTATTCATTCAGTGAGTTTTTATTGTGTACCGATTATGTATGAGAGAATAGATTTCAATGTAACTAAAAACCTCACCCAACTCATGTCAAAATCTTGCTCAATCCACAAATGCCCTTTCAAGTTAATTCAGCTATCCCATATTAAGTACTACCATGTGCCAAGCACTGAGTTAGTGGCTATGATTCAGAAACAAAGGATACATTGTCCTTGCTTCAAGAAGTTAAAAAATCATATGCTGCAAAAAACTAAATGTTACAGCAGAGGTGCATAAAAAGTATAAAGGGAGCCCAGAGACATCCTTCCCGACAAAGTAAGGCAAGGCTTCAGAAAGGAAGTAATAGTCGAACTTGGCTTCAGCAGAGAGGTAGGATTAACTTGCATCTGACTTACATCTCTGTAGCACTTGGGATTTTGCAAAATATTTTGGTAACAAGAGGCTCTCTCAGATATGGAACCTTGTTCTGGGCCCCAGTAGGAGGGAGGAGCGCCTGGATCATAGCTGGAAGGATGGAGGAGAGGGACTTAGTTCTTCCAGCCCAGAGGGCCAGAGAGCTGAGGTGACTTGCCCAAGGTCACAAAGAAAACAAGCTTATAGACTATACTTCTGCCCTCTACACTAATCTTCCCAGATGTTCATATGGTTCACTCCCTCATGTCATTAAGAATGACTCAAATGGCCTCTCCTCAGAGAGACTTTTACTGAGCCCCAATCCAAAAATTAATTCCTTTCACAGTTCATTTCCTTACCCGAAAATGCTCCCTTTTACTTCACAGGTCTCATTGCTACCTGACATTATATAACCATTTGGGTTTTCTCTATCTTCCCCACAAGATTGTGAGTTGATGGGGACAGGGACCTTGTTTGTCTTGTTCAATGGGAATGTCTAGAACAATGCTTGGTATGTAGCAGGCCCTCAGCAATATTTGTTAGATGAATGAACTTTTACGTTTAAAAAAAATGAAATAATGTTGTGATGAACAGCTTTATTCTTCCATTTTTATACAATTATCCAAATATTTTCTTATGATCTATTCCCAAAAGCAAAATTGCTAGGTGCCCAAAGTTATTTATTGATTAGCTCAGTGACTGGCATACAGCAGATATTTGATTAACATCTACCAAGTGACTGAAATTGAATGTTTTTCTTGAATGGCACCAAATTAACTGATTCCAGATTTGAATTCTGCCAGTATCTAATTGAGCATCTAAACCATTTGTTCATTCATTTATTAACTTATCAGACATTACCTACATTGTGGATACAAAATCGGGGGAATTGGTCCCCTGACCTCAAGAGGCTCTCAGTCTAATGAGGAAGACAGACAGGTTAGGCAATAGTTTGGCACTAAGCTAGAAACTCATTTTCTCTTACCAGTGATCCTGGCTACTTGGTTCTTAACATGTATAACCTCAGGCAATTTGTATGACCCCTCTGAACTTGTGTTTTCTCATCTGTAAAGTAGAGTTGCAATGCCTATTTCACAGGGCTGTGGAGAAGAATGGCATGTGAATGCACATAGAAACACTTGGGATACTGCCTGGCATATAGCAAGAGTTCTACAAATGTTAATTAACATTATTTCTAGCCTCATTTTATAGAAACGACTGAGGCGCAGCAAAAATTCAACTGTTTGTCTAAGGTAAGTAGTATAGATGGAATTTGAATCCAGATCTCCCAACTTCATTCCCAGGCACTCCCTGCATTGTGATTCTGCCTGCATCATTAAGACCTCTTTTCCTGTGGCTGCTACCTTCTCCCAGACTTTGGAACATGGGTACCAAGCCTTGAGTTGAGTCTCTAGGCCTCCTGGTGCTCATCCAACCCTTGCTCCCCTACTCTCTCTTTTTCCTTTGCACTATGCTGACAGCCCCCTAACTGCAACCCCACATGTTAATAGTTTTATGAAAAAAAATGTATTTTGATAATTAAGCTGGTGGAATTTAGAAATCAACAGAACAGTACATTTTCCCAGCAGAGCCAAGAAATTAATTAGGAGCAATTTGCTGTCAGAAACAATTTCCATAATTTTAAGTTTAAAAAAAAGCAGAAAATCATTTTTGTGGGTTTTTTTTTTCCTGCTTTCCATTCCAAAGTGGTTTAACTCCTGGAAAAACAAATTCTTCCAACTACCCTATTTTCTGTTCTTCAGTCTCTTCCCCTGAGAGATGTTTCAGCCTCTCTCTGACTGGTTATATTCAAGGGTGAGGAGGAATAATATGAGACAGAACCTTTTTGATCCCCTCCTTCACCCCATAGGGCAGAACTTATACTTTTCCAATGGCATGATTATAAAATGTGCACATTCCTATCTCAGTAATGGGGGGATATATGATGCCTTTGGAAAGGAGACTGAAAGGGGAGAAACAGAGGTCATGGTACACTGAATGAGGGTCCTAGTGGGCCACCAGGCAGACAAGACTGCTCTATAGAGAGGCATTAAAGCATTGTGGCCAACGGCATAGGCTGTAACTCTGGAGCCAGACTGACTAGGATCACATCTCAACACTGTCCTTTTACTATCTATGCGATCCTGGTATAGTTCTTTAATTTCTCTGTGACTCAGTTTCCTGATAAAGTAGCTCTGATGGTTTATGATGGTCCACCAAGCTCTTATGTCCACACTAAGACCACAATGCCTGGCATATGGCAAGTGCTCATGACTGTTTCTGATGATGAGTGGCAGGAACAAGCTCCCAAAAAGAGAAGTGTAAGCTGTCACTGGGTTCATCTTAGACCTTGGACACTCTAGTTCCAGACTCAGAATGGCCAAAACTAAAGATCTATTCTATCTCAACAACCCTTTATTTTGGAAGGCATCATAGCAAAGAGCAATGGTTGTGAGATATCTTACACACATACACACACACACGTACACAATGCTAAGAATAGTGAAAATACCAAGGTTTGCAAATGATCTACTTTTTTATATGAGGTAAAGCAGATTTAAAGTTACTTCTATGATAATGATAATGTCACTCTTCATTTTCTTACAATTCAAATATGAGAGGAAAAAAAGGGAGTTGAGTTATAACTAGAGCTAAGTAATGGATTTTAACTGGCAGAACTGGCAGCCTAGAATTATCCTTAACACAACCTGTTGTGAACAAGCATTACTGTTGCACAGTTAATAGTTTTGACTGAGTTGTTATCATGTATTATTTCCATGATATTTTTTAGTTTCATCTAAATCTGAATGTATCAGTCAGTACATAACCAAGAAAAAAAATCACTCCAAATATTTGAAACAAAGAGGATTCAATGCAGGGAACTGGCACCAGTTGAGAAGCCAAACAGGAAATGGTAAAGAAACTCAGAGATTAGCAACAATAGGAAGATACTCTCACCCTGGGCATAAGGGTCAAAGGGAGAACAGGTGGCACTGGATCCTAGGAGCCATGGTTACCTAGCAAAAGATAGAGCCTTGGCAACCTCCATGGCTCTATCCAGCAAGTGCTAGAGCAATGGAGGAGACTCAGCTGCTGCCAGAGACACCTCTATGGTGGTAGGAGGGGAGTAATCCGTCTTCTCTCTTCTACTGTCTGATGTTTTGGCATGAGGTGGGAGAGATTTGAACCCCATTTTCTTTTTTTCTTTTTTTTTTTTTTTGAGATGGAGTTGCCCAGGCTGGAGTACAGTGGCGCAATCTTGGCTCACTGCAACCTCCACCTGCTGGGTTCAAGCAATTCTTCTGCCTCAGCCTCCCAAGTAGCTGGGACTACAGGTGCATACCACCATGCCCGGCTAATTTGTGTGTGTGTGTGTGTGTGTGTGTGTGTGTGTGTGTGTGTGTGTGTGTATTTTTAGTAGAGACGGGGTCTCACATGCTGGGCAGGCTGGTCTCAAACTCCTGACCTCGTGATCTGCCCGCCTCGGCCTCCCAAAGTGCTGGGATTACAGGCATGAGCCGCCGCTCCTGGCCCCCATTTTCAATACTTACTAGCAATGCAGCTCCCTGCTAGTCCCCAGCCTGTTTTCACTTTTGTGACTCCATTTGTAAAAGGGAATATCCACCACATGAGGTTTGTCTCATCCCCCAGCCTGTGGAAAATTTCCCAGCTGTCATGATTCTGTACAGCTAAGACTGTTTCTTGCTTGCAACCCGCTTAAAAGGGCTTCCTAAACAAGGAAGCATGCAGAACTACATGTCTGCACACAGTAGTTACTCAAGAAATTATGTTTGCCTTGAGTTGAAGTTGATAACTGCATGGGGCAGTTATCCAGAGCAAGGACATGGAGCCAGACAATCTGAGAGCCAAGAAAACGATAGCAGTGTGGATGGTGGCCAACAGTGTGAAGACACAAGACCAGAGCTTTCACCCCAGTAGGCTTCTGGGGCTTTTCTGTAGCATAAGCAGATGTTGGCTGTATGTAAAGACCCATGACCTGGGAAGCTAGGGAGAGGCCAGGATTATAAGAGTTAATATTTACAAAGTGCTTGCCATGCCATTTTGTGAGAGATAAGAATTACTTTCCCTATTACTCCTCTTTCATTTGCTTCAGCATGAATTTACTAAGCACCTTGGCTATATCGAGACCTGCTCTAGTCAGTAAAGATGCAGAGACAGTATAATGGAGGAAAGACATGGAAGCAACCAACTAAAATTCAAATACTGCAGACTTTCTACCAAATGAAAGTATAGTACAGTAATAGCATACTGAGGCAATACAAAAATGGTAATTCTGATTTAAGAAATCAGGGGTAATTTCAAAGAAAACATAGCATTTGTCCAGAATCTTGAAGGACAAACAAGATCTTGACTTGTTTGAGATCTTGACTTATCTTGATCTTGATAGAGGGGGAAAGAATATTCAGGCAGTGGGAAAAGCATAGTGGTGAAAGAGTGCAGAGCCTATTTGAGGACTGGTGAATAGTCCCATGTAGCAGACTCCGGGGCATGGGGATAAGAGGAGAGTGTGAAGTGATGCAATGGAAGATGAGGGTGGGAAGGACATTGGAGCCAGATCCTTGAAGGTTTCCTGTTAACCAGAAAGACTCAGCGTTTGTTAAGTCTTTTAGGGTTCAGAAGGTTGGGCTCAAATAGGCAATATGCTGGCATGGAATCAAAATCATGGAAACAATTAAGGGGAACAAGATAAAACTTATTCTTCTCCTGCCTAGACCTTTATTCAATCCACTATCTGGAGGTGTTTGTAACCTCTAACTTTCCAGCCTCCTCTTGCTTTATATCTTCTTTCTTGGGCCATGAGGCCATTTCCAAATTTTCTTAACCTGAAGTTCATCTGATTCCTAGGCTCTGGAGTCTCTTTGAATGAAGCTTATTATCTCCCACCACAAACCTGCTTTTGGTTGGGTGTGGGGTGCAAAGGAACCAGGTGGTGGACTGGGATTGTAGCTCACATACATGTTTTGCTAATGTGTGCCAGTTCTCTGGCCCAGAATGCCAGTTTCAGTAGTTCATGGTGATGGTACATGGCTTTAACAGTGCCAGCCAATTCAGCAAACTCCTTCACACCTTTTATTTTGTTTAATTATCCTACCAATTATCAATTGGTATAATGCAATTATCATCAGCCCCATTTTACAGAATGTGAGACTGAAGCATGTGATAGTAGCTGAGGCTGGCTTGGGACTCTCATCTTCTGAAGCAAGCTAAAGATTGACTGTAGAGGGAAGGGTTATCAAAGGAGTGACAGGAGGGAGATCCTCATTACCTGAGATTTTAGGGAAGAAGTTGTTCCTTGAAGCTTGGGGCTTAAATGCAATAAAGGGATCGTTTATAAGAGAAAGTCCCTGTCACTTTGAATTGTGGGTGAAGGTAGAAGGGCTCTGAGATCCAAAATGAAGGTCCTAGACAAGCAGAGGGCAAAGCCACGGAGTCTGAAAGCAGTGGAGAAGTCCTTCCTTTCATTTCTTCCCCCCTAAATCTTCCAGCACAGGACTTCCCTGCTTAAGCACCTTCCTTGTCTCCCCATTGCCCATAGAAGACAGTGCAATGTCATTAACAGGGCACTGAGAGACACATACAGACTACCTCCAAGAGATATTTCCATTTTTATCTCTTAGATGCTCTGAGTTTTTCACTTGGTACTTGCATATATGATGCATTTTACCACTTCTTTGCCTTTGCTCATGCTCTTTCTTCTGAGGAAAATGCCCTTTCCCCTTGGTTCCTACTTGTTCCTTTATTTATGCACTTATTCACTTAGTCAATGAGCGAATAAAATACCTATTATACGCCAAGCACTCCTCTGGGCACTGGGAATACAATAGAAAACATCATAAAATATCAATAGTCTCTGCTTACATGGGGGAAGGTGGAAAGTATTAAACAATCACACAAATATATACAGACAAACTCTAATCAGGGCAAAGAAAAAATAAATGGTGCAATAAGATATTGTGCCACAAAGTCCTAGTTATGCTGGGATATCAAGGAGGGCTTTTCTGAGGTGGGATATTTAAATTGACCCTTAAGACCTCTGATACCATCAGGACAGTTCAGGGACAGAATCTTCTATAAAACTGACTCCAGAGGCTGGTTGGAGTATTGGAAGTCACAGACCCAGTGAGAAGGCGGGTTGCGCTAAAATCGGAATCTTTCCCTCCCTCCTGGCCTCCGCAGCAATTCCCAAAATAGGAAGCGAAGAGAATTGTGTTTGTGTTCGAAGCTGAAATTATTCTTGTTTCCCTCCTCCCTCCAAGCTACCCCTGCCGGTATGTTTCTCACCCATCTCAGTATTCATTTTAGAGTCATAAAGAGCCTAACATGAGCATCTCCCATGTGCCAAACATGTGCTAGGCACTTGATGTACATCTTCACATTAAATCCTTACAGCAATGTGCTGAGGTCAGTATTACAGTTCTAATTGCATAAATGGAGAAACTGAGGCTCAGTAAGGTTAAGAGATTTGCCAGTTTTACACAGGTAGTTGCAGAGCTGAGATTCCAGGTCAGCCAGTCACACCCACTTGTTCTAGCACTGCTCTCTGGAGCACGCAGAGCACATCTGCTTCCTCGCTTGCCCCCGTAGCCCCTCAGCTTTGAAGGCAGTAACCTGGCCTACCTCCAAGTCATCTCTTCTCCAGGCCAAGCTCCCCAGCCATTAGCTTTTATCCCAAGGATGTCAGGTTTAGAGCCTTTTTACCCCTAGTTGTTCTTCTTCCACTGGGATCTTGTTTGTTCCTTTGGAGAGCAAATCTAGGCATGCTACTCCAGCAAGTAGATTCCTCCCCCAACTCCCACTGACCTGCATCTAAACACCAATACCTCACTAGAGCTAATAAAGCCTTGTGTGACTGACCTCTGTCTGCCTCTCCAGTCTTACATTTTAACATTTACCCAACCACTATCTCCTCTACCACCCCTCACCCTAACACTCTGCACTCTGAACTTTCTGATGTCCTCCATTCTTTCTTACTGCTCTTCCTAACCTATCTATTCCTGTGCCTTCAGTTAACTGACTCCCATTTATTAGAGGTTAAGTCTTCATAAGAAAAGTCTGCTCTGATCATGTGGGTTATGGTGAATGTTCTTCATCCATGCTCACATGACCCCCATGTATTTTAGGTCCTAGCTCTTGGTGTGCTGGTTTGTGACTGTCATCTTATATATGACTCCCCCATTGTGAGCCACTTAAAAGCAGAAAAATAGGTTTGACTTTCCTTTCTTTACATTCCCAGTGGCATATATTAGGTGTTCAGTGAAAACAGAGGAAAAGAAGGAAGAAAGAAGGGAGGGAGGAAGAGAGAAAGGCTCAAAGAAACACATGGCTCTTGGAGGGCTCACAGTCTTATTGACACATCTTGGGAGAAGGAAACTATCCTAATGACATGTGCACATATACACACACACACACACACCTTTTGTCCCACCATCCTTTTCTCTTATGTATTCCTGGTAACGATTCTGATAAGCAGATATTCCCATTCTACAGATGCCAAAACTAAGGCCTAGCAGAGGTTCCTTAATTCAGAGATGAAATAAATAGACCTGAAATTCAAGTGATATCAACATTCATTTGTTCAATTATTCATCCATGCATTACACATGCTTTGGTACCTCTTCTGTTCCATATTTTGTGTTGGCCACTGGGAAACAGGAGAATCAGATTTATTCCTGACCTAGAGAAAGTCTAAAGGAGGACAAGGAGAAGTGAAGCAATGCAGTACAATAGTCATAGCCAAGTAGAAATGTGTGCAGGGTGCTGTGTGAGCAGCAAGGAAGGGGCAGGAAGCTTTTCCTAAGCAGGAGGCATTGAAGCTGGGTTTTGAGGGGAAAATGGGAACTTCTCAGGCAGACAACAAAGGTGAAGTACATTCTAAACAGAGGCCTTGGGAAAAGAAGAAGGAGAGAATCAGGAAAGGTGATTGGTAAGGACTTGCACCTTTAAATCACCAGAGTACTCAGTCTGCCCCAGCTGACCTTTCCCCTGGTGTTGGAGTCTAGCCAACCTTGGAGTGTGCATAGGCCTCCAGCTAGGGCTGGCTTACTTAGCAGGGGATGTTGGTTAATTATTTGGCACTGTGTTCCAGCCTACTGAGCAGTGTTAGACATAACAGAGGGAACCAGAGGTGATAGATGGTGATGGGAAATCAAAATTGCTTCTTAGAGTTTGCTTCCTGACTGTGCCTACTGTAAAACACACTATTAGAAGGAAGAAAATATTTGCTCTATTAATAAATAAACATGTAGTGAATAGTTAGATGTATTAGAAAACCAAGTCACTTCTAGAATCTTGGGAAGTCTGGTGCCAGAAGAGTGGTACAAGGAATAAGAATGTTTTCTATCGAATAGTCCTGGTATGTTTGGTGCAATGCAATGGAATGAAAAGGTCCTGGGCTGGGACCATGAGACCTAGGTTTGCATTCTATCTCTCAAATTCATTAGGTCAACTCTGATGCCACTTAGGCAATGTGGATGCCAAAAAGGCCAATGTGATCAAAGTCTGTGTTAATAGAAGTCTAATTATAAAACAAGGAGGGATATATTTATTAGTCAGAGTTCTCCAGAGATACAGAACCAGTAAGATGTGTGTGTGTATGCTATAAAGAACTGGGCCATGCAATTATGAAGACTGACAAGTTCCAAGGCCTGCAGTCAGCAAGCTGGAGTCCCAGGAGAGCCAATGGTGTAGTTTATTTTGTTTGTTTGTTTATTTGGAGGAATCACAATACTCAATTGTAATAACTACTGTAAAGTTAATATAATCAAGACAGTGTGGTATTGACAAAGACATATACATTTAGATCAATAGAGCAGAGTAGAGAGTTCTACCCACACAAATATGGTCAATTGATTTTGAACAAAGATGCAAAGGCAATTCAATGAAGAAAGGATTATCTTTTCAACAGATGGTGCTGGAACAATTGGACTTCACATAAATCAAATCATATAGCATGTGCTCTTCTAGGTCCGATTGCTTCCTCAATATATTATTTTTTAGATTCATCCAGATTGTTGCATGTATCAATAGTTTATTCCTTTTTAGTCTTCTTTAGCATTCCATTGCTCATAATATACCATAATTTGTTTATCCATTCACCTATTTGAATTGTTTTCAGTTTTTGGCTTTTCTGGAAAAATATGCTATCATCATTCTTGAACAAGTCTTTTTTGTGAATATATGTTTTGATTTCATTGGATAAGTAGCCAGGAATATAATTGCAGAATCAATTATATAAGAAACTTCCAGTTTTCCAAGGTGTTTGTATCATTTTATAACTCCTCCCAGTTTTGTCCAATTGCTCCATACCTTTGTCAATACTTGATATTGTCACTCCTTTTGAGTTTTGTTACTCCAGTGAGTGTTTAGTAGTATTTCCTTATGGCTTTAATTTGCATTTCCCTAACAAGTAATGATGTTCAACACTTTTTCATGAGTTTATTGGACATTCAAATATCTTCTTCTGTGAAATGTCTGTTCAATCTTTTGCTCTTACCAAAATTGGATCGTCTCTTTGTTATGGATTTGTATGAGTTCTTAATATATTTTGGATATAAATCATTTGCTAATTATATTATTGTCAATGCTTTCCCCTGTTGTTGCTTGCCTTTTCACTTTCTTAATATCTCTAATTTTTAAAAATTTTAGATTCAGGGGCACATGTGCAGGTTTTGTTACATGGATATATTGCATAATGGTGAGGTTTGGGCTTCTAGTGTACCCATCAACCATAGAGTTAATGTTGTCCCCAACAGGTCATTTTTTAACGTTCCCCCTCCTCCCACTCTCGCAGCTTTTGGAGTCCCCAGTGTCTGTTATTTTCATCTTTATATCCATATGTGTCCATTGTTTAGCTCCCATTTGTAAGTGAAAACATGTGGTACTTGACTTTCTGTTTCTGAGTTATTTCACTTAGGAATATGGTCTCCAGATCCATCCATGTTGCTGCAAAGGACATGATTTCATTCTTTTCATGGCTGCATAGTATTTCATGGTGTATATATACCACATTTTCTTTATCCAGCCAGCCACTGATGGACACTTAGACTGATTCCATGACTTTGCAATTGTGAATTGTGCTGTGATAAAAATATAAGTGCATGTGTCTTTTTGAAACAATGATTTATTTTCTTTTGGGTAGATGCCCAGTAGTGACATTGCTAGGTCAAATGGTAGTTCTATTTTTAGTTCTTTGAGAAATCCCCATACTGTTTTTCATAGATGTTATACTAATTTACATTTCCATCAACATATCCCTTTTCTCCACATCCACACTAATATCTGTTGTTGTTTTGCTTTTTAATGATAGCCATTCTTACTGGTGTAAGATGATATCTCAATGTGGTTTTAATTTGCATTTCTCTGATGATTAGTGATGTTGAGCATTTTTTCATATGTTTATTGGCCACTTGTATGTCTTCTTTTGAGAAATATCTGTTCACATCCTTTGTCCACTTTTTAATGGGATTGTTTGGTTTTTTTTCTTGTTGAATTGTTTGAGTTTATTGTAGATTCTGGATATTAGTCCTTTGTCAGACACATATTTCGCAAATATTTTCTCCCATTCTGTAGCTTGTCCGTTTACCCTGTTATTTCTTTAGCTGTGCAGAAACTTTATCATTTATTAAGTCCCCTAATGGTATAGCTCTAATCTGAGTTCAAAGGCCTGAGAACTAGGTAGAGCCAACTATAGTTCCAGTCCAAAGGTTGACAGGCTCAAGACCTAGGAACAGCTGATATTTCGGTTGGAGTTTGAAGGCAGGGAAAAAGCTGGTTTCCCAGTTCAAAATCAGGGAGGTAAGAGGAGTTGCCTCTTATTCAGGGAATAATATTCTCTTATTTAGCCTTTTGTTGTATTCAGACTTTCAACTGATTGGATGAAGCCCACCCACATTACGGAGGGCAATCTGCTTTACTCAACAATAAAGCATAGTTTAACATTTATCAATTTAAGTGTTAAACTCATCCAAAAATGCCCTCCCAGAAACACCCAAAATAATGTTTGATCCAATATTTGTGTACCTCCTCATAGCCAGTCAAGGTGACACATAAAATTAACCATCACAAGGAGTGATGATGCCTCTATATTCTGTACCAGTTATAGGTCTCTGGGGAACCCGATATTCAGTTCAGATCTTCAAACCTTAAATGAGAGTGTTTTCTAAGGAAGTCCCAGGGCCCAGACAGTACTCAGAACTATAGCACTGGAGTCAAAATAACCTGAGGATAACAAATAGAAAACCCAGAGAAAAGACCTTATCCTTGTTCCATGTAATTTCTTGTTTCAATTTTTCCACCTGTAAAGTAGAAATAATAATTGTGCTTACTTAGAATGGAAGTTAGGAAGGTTGAATTAGACAATCAGCATGAAAACACACAGCACAATGCAGAAGGCAGCAGAATGGCTTTGTGTGGCTACATGAGGGAATACTATGATTGGAGAGCAGAGCTTAAGAGAGCCCATTTTAGGCTCAATAGAAGAACCATTTGAATCAAGAGTGGGGTTACTATCAGCTTTCTTAGGTGGCAAGATCCCCATCACTGGATGTGTGTGAGCAAAAGCTGGACCACCTATTGGCAAGAACACTTTAAAGAGAACAGAAACACCATACATTGGTGGATGGGCTAAAGCCTATTAAGAGTCTTGCAAAGAACTCCTTACAAATAAAAGTTCTTCCCCTTCTGGAGCTTGTTTTTCCTCCAATGTCAAATGCAAACACTGGACTAGAAGATTTCCAGGGGCTCTTGTAAGTCTAGCATTCCTTGGTTCACACTTTGCAACTTTCACCAGAACTACTGCTGTAGTCCCCAAATTGGCCTCTCTACCTTCAACCTGTATCTGTATCCCCCACAAATCCACCCCTTAAATCCATTCCCAAGTCCATGCTGCAGCCGGAGAGACCTTCTTGGCATATGACTCTGGCCACTTCCTGACCCTGCTTAACACTTTTGATGCTTCCTTATTGCCCTCAGGATAAATGCCAACCTCTCTAGCCTTTCTCAGAGAAGGGCTGCTTTACACTGGCATTCAAGGCTCTTCAGAATCTGGCCTAATGACCCCTTTTATCACTCCTTTTCATGCACCCAGCATTTTAGCCACAACTAAGCACTGGTTATTCCCCAAAACATAACAGATTCTTTCACACTTCCATACCTTTTTGTCCTGTTTTATTTTTCCAGAATGCTTTATCTCCTTATCTGCCTCCTTATCCTTCAAAATCTATTTTCAATATCGTCATCTCTAGGAAGCCTTCACTGACCACCCAGGCTGATTTAGGAGAAAACTGTCTGTACGAGCCTCTTTCACACAGCAGCAGAGTTGTCCTTCTTCAATATTTCATGAAGCTTTGAGGGCAAAGACAAGCATCCAGTCCATTGTATATATTTTTAATACTTGCTTCCTAATTGAAGGAAAATATATTTCCATGATGCAGGCTAGCTTCCTCACTCCAGGATGTGGAATATAGTGACTTTGTGGGGTTGCCATTATGACAAATCATTTCCTCTGCTTGCCAATCAATATATGTCTATTCAAGAAAAACACATGAAAAAATAAACTTAAAATGCTCAAAAACTATCACCGTTGCTATATTGATGTATTTCTTTCCAGGCTGTTTTTTGCATGCATATTATAAAGAAGATGTCAAATATCTAGTATTTTTCTTACTCTTTTTTCTCTTAATATTACAGTATTAGAATTTTCCATGTTAATATATAGTTGTTCATAACCATTGTTTTTAAGACTAGATAATATTCCATCAAGTAAATAAGTAAGTAAATAACTGTTTGGTTGAACGTTTAAGTGCATATTTTTTCACCATTATAAAAAATTCAATCACAGGCATCTTTGTGCATAAAGCATTTCTCTGTGTTTAGGATTTGTGTCTGAGGATCAGTGTCTGTGGCTGTTTTTATCTTGTGAAAATCAGGGCCTTTATCTAGAATCTGCCTGTGTTTTCTCCCCCAAACCTCCCAGACCAAAAAAGCAAAAACTGACATCAGTGCCCTAAGAGTCACTTAGTGCAATGTTTCATGTATGGCTCCCAATTAAGGCAATATGCCCCTTTTCAAATATGGCCATAAATATTTTCCTTCGGTGAAGTAGATGCCACGGAGATAATATTGATTGCAAATTACAGCCTTTGTAATTAACTAATTTACGCAGCTGGAAGATGGAGCTGGTGAAATCATTTGCTTCTGAAGGAGAATGGTGGCCTTTCCAAATTTGACTATCAGATATGAATTTGACCTAATCTCGGGAATGTTTCCGGCTGGAAGATGGAGCTGGTGAAATCATTTGCTTCTGAAGGAGAATGGTGGCCTTTCCAAATTTGACTATCAGATATGAATTTGACCTAATCTCGGGAATGTTTCCGGTAAGACTGCAGACTCTCAGGTGCTTAAGAAGTCACTGAGGCTCTGGACAAACAGGAACGTATTAGCTTTTTGCCTACTGACTACACAGCCTCCACCATTCACCCAAAATGGATCTGCATCTCCCAGGTGCATCTGCAAGCACACAAAAACACACACTGGGAAGGGGTATGAGCTGAGGTTAGTCCTAGGTGCTGCACTTTCTATTCCTGACATATCAGGATGTGTGGGAGGGAGGCCAAAGCTGCAGCACCAGGCTGGGCTTCCAGTCCTGTTGCTACTGTGGAAGCTGGCTCCAGACAGGTGGGGGCAGCAAAGAGCCAGCCTGTATGGTCAGCTGGGATTCTAGTTGACCAAAGCTGTTGGGAGAACTCAAGCTCATCAGTGTGGCAAGTTAGACAACTTGATCTGGACACATGCATAAATGGAACAGGGGTCCAGATACCCACAGGATTAATACTAATAAACCATTTTGCTTAAGCAGCAAAACTCGGTTTATATATTGAATGATAGAAAATTATTTTATTGAATCCTCTCCATAAGCACACCCATTTGATAAATAAAGAAACTGAAGTTCAGGCTAGTTAAATAGCTTTTTCCCAAGTTCACACTTGGGCCCTAAATGTCAAAGCTAGTGATTAAACAGGTCTTCTGACTCCATGGAGTGACAGGATTATGTTACGTTCTTTGTATCCACTATCTCATTTGATTCTGGAGGCTAGTCAACCAGGTACCTTTTTAAGTGGATAGGCTGAGGCCTAAACTTAACAGAATACCACTATTCCAGTGATAAAGGATCTTTAGGGGCAGGAAATAGCAACATTCAAAATGTCATACGTTGGGAGAGGGGTGGGCGCTCATCTCTGGCTTTCATAAAGCACTTGGGCAAACACCCCTCCTCATTTTTTTTCCCAGTTTTTCTTCTTTGTGCTCAAACTATTCTCAAGTATTTACAGTTCCTAGAATGGACTAACTTCTATTTCATTTCCAGGCTTTTGCACATGTTGGTCCCTCAGCCTCAAATGACTTCCTTCACACTTGTTGATCTAGTTAATTCCTATTCATCGTGACCACCTTCGAGGGCATTCTCTAAGCCCCTCCTTGCCTAGACAGATGTAGGTATATCTTCTGTGCTTTCACAGTGGTTTGCACAAACCTCTATCGTAGCATGTATCATACTACTGCATACTATGATATCTTTTTCCTTCATTAGATTGTGGACGCTTTACAGACAGAACCATATCTTATTCATCTCTCTGCTGGGCACATAGTTGGTGTTCAAACATTTGTTGAATTACTGTATGTACACATGAAGAAGCATCTTTCAAGATTCTTACAAAAGTTCAGAGGGTACCAGAGGTTTCTTATTGATTATAGGGACTAGTTACCATAATCCTTGAGGGAAATGAGAGTTGACCCTTAAACCTGAGGGTTACAGGCTGGCATTTCCTTGCTCTCTTTAGAAACATGATAAGTTTCTTGCCTTTGTAGTTATCTGGTTAAAAGGTATTTCAAATTCTTATTATACCTCATTCAACATATACCTATTCCTTATCTTATTCCTACAAGTACCTGAATGTAGAGGCCAGGCCCCACCACAGTTCTGTTTGAGTTACTTTTTAGATTGACTTGGCAAAGCAAAATCTGGCTGTTCTGCCATAAAAGGATGATCTCAGATATGATCAAGGGACTTCAAATCGTATCTGCCCATCCAAAAAGCAACAGTGCAACTATTTCAAAGGTTACCTTTAGTCCTCAACTTGTATACAACCTTCTCCCCAGCTAACCACTGCTAATCTGACATAAGCATTTAACTGTAATTCTATATAGCAAAATCCATAATCAACAGAGCTGGCGACATCTCTGTCTAGCTCTCTGTCTCTGTCTGTCTGTGTCTGTCTGTCTCTCTCTCTTTCTCTCTACACACACACACACACACACACACACACACACACACACACACACACAAAACAGTTCCTCAATAAGTGGCCAAAATCTGCCCATGTTTTGTTTAGTTTGAGCAGCTAATGCCAGAACAAAGGTAATGAAATATATTAATTACATTAGAGATATTTTAGAGAACCAAGATTTGCTTTCAGAAAGAGAGACCACATCTGACTGAGCTAAGTTGATAGCAACATGCAGATAATTAACAGCTAATAACATTAGCGTTGTAATTAGAACTGCCTTGAACTCTTAACCCATCTGCCTTTCTGATTTTGAGATCCATACAGTGAAGAACAAGATGATCGTTCTCTTTCTTGATTTGCCTGGATGTTTATAATATATTCTCTCCCAAATAAATATTACTAACTGCTATCTTTCACTTTCTACCTACTGTGTGCCAGGTGCTCTATAGATACTGAGTATATGAAGAATATATTATGCACTCAACCCTTGAGGAATTAAATATAGTTTACTTCTCTCAAAAAACTTATCTGGTAGGAATTATGACACCTATTTTTTTTTAGATAAGGAAACTGAGTGAAGTCACTTGTTGAAAGCTACCGAGCTGGTTAACTAAGCACAGATTCAAAATTAGTTCCTACTGACTCCTGTTCTTTCCATCATACCACACTGTTCTACAAATGGCCATTATTGCTATTACCTTGGTAATTTACTCACCCTGGTTGAATTTCTGGTATTCAACTCACTGTTCTGTTTAACAGTGAAGGAAAACATGAAAGGGAAAATGTAACTAAGCATGAGGTCAAGTACCCTACCTGTTTGTTTGAAAAATTCACCATTATTGTTGGAATAATCAGTCCCTGGAGTCCCAACAAAAGATGAGCAAATGATCTGAACAGACATTTCTCAAAAGACATACAAATGACCAAAAAATATATGGAAAATGCTGAATGTCATTAATCATTAAGGAAATTCCAATGAAAACCACAATGAGGTATCATCTCACCCATGAGGGTGGCTATTATTGAGAAGACAAAAATAATAAATGCTGGAAAGGATGTGGAGAAAAGGGAACTCTTATACACCGTTGATGGGAATGTAAACTAGTACAGCCACTGTGGAGAACAGTATGGAGTTTCCTCAAAAAAGTACAAATAGAGCTACTACATGATCCAGCAATCCCACTACTGGGCATTTATCCAAAGGAAAGGAAATCAGTATATCAAAAAGACATCTGCACCACCATGTTTATTGCAGAACTGTTAACAGCCAAGATGTAGATCTAGGTGTCCAACAACAGATGAATGGATAAAGAAAATGTGGTGTATATACACAATGGAATACTAGTCAATCATCAAAAAGACTGACATCCTGTCATTTATGGCAACATGGAAGAAGCTGGAGGACATTCTGTAAAGTGAAATAAGCCGGGAACAGAAAGTTAAATACCGCATGTTCTCACTCATATGTGGATGCTAAAAAAAAAAAAAAAAAAAGTTGATCTCATACATAGGGAGAGATTTGCTACAGGATACAAGATTACAGGTAGATAGGAGGAATAAGTTCTAGGGCTCTATGCCACTGTAGGATGACTATAGTTAACAATAATAGTTATATAATTTCAGCTAGAACAATGATATTGAATGTTTCCAGCACAAAGAAATAAGTGTGAGATGATGGATATGCTAATTACCTTGATCTGATCACTATATATTATATATATCAAAATATCACTATGTTTCCCATGAATATGTACAATTATTATATGTCAATTAAAAAATATTTTTAAAAAGTAGCAAATGAGCAGAATTCAGTGATGGGAAAATAAGCAGGAAGTCCTTAAATGTTAATGTTAGCAAGTAAATTACACCAGTGAGGTTTAAACTCTTGGCTGAAGATCAAGAGAAGAGCAAAGAGATTCAAGGTCCCAAGGAGGAGGTTGACAGGGAACTGGGGGACAATCAGTCTCTGGCTAAAACTACTTGACAGCAATATTGCTGAAGGTGTTGCTGAAATAACATCATGACAGGATTTTGCCAGGGGATTCAAAAATACCCAAATCTAACCTCATCTCAGCCAATTCTCCCTGGCAACTCCTTGAGGCAAATATATTCACAAGAGAGGAGAAGTTAGTTATTATTATTATTACCTAGGATTTTGGCTCCAAATCCCAGTGCATAACATGACTGAGCTGAGCTGAACTAAAATGAAGGTCCTTTTCTCCCAGAGCCCTCTCCTGAGCCTTGATTTGAAAAAAAAAAAAAGCTACCCAAAATGTCTCCATCAGAGCCAGAAGAGAAGGAGCAAAGAAGTCTACACAGGAAGAATAGTAAGTCTAGTACTAGGATCCACCTTACCCAATTCTGCTCCATCACCAGTTATTACTTTCCACCAAGGCTTCAAGGAAGGGAAATACACAAAGTCTGACCCATGAGAAGCAAAGCAACACCTTACTCTTAGCTGGAAATTTGAGCTCAAACCCTAGTGCAGAGAGCCCTGGTGGCCAGGTTGTAGATATAGTAAACAATAAATGAGATAATACGTGAGGCTTCCATCATCAAGCCTAGGCTCCCTTTAGATGAGGTCAGCCTCCTCCTGGGAGCCTGGAATCACTTCTCTCTTCTCTTGAACCTCAACCAAGAGTCCAGACCTCCCTAATGCCATGTGCTTACAAATCTGGACATCTAAGAACAACCTACTTGATTTTCCCATTGCTTATTTCCACTCATGAACTGAAGTTTTTTTGTTTTGTTTTTCTGCCAGTTCATCTCACAAGCCTGCCTGTATTTCTCTAAAACAATATGACACTGTTTCTTCTTCATATATTGAATTCATGTCTCTCAGCAGACATTACCGTCTTTTAGAAACTTCCTAATCCACTCCCTCTGACTACCTCACTTTGCCTCCAATCTGGGTTAGGTGCCTCTTCTGTGTTTCAACAGCCCCCTTGTCTTCCGTCTCTCAAAGCACTTATCACTCCATTTTTTTTATTATTATTATACTTTAAGTTTTAGGGTACATGTGCACAACTTGCAGGTTTGTTACATATGTATACATGTGCCATGTTGGTGTGCTGCACCCATTAACTCGTCATTTAGCATTAGGTATATCTCCTAATGCTATCCCTCCCCTCTCCCCCCACCCCACAACAGTCCCCAGTGTGTGATGTTCCCCTTCCTGTGTCCATGTGTTCTCATTGTTCAATTCCCACCTATGAGTGAGAACATGCAGTGTTTGGTTTTTTGTCCTTGCGATAGTTTGCTGAGAATGATGGTTTCCAGCTTCATCCATGTCCCTACAAAGGACATGAACTCATCATTTTTTATGGCTGCATAGTATTCCATGGTGTATATGTGCCACATTTTCTTAATCCAGTCTATCATTGTTGGACATTTGGGTTGGTTCCAAGTCTTTGCTGTTGTGAATAGTGCCGCAATAAACATATGTGTGCATGTGTCTTTATAGCAGCATGATTTATAATCCTTTGGGTATATACCCAGTAATGGGAGAATGTTTTTCTCCCAGAAATGAAATCCTTAAAGGTTGGGAATGTATCTGATTCACTGCTGTTTCCCCAGTGTTTAGCCCAGGATTTGGCACAGAGCAGACTCTAGAGAGTGTTTGATGAATAAATAAATTAAGAAATTACTGAGTTTGTCTAGGCCAGCGCAGTGTTGTCCAGGAGCAGGTGGGGGAAATAGGAATATCTGATCCAGAGTCCTTATTGTGAATTAAGAACCTCCTAATCTACTTCCTCCTTCTGTTCATGACCCATAGCCCCAAAATGACTATTCACCTAAAATCATACTCATCCTCTCCCCCATCACACAGCACGAATTCCCTTTTCTAAGACTTCAGATATTCTGAATCCAGCTTTGTAGTTTTCACTGGACAACTTTCAGCCTTGAGAAATATGCCTCTTGGCCTGACTCATCCCTGGGAACTTCTGTCCATTTTGATGCCCACAAAGACAATTCCCCACCTGTAAGATCCCAGCCACACAACAGACCCACACTTATTATCTGTCTCAACTTCAGGTAGTGGCCTCTCATCATGTTTCCTGACTATGCTGCCCTGACTTCTGGATGGACCTTCCTGAGTTTGCCTTTCTTCCTGAACTTCCAAGTCACCTCTCACAGTTACCCAATCCCTGTGTAAGACCTTGCTGAACGGTTCCTTATCTTTCATCTCAGACCCTCTTGATGCCTGCCTCTTGGGCTGTGATCAGAGATAGCCATGCCCTGGACACTGCTGTGTCAACCCCTCTAGCAGGAGGCTCTAAAATCAGATCCCACCCACTCCGTACATACCCTATCTGTTGCAACACAATGTGCTCTTCCTAGATATGCACCCAAAAGCCACTCTAGTAGAGAGGGTTGGACCTCACAGAAACCAGAGTTGGGCAAGACAGAGTAGAATCAAGAAGACAGACACACATAACTAGGAAACGGGGATCCTAGAATAGAAATCAGAGAAGAGGGGGACTTAAAAAAATACTAGTTGAAATTGTAGATCAAATTTTCAAGAGCAGGATGTACCAATCCAAGTTGCTCATTGAGTTTGAAATAAACCTAGAAAGGTAAAGTGAGAATCAGATCTTAGACCCTAATTATCAGACCAGAACATTTGAATTTGAAACAGTTAAAAATAGGAAGCCACTGTAAATGCTTGAGCAAAGCTGTCCAGGAACATACAGAAGGCACAAAATTGGGATTCAGAAGGCTTGAGTCTGAGGTCCTGGCTTTCTCACTAGAGGTCTATGTGACTGTGGGCAGTTCTCCTCCCCAATCTGTCCCAGATAAACTATGTACCAATGTTGAATGGTCTTAGCAGTTCCTTCGGGCCCTCAGATTCCATGACACACATGCGTTTGACCTGAAGAACTTGAGTTTTGCTCCATCTAGCATCCACCACCCCCACCCCCACCCACTACCTTGCACTCCCAATCTGCTGAGAATCAGAGCTCCAGAGGAACACCTATTGTGTCCCATCTGTTGGCGACAGAGCCAGAGAGAGGAATGCTGTGCCACATGTGCTCTTGTTTATTCCTGATACTTTCCAGAGAACCAGGGATGGGGGAAAAAGGGAGGGAGGAAGAGGCCTCCACGCAGGATCAGTTACAAGCATTGTTGTCCCACTCCATATGTAGACACTGGACAAGCACAGCAGACAATCAGCATGTGGGAAAACCTGGGCCTTTTACCAACTAGCATCGTCCAAAGGTCAAATTTGAGACTTGGAATTTAAAAGGGAAACAAATAAAATAAACGAGCAAGCAGCTCTGAACTGGTTGCCTCAGATGAGAGAACATGAGAAGACCACATCCCTGCCCTTTGTGCTAGTCAGTATAGGCTGGGCTAGGCCATTAATACAGAAAAACTCCCAAATCTCAGTAGCTCATCACAGTAAAGTTCATTTATTTGTTGAACACTAATAAATTTTGCCAAAGCTGAAATTTTGAATAAAATAATAGCTTCCATCTACTGAGTACCTATTTATGCCCAGGACTATGCTATACACTTTGCATAAATCAGCTCCTTTTTACACACGAAGAAGTTGAGATTCAGGGAGGTGAAGTGATTTGAATGAAGTTACAAATCTAATCAATGGTAGACTGGGATTGAAACCCAAGATGATCTAGGCCTGAGGCCTGTGCTCTTTCCTTACTCTACACTGCCTCTGAAGGGGACCTTGAAGTGGACCCGATCCCTTATCCACATCAATCAGGCACATCTTGCACGGAAGAGGATGAGTAAAAGAAATCATCTGACAAATGGCTTAGGGAATATATTTTTACAAAAATAATTTGCATTGTCCTTTCAGCTTGCCCACTGTCAACAGTGGAGGCTACTCAGTGCCCAACTCTCTATTGTGGACTTGTATCCCCAGATCAGAAGCACCTCAAGCACAGGGGCTGTGTGTCCCCAGGAGCCAGCCTCAAGGTCAGGAGAGTTCTCAGAGCATGTTTATTAGTTGATTGGTTGAGTGAATGAGTGAATGAGTAAATGAGTAGTTCCATTCATTCTTTAACAGAGTTTCGAGGAGTCTTAAGATGTGTGGTTGAAATCACACCACAAAATTTTGAAGGGAAAAGTCTATGCTTTATAGCTCCTTAGATTTCCTGCACTTAACATAATATAGGGCATAGGTTAGCTCTTATACCACCCTAAATGCCTGAAGAAGTGGACCCTATTCCTCATGCACCCAGAATAAAACTGAGGAAGGAGGAAGTGAATTTGAGGAATATTTGAGACAATGAAACAAGGGGACTTACTTGCCAACAGTGTGTCAGAAGTAAGGGAAGAAATACACAAAAGAAGCATAGGGATACCCGTCTTTGGAAATTACCTCAGACCCCTAAGAGTAATTTAGAGTTTAAGCAGAGTGTGTAACTGATGTTTCCCCAGACCTGGAGAAATTGAACAGCCTGCAGGCACAAATGAGGTTCTATTTATAATAATCACATGTGGTTTGCTGCCTCATTCCTCTACCTGTTAAGGCAGGACTCCAGTCTTCCTCCAAGTCTCATTCAGTTTTTTCTAGATGTCTCCAAGTGGCATTGTATGTAAGCTCAGAAAGGGTGCTATCCACTTCTACATGATGTCTACCATGTTGCTTCTTTCTTGTTCGGCCCATCCTGTGAGGCTTCCTGTTTCTTGCATTTGAGAGTGCCCCATCCTACTCAGGGCTCTCACTGTCCACCAGGAGAAATCCCTTGATCTAGCCAAGGGTGCTGCCTGTTTATAATATCAAGCTGTCAGAACAAGAAATACTATCACAACCAAAGTCACACCTTTTTCCGATCTATAAATGGGACAAATGTTCATCTCCCTCACTTTGTATTCACAGCTCTGTGGTCTTTTTGGAAATAACTTCTACCTGCAACTCCTCTCTCCCTGGTGCTCAAACATGGACCCATAGAGCTGATCCAGGAAACTAATCTCAGGGACACACACCCTATTTTTACCCTCCTCCTTCCCTAAAGTAGGGCTATTGCACTTCCCTGCTGTGCTAATTTCAGGCCCCACGGATCTTCATGGGAACAAAACCCTGCAAGAAGTCTGCCCCAACAGTCCTCCATAGCCTAGTCTAAAGCTGGGACCCCTTTTCTGGAGAATGAATACAGTGACCTCTGTTTCTCATTCTGGAATCTTATAAAAACACACCTTAATATTTTTCTCTAGATGCATTTATTAAGCACCTGCTGTGCTCCAGATATAAAAGGAGCTTTCTGTGCAGCTCTTCACTTAGTCCTCACCTCATCTTTATGGTCTAGGTATTATTAGCCCTTCTACGGCTCCAGGGAGAGAAAGTGCCTACTCAAGGCCAGCCTTCTCTGGCACGTTCCCTTCAGTCTCAGCCTTTGTGCTGACTCGCTGGCCATGGCCTCTCTTGGGAGCCTGTTTCTTGCCCTTCATAATTACCAGGCTCAGTATTAACTCTCTCTTTTCCTTTCATGCCTTACACATTAGATCTGACACCCAGCATATCTTTCCAACTGTGATCTCAGCCTCTCTGGGCAAAAAAAATTGGTTTTCTCTTCTCTGCTGGCTCATATGCAGCTTAGGCCTCCTTTCCCTTGGGACTCTCCAAATTTGGCCCTGCCTCATCAGGGACATTTAACTGAGCCTGACTTACCAGGGCCCTGGAAGTTAGGTCTGACAGCTTCTTTATATACTACATGACCTTGGGAAGAATCTTAACATCTCTGTGCCTCAGTTTAGTTGACAAAAAAAGCAGGAGTACTAATATCTATCTTGCAGGTTTATTGTGGGAAATAATAAGACAGAATGTTTAAGGTGCCTCTAATAATGCCTAACACAGTAAATGTACAGTAAACAAAGTGCTATAAAAGAATAATCTTCCCTTCAATGTATCTGGTAAGCAGCCAATACCATTACCATTCCATTTTATAGATGTGGAAACTGATATCAAATAGGTTAAAAGACTTACCCCGGGTCCCAGACCTTGAGAATGGCAGATCTCAAATATGAAGCAGATCCTGGTATTTAATGACTCACTGACTTATACTGCTTGGCACAAAGCAGTCCCTCTACAAATAGGGTTATGGGCTGCTCCTAAACGAATATATTAATGAATGAATTTTCCTTCTCTTCCCTTTGTGTCATTGCCTCAGATACCAGTGCTCTGCCCCAAGATGTGCCCACTGATTTTCTGTGTCCAGAGGAGATTAAGATGATGCAGTTTTCTCTACCCCTAAAAGCCCTGCCCAGCCCAGTCTCTGGCTGAGTTCCTTGGCCCAGAACAATACAGGGAGAGATCCTTTCACAACTCGGGGGTTACCAATGGAGCACTCCTGCTGAGCCAGGGCCTCTTGCCAAGCAACTTCCACTGCCCTTCTGATATGCAGATGTGTGCAAGAATCCTGCACATCTGCATGGGGAACATTCAAAAGCTATAAATTGGCTGGATAAAAGGAAAATGTGAGTGTCAGCTCTATAGGAATGGATGCTCCTCAGGGGCCAAGCAGAGGAGAAGAGCAGATCACACGCTGAGAATAGTTGGCCCAAAGCAGACTGGGGATGGAGAAACAACACTACACCCCAACTTTCACCTCTCACAGGGAGGCTCGTGCAATTTCAGAAGTGTGGATACCACTGGCTAATTTGAGTTATTTCTCTACAAATGTCCCCATCTCCCTGAGCCACAATCTCCCTGAGCCTTGTGGGAGTTTTGTTCTTCTTAATTTGCATCACCTCAGCCTGTTATAAGAAAAGCAAAGCATGGCAGCAAAGCCAGTGGTAAAACCCTGGACTAGGACTGAGACATCTTTCTTCAAATGCATTCATGTAACCAACATGTACAGAGTACCCATGCTTGTGCCAGGCACAGAGGCACAGAGATGAATCCATCACAGTCAGGATGCTCAAAAAGGTACCACAATCTAATGGGCAGACAGGCAAGGAAATGAACAACATAGAAGAAAGCACAGAAAACTTCCTGGGAGTGCGGGGTTGGTTAAGGTCAAAAGCATATCACAGAATGCTTCCTAGAGGAGGTAACATCTGAGTGAATCTTGAAGAGACGTGGCAAGTGGCCAAGTGAAGAACTTACGTATACTAACACAACCAAAGCATTGTTGGATATATGAGAGTAGATGCTCATTCACAAGCATAGATACTTCCGCACAGATACACACACACACACACACATATATGCACACATACACACCTTCTGAGGCAGGTGTAATGTTGGTTGGGAATAGTTCATATGGTAACCCTCGCTGTTCATCTTGCCACAATCCAAATGTCTCCCTTCCCCAGTGGTGCTGTTTCCTGAAAAGCCTTGGCAAGTTTCCTCAGAATCAGCTACTTTGCCACTGTTACTTTAAAAGCTTCTTTTTCTCTTACCAAATGGCAAAGGAAGCCAGAGAAAAATGAATTCACCAGGGCATCTTGAGCTTGCTGTTGCTCTTTGTGTCCCCCAGGCTAATCCCTCAAGAGTTCTGTTCTACAACAAAGAAAGAGCAGGCTTATGGTTGAAGGGAGTGGTAGTTCAGCTCAAGGAAAAGGCTGACTTTGAAGGGATAGGGTCAATGACTTTGATCCCTGCAGGAATATCTGAGGGCAGAAGAAACAATGCAGAACAAAGATCAATGTAGGGGCACTAGAGGTAGGGATTTTGCTCAATGTGAATGGCTATTTCCTCAAGTCGAAGCTGCCTACCAGTGGGATTAGTGGCTTTGAAAAGTGGTGAGCACTCTGTCCCTGCTGGAGTGTGAGGGGAACAGACCACTGCTTATGGGATGAGGAAGATGTAGTTGGGCCTCGAACACCAGATGAGAAGTCACATCTTTTTGCCCCATTCTACCATCTTCACATGAGAATTGACTTAGTACAGGGCAAATATTCAGGCTTCTAAGAGTCCAAGGATTTGCATTTCCAAGGTTATGAAGAAAGGCATGTAGTAAATGTGTATATAGGCATCCAAGATGTGAAAGGTGTGATTATTTTCAGAACCTAATCTCATACCTTTCCATCCTTGCTGAACCGAATATTGCAAATATATTCTCATTTGTATTTGGAATGGTGTGTTTCTAAGCAATCATCATTCTGAATACTCATCCCAACCAGGAGATGACCTGAATATTTAATAGAATAAAAATGTATATATTAGATTACTTATTCAAATGCCTATCTGGCAGCTTGGATAGAATTAAGCAATAGTCCAATCTGGCTGTTGTTTTATGCATAGGATGTCAAAGCTAAACAGCCCTTAGAGAATATTCTCTTATTCTTTCTCTGCACAGAATCTCATCTTGTCCTGTTCACAGATGAGGAAACAGGCTGAGAGAGGGGGTCATAGAGCATGAGATGGGAGACCAAGGACCAATGCTACCATTTAGTGGCTAGGCAAGGTAATATTGTCCCTGTTGGACAAAGGAAGCAACTGAGGTTCGTTGTGGTGAAGTAACTTTTGCAGAGTCACATAGCTGGAAAATCACACAGTTGTCTGCATCCTGGGCCATTATTCTTTTGCACTACCTCACTGAGCCCCTAATATAGCCCAAGGGTGTGTTTCACCTTTCATGCCACCTTCAGACAATCTGGCAGGTACTTTGACTATGAAATCTTAGGAAATGATGTTATTATCCCTGTTCCATAGTTGAGGAAATCCCCATGAAATATGAAACTACATTTTAGATTCCCCAAACCAGGGATTCTACCGCACAGCTATTCTACCTTGCATGCTCTAAATGCTCCACAACATCAAGCAAGAGCACATTGTTCTGCCATTACAATAACAAAAGGCAATAACCCAAATTTGCCTTTTGAAATGAGCCCAAATATTCCTTTTGATGGAAAACATTCCCTCAGAAACTTAGTTAGATGTCATTTCTAAGAAAACTTCCCTGTGCACTCCCTACCCCAAACCCCAGAGCACTTCTCACATAGTATCGTCATTGTATAGGGGATATTCTCCCCACTAAATCGTGAGTACTTTGAGTCCAATAACCACCTCTGACTGTTTTCTGCATCTCTAGCATGGGGGTCTGGTACCCAGCAGGTTTCTGAGATTTGCTGAACAGATGAATAGATATTTGGGTAGCATCACTGCAGGGTGATATAATAAGACTATGGGTAGGAACTCAAGGGGAAGGGACTCTTCTCCCGCTCCCAACCAACCAGAGTTTGTTAATCTCTGACTATCAAAGAGAATATGGCAAGCCCTAAAACTTAACATGGTGCTTCCATCCCCAGCAAACAATAACTGAAATGTAAAACAAAATTTCTGAGCTTCCTATGATTTTGCCATTGCTGGGGAAGAAGAAAACACCATCTGCAGCACATGTTTCTATTCAGACTTGAACCTCACTTCATCTCACCAGACAATTCTGAAAGCACTTCAGCATTCTTTCCAGTACCATCTTTGCTAGTCTGTCCCTCCAGACCCCTAGAGCCCCTACCCCTCCAGGAATGATTCCCCAGCTCAATAGCCCACCATGATATCTCCCTTCTAGCTCCTCTTTCTTACCGGATGCACCATTTCTTTCTTGTTTATCAGATGCTGCCTCTTATTTGTCAGTTATGGATGGTCAGTGTTGGGGGAGAGAGGCAGTGTGGGCCAGTGAAGAGATCATAGGCTCTGGGCTCAGAGAGACTTGTGTATAAATCCCAACTTGACCAGCGAATAACTGCAAAACCTTGGAACATTTCTTTGACCACTCCCAGACAGTAAAATAGAGAGTAAAACTTCACTCTCAGAATTGTTGGGAGGTATGCAGGGACCTTGATAACTGAGGGCATTTTCTCTGAAGCTAGGGAGCTCATGCTTTATCTACAGACAACCCTGTAATGGGATACCTTTTAGAAATAATGCTTTGGCTATTGCACATGGAATGGATTGGAGAAGAGGCAGTAGAGGAGATAAACCAGGCAGGAAAATTTGCAGGAATGGTCATGAGTTGGCAGGGTGGAGAGAGTTGTTGCAGTATAAAGTTACAAGAGATAGTAGCCTGAACAAAAGAGGTAATAAATAATAATAAGAGCTAGTGTTTGTGAGCTTCTACTCTGGGCCAGGATTATGCTATCACTTTTTGGGATTTTTTAAAATCTTGTTAATAATCTAAGATTTTTAATCTCCATTTTATAGATGAGGAAACTGAGATGTTGAGAGGTTAAGCAAAGTATCCAAAATGACAAAATGACATACTAAGAAAACTTGGATTCAAGTCTAGACAATATCATTCCAGAGCCTAAGTGCTTAACCACCAGACTAGCTCACAATTGTAGCAGAGATTGGAGAAGAACCATTCAGATAGTGAAACTGGCAGAACTTTTTGAAAGATTGGCAAGAGTGGGCAAGAAAGAGGGTAAAGCATAGGATACTCTCAAGTTTCTCTCCCAAGGTCTGCAGGTCCTGAGAGGCAGAGCCAAGATTTTAACCCAGTTTTGTCTAATGACAAAGCACTTCCTCTTTTCATAGCCTCAGAAAATTTTACCTCAGACCTTAGTGAGTTACAGATCTGTACCTTCCCCAGAATTTTGTAATTCCTTTGTTTAAACCATTATACCATGACTTGCCTTCCTTAAGATGTCCAGGGTATATATTTCTTTACAGAGGGATTTATTATCAATTACAAAGAAAAATTGACAGGAAAATGCATTTGATAGCTTTCCTCCTTTGATGCCAAAACAAATGCAAAAGAGAACTCCAAGTGCCTTTGGAAATAGCAGTAGAGGAAGGGCAGAACATCCACTGTAGGCAGAGGGAGATTGGTGTAAGCTTGAGCTCTACATTCATTTGTCCCTTTACCTGGCCTTTCCCAAGGCTCTTTTCAATGCCAGACTTGGGCTGGGCACTGAAGGACAGTGCTGGATAACAGCCCCTGCCTATAGAGCTCATAACCAAGGTGTGAGATGGACAAATAAGTGGGCCTTCAAGAGCTGTTTGAAAGAAGAGGGAGGGTGTCCTCTACACAAGAGGAGATGCTATGTCTGGGTCTTGGCATTGGGCAGAAACCAAGCCATGTGACCTTGGGCACATTACTTGACTTAGCTTCCTTGTCTTCACTAGTGGGAATAATCAAGCTCACATTAGCCGGCTCTTTTCTCTCAGATACTCAAGGACCTATAGTCCCGGGTTGGTACTGAGAGTCTGGAGCCTTCACTGTTCCTGGGGTGGATCAGGTTAGGCATGCAGACTGCAGAGCCTGATGCTGAGGGTTGGAACCAGAGGTCTATGGTGGAAATAAAACAGAAAAATAGACACAGCCTAACCCTGAATGCCACTTGAATGGGTCAGGTAGAAATGTAAGTTCAAGTATGAAGTGAAATTAAAAGACAAGACATGAGTCCATAGGCCATGTGTTATAATGGAGGGTGGTGCCAGAGGCAGGGCCTAGAGACAGGCTCTGGATATTACTGGGAGCATAGACATTGGAACCTGTGGTATACTCTGATGGGGAGGGCTTTGTTAAGCATGCTGAGTGGTCCAGTGCTATTAGGAGAATGAAATGACATTATGCATGTGAAGCCCCCAGCATACTTCCTAGTACATACAGTTAATTTTCAATGAAAGTTAATCATAGAATTGCTCTCTTTTTACATCAGAGTTCACCAAGAGCTTCCAATGTACCAGGTCCTATGCTGGACACTGAGAGGAAAGGAATGATTAAAATGCAATTTCTGTCCCCAGAAGCCCAGACTGATGGGGGTCCAGACACATAAATAAGATGTCCCAATTGAAGATTCTAAATGACATGATGGGGTAGGCATAGACATATGGCAGGGTGAGGGGCATTATCCCAACCTAATTTTTCCTGGAAGGCTCCCTGGGAGAGATAATGGCTAAGGTGACTCTTGAAGGTTAAGAAAGACTTAGCCAGGCAAAAATCAGTGAGAAATCCATGCTGGGAATGGGCACAGCTTCAACATAAGGCATAAAAAAGCATGGTGTGTTCAAGAAAGTAGAATATAAGGAGAAGCAAGTGGTAAGGACAGAGAGGAAGCAGGGAGACGAGATCTGGAGACAAAGGAGCCTGGCCTCCATCCTGAAACTTTCTATCAACTGATAGGAAGCCAGTGAAGGGTTTTAAGCAGGAAATTAACATAGCTCATTTTGTGCTTTAATTAGGTTACTCTGGCTGGTGGGGAAGACGATGTTAGAAAGTGCCAGCTGGAGACCAAGGGATGTCTTTAGTTTGATGTTTTGAAGTCAAAAAAAAAAAAAAAGTTATTATGGAGGCAAGGCCAGAGTGAGAAATGGCGGATGGAAGACAGGACTAACAAACGTGCAGCTCCCGGCCAGAACAGCATGTGGAGACTCACACTGTGAACTTTTGCTCCAAGAACCACTGCAAAAACATGCAAAGAAGACCAAAAGAGTTCATAGATCCTGTGGAGGAAGCGGCTTGCCATTGTAAACTTCACAAGACAGCCAAAAAACTGCAAGCTCTCAAAGTGTGAGAGGGGAAAACCTACCTATAAACACACATCCCCACTGGGGAACCTGAAAATCCAGAACACAGAAGAAGGATTTAACCTTACCTAGAGCTGAAATGGATTTAGGCAGCTGAGCAAGATATTAAAGTAGAAAAAACTATGGGAAAAGCCCTGTAGGCACTCTCAGTCTCCAGCTGAAGCCCAGGGAAGCCATCCCTGACTTTATCTCACAGGGGTCTTTGGGGAAGGCAGCCAGAGAAACTAGGGAGGGGTCACAAGGTGAAAGAAGATTCCAACTAAACTTTGTAATAATTTCGACTGAACATAAATTTTCTTGAGCAGAACCCAAGAGGTAAATGGGAATGGCTGTAGATACAAGTGCAGGAGCTGCAGCCAACGGTGTGGGCAGGCAGGGAGGGGCAAGGCCAGAAAGCCACACTTGCTTTCTCAGTGAGGAGGCTTGTAGCCTGGGGCAAGGTTCAAGCCCTGCACGTGGGCTGCCTGAATATAAATTTGGTGCTGCTGTTAGTGGGGCACAGTGGAGTCAGATTGGCCTTGCTGGCTGTGTGGGAGCTGGGTGAAGCCTGTCACTGCCAGCTTTCCCCCTACTTCCCTGGAAACCTGTATGATGCAGCAGAGGCAGCCATAATCCCCCTTGGAACATAACTGCATTGGCCTGAGAACCACCCTCCCCCATGCCCCACAGCGGCCACAGCAAGCCCCTCCCAAAAAGAGTCTGAGCTCAGACCCCCCTAACCCTACCCCAACCTGATGTTTTTTCTCTACGTGCCCTGGCAGCTGAACACAAAAGACACAAACTCTTGGGAGCTTTATGGCCTTATGCATTCATTGCCTGAGAAACCTGAATACTTATCCTGGCCAAGTATTAGGGCAAGCTTACGTCCCCCTTCTGCTACCACAGCTGATGCTCTCATGAAACAGAATGATTTTGGGTAAGCAATGAAATAAAGATAGAAACTAAAAATTATTTGAACTGAATGATAATAGTGACACAAGCTATCAAAACCTCTGGGATACAGCAAAAGTGGTGCTATGAGGAAAGTTCATAGCATTAAATGCCCACATCAAAAAGTCTGAAATAGCACAAATAGACAATCTAACCACACACCTCAAGGAACTAGAGAAACAAGAACAAACCAAATGTAAAACCAGCAGAAGAAAAGAAATAACAAAGATCAGAACTAAATGACATTGAAACAAACAAACAAAACAGATAAATGAAACAAAAAGCTGGTTCTTTGAAAGGATAAACAAAATCGATAGACCATTAGTGAGATTAACCAAGGAAAGAACAGAGATGATCCAAATAAGCTCAATTAGAAATGAAACAGGAGCTATTACGATGGATATCAGAGAAATACCAAAGATCATTCAAGGCTACTATGAGCACCTTTACATAAAAAACTAGAAAACCTAGAGGAGATGGATAAATTCCTGGAAATATACAACCCTCCTACATTAAACCAGGAAGAAACAGAAACTCTGAACAGACCGATAACAAATGGTGAGATTGAAACAATAATTTTTAAAATTGCCAACAAAAAAATGTCCAGGACCAGATGGATTCACAGCTGATTTCTATCAGGCATTCAAAGAAGAATTGGTACCAATCCTACTGAAACTATTCCAAAAGATACAAAAAGAGGGAATCCTCCCTAAATCATTCTATGAAGCCAGTATCACCCTAATACCAAAACCAGGAAAGGATATAACAAACAAAGAAAACAGTAGACCAATATCTCTGATGAACATAGATGGAAAAATCCTCAGCAAAACACTAGCTAACTGAATCCAACAGCATATCAAAAAGACAATACATCATGGTCAAGTAGGTTTCATACCAGGGATGTGGGGATAGTTTAACATATGCAAGTCGATAAATGTGATACATCACATAAGCAGAATTAAAGACAAATAAAATCACATGATCATCTCAATAGACACAAAAAAGCATTTGAAAAAATCCAGCATCTCTTTATGATTAAAACCCTCAGCAAAATCAGCATAGAAGTGTCATATCTCAACATAATAAAAGCTATCTATGACAAACCCACAGCCAACATTTATACTGAACAGGGAAAAGTTGAAAGCATTCCCCCTGAGAACTAGAACAAGACAAGGATACCCACTTTCACTGCTTCTATTCAACATAGTATTAGTAGTCCCAGCCAGAGCAATCAGAAAAGAGAAAGAAATAAAAGGCATCCAAATCAGTAAAGAGGGAGTTAAACTGTCACTGTTTGCCAATGATGTGATTGTACACCTAAAAAACCCTAAAGACTCATCCAGAAAGCACCTAGATCTGATAAATGAATTCACTAAAGTTTCAGGATACAAAATCAATGCACAGAGATCAGTAGCACTGCTATACACCAACAACAACGAATCTGAGAATCACATAAAGAACTCAACCCCTTTTACAACAGCTGGAAAATAAAATAAAATACTTAGGAATATCTCTGCAAGGAAAACTACAAAACACTGCTGAAAGAAATCACAGATGAAACAAACAAATGGAAACACATCCCATGTTAATGGATGGGTAGAATCACTATTGTAAAAATGACCATGCTGCCAAAAGCAATCTATAAATTCAATGCAATTCCCATCAAAATACCATCATCATTCTTCACAGACCTAGAAAAAACAATCCTAAAATTCATATGGAACCAAAAAAGAGCCTGCGTAGTCAAAGCAAGACTAAGCAAAAAACAAATCTGGAGGCATCACATTACCAGACTTCAAACTATACTACAAGGCTATAGTTACGTGGTACAGCATGGTACTGATATAAAAATAGGCATATAGACTATTGAAACAGAATAGAGGACCCAGAAATAAAGCCAAAAACTTATAGCCAACTGATCTTTGACAAAGCGAACAAGAACATAAAGTGGGTGGGGAAAGGACACCCTATCCAACAAATGGTGCTGGAATAATTGGCAAGCCACATGTAGAAGAATGAAACTGGATCTTCATCTCTCACCTTATACAAAAATCAACTCAAAATAGATCAAAGATTTAAACCTAAGTAACCTAAAACCATAAAAATTCTGGAAGATGACATCAGAAAAATTCTTCTAGACAGTGGCTTAGGCAAAGAGTTCATGATCAGGAAAGCAAATGCAACAAAACAAAGCAAATTCAACAAAAACAAAAGCAATGCAATAAAAGCAAAGATAAATGGATGGGATGTAATTAAACTAAAAGGCTTCTACACAGCAAAAGAAATAATCAGCAGAATAAACAGAAAACCCACAGAGTGGGAGAAAATCTTCACAAACTATGCATCCGACAAAGGACTAATATCCAGAATCTACAAGAAACTCAGACAAATCAGCAAGAAAAAAAATAATAATCCCATCAAAAAGTAGGCTAAGGACATGAATAGACAATTCTCAAAAGAAGATATAGAAATGGCCAACAAACATGAAAAAATGCTCAACATCACTAATTATCAGGGAAACGCAAATCAAAGCCACAATGAGATACCACCTTACTCCTGCAAGAATGGCCATAATTTAAAAATTAAAAAATAATAGATGTTGGCATGGATGTGGTAAAAAGAGGACACTTTTACATTGCTTGTGGGAATGTAAACTAGTGCAACCACTCTGGAAAACAGTATGGAGAGTCCTTAAAGAAGTAAAAGTAGAACTACCATTTGATCCAGCAATCCTATTACTGGGTATCTTACCCAGAGAAAAAGAACTCATTATATGAAAAAGACACTTGCACACACGTTTATAGCAGCACAATTTGCAATTGCAAAAATATGGAACCAGCCTAAATTCTCATCAACCAATGAGTGGATAAAGAAAATGTGGTATATGGGCCGGGTGCAGTGGCTCACGCCTGTAATCCTAACACTTCGGGAGGCTGAGGTGGGCATATCACTTGAGGTCAAGAGTTCAAGTCCAGCCTGGCCAACATGGTGAAACCCCATCTCTACTAAAAATACAAAAATTAGCTGGAAATTGCTTAAACCCAGGTGGCGAAGGTTGCAGTGAGCCGAGATTGTGCCACTGTACTCCAGCCTGGGCAACATAGTGAGACTCCGTCTCAAAAAAAAAAGATAATGTGGTATATACATGCACTATGGAATACTACTCTCCACAAAAAGGAACAAAATAATGGCATTGACAGCAACCTGGATGGAGCTGGAGACCATTATTCTAAGTGAAGTAACTCAGGAAAGGAAAATCAAACATTGTATGTTCTCACTTATAAGTGGGAGCTAAGCTATGAGGATGCAAAAGCATAAGAATGATATAATGGATTATGGGGACTTGGGAGAAAGGGTAGGATGGGGGTGAGGGATAAAACACTACATATTAGGTACAGTGTACACTTCCCAGGTGGTGGGTGCACCAAAATCTCAGAAATCACCACTAAAGAACTTATCCATGTAACCAAAAACCACCTGTTCCCCAAAAACTATTAAAATAAAAGAAAGTCATTATGCTTTGGTAAAATTAATTAGAAAGGATTCTGAAATGGGAACAAGGGTTTTTGGGTCTGAAGCTAGATATGAAAGGTTAACATTTTACTACTATATTCAGTAAGCTGAGTTTCTATTCTCTACACCATCAAACTTCACGTAAGGGTGCATATTGCCTTTAAGGGTCCTTCCAGGTTTAAGTCTTCAAGACTCAATAATTATATTTCTTTTCTTAGGGTGTGCATATCATTGACCCCTAGAAGGACATATGATTCAAGTTCTGCTTTCCTGTGTCAGAGTAGGCTGCTGTTTTCCCACTATGGAGGTTTACCTTTACCTTACCTGTTCTTCTTGTGGAAGATGCTATATTTATCACATGGTTGGATGGTGTTAAGATCTGTGCCTTGATCAGGGGCATTCTGTGGTCAAGATCAGGATTCATAGTGTGGGACCCAATCTGTAACCAAGATTGCTTTCTGTCTATGGTTACAGAGCTGAGAAAATTAACCAGCTGAGATCTTTGAAATCATGTCTTTAGACTCGTAACCACAGTCTATGCTCCACTTACCTGACCTGCTAAACTGTGCTGAAGGGTTCTGGGCAGATGAACGTGGGTACTCAAGGATTCTTCTTGTCCTGGCTGTGCCCAACTATGTATATTTAGAAGCTGGGGAGAAAATGGATACTCTGGATCCCCACAACCTCCAGTGCTTCCTTCCAAGACAATACTAATTCAATACACTGTCTGAGAGTGGCCTGTTTTATGACTGGGAGCTCCTTAAAGGAAAGAGCTCCACTAGATTCATCAGTTTTTATGAGTTTACTGTTCCTACCTATTTTAATTGAGGAATTCCATAGTTGTAAGTACTGTGCTAGATATTGGAGATATAGAAGTAAACAAGCCACACATAACCTCTGCCTTCATGCAGAATAATATTAATGCAGAGGTGAGAAAATAGGTGCCTTCATGGGAGAGAAGAAGTGTTGGGTGCTAGTGGAACAGAGAACAAGCATCCTAACCAAGTGTAGGGTTAGAAAAAGTATTTCTGAGAATTAATGTTTAATTTGAGACCTGAAAAATAAATAGTAATTGGACAAATGAATGGTATTAGGGGAAAATGTTACAAGTAGAGGGAACAGCTATGTGAATACCTATAAGTAAAAGGAAGTTGACCCACTGAAGGCACCAGAATAAGGCCAGTTTGATCCTTGTCATGGAACTGTGCTATATCTTGATGGTGATGGTAGTCACATGCATCTACACATGATCAAATTGCATAGAACTGGCCAGGCACAGTGGCTCACGCCTGTAATCCCAGCACTTTGGGAGGCTGAGGCGGGTGGATCACCTGAGTTCAGGAGTTTGAGATCAGCCTAGCCAAGATAGTGAAACCCCATCTCTACTAAAAAATAGAAAAATTAGCTGGATGTGATGGCAGATGCCTATAATCCCAGCTACTTGGGAGGCTGAGGCAGGAGAATCGCTTGAACCCAGGAGGCGGAGGCTGCAGTGAGCTGAGATTGTGCCACTGCACTCCAGCCTGGACAATGGAGCAAGACTCCATCTCAAAAAAAACATTGCATAGAACTAAATACATATACATATACACAAATGAATATATGTAGAACTGGTGAAATATGAATAATGTCAATGGATTATAACAATGTCAACTTTCTGGGTGTGATACTGTACTCTAGTATGCAAGATGTTACCATTGGAGGAAACTGGGTATACAGGATAACTCTCGATTATTCTTACCACTATATGTAAATCTCTAATTATCTAAAAATAAAAAGTTAAAGAAAAAAGAAAAAGGAAAAGAAGGGGTTGAGGAAAAGGGGGAGGGGGAGGAAAAAGAGAAGAACAAGGTGGCAGCCAGTTTGACTGAAGCAAAGAGAATAAGGGAATACGTAGCATGAGTTGAGCCCAGAGAGTTGGTAGGGGGTAGAGATTGTATAGGATTAAAATCAGGTGGGACTTTATCCAAAGATAGATGAGAAGCTTTTGGAAAGTCTTTTCTGAGGAGTAACGTGATCAAATTTGCATTTGAGCATGATCATTCTGGTTTAGGGAATGCATTGGGAAGGGGTAAGATTTACAGCAGGGAAATAAAAATTGAACTAGGATATAGTGGAGAAGAAGTGAAATAGATTTGAAAGATATATATGGTGCAGAATCCATGGGAGTTGATGACTAAGAGGTGAGAGGACAGTAGGAGTCAAGAATGACTCACTGGTTTCTAACCTGATCTTTGGGTGGATGATAGTACTCTTTACTAAAATAGGAAACAGTTCAGGAGAAGCAGGCTTCTCAAAAGTTTGAAGAGATGGATTTGAAATATTTGAGATGCCATTAAGACCTTAAAGTTGGTATGTCTAGTAAGCAGCTGTATGCCTATGTAACTGGAGTTCAGAATAGAAGTCTGCACTAGGTGTGTTCATACACAGAATGAAAAAGTCCAGAAGGCCTACAGTAAAATTCTGAGGAATATTGACATCTGAAATGGGGGTCAAGGAAGTGGAGCCTACATGGAGACTGAAGATTATCAAAGAGGTCAAAAGAACTTAAAGATTACTGAAATTAAGAGGAAAAACATTTTCTGGAAAAAGGCAAGGTCAACAGTGTGAATGCTCCTGAGAGACCAAATGAGGCAAAGTGTCCTAGAATCAGTTAGTCATTGGTGACTTTGGAGAGTAGGTTCGGTAGAGGCAAAGGCTAGACTGCAGTGGGGTTGAGGAGTGAATGGGAGGTGAGTGGATGTTTATAATAACTATGCATAGCACTTTCTTCCAAAAACTTCTGCTTTCCCAGAGGAGGAGAGAAGGTAGTAATTGAAGGAGAGGCAGGGATGAGTGAGGGTTTTGAGGTGGCCATTGTTGCTTTTTGAAGCTGGGAAAGGCTTGGGCATGTGTAAGTGCATATAGGAAGGAGCCTGCCAAAGATAAGAGGTTGAAGATCCAGTGGGAGAGCATAGGGCCTGGAATGGGGCAGGTGCTCCTTGAATACCAAATGTTTTCTGAAACAAATGAGCAGGGAGAAAGTTCCTGTGGGTACAGTCTCTGGGTTTTGTCACACCCCACTAACTGTTCTAAAAATGTTGCTGTGCTTCCTCTTTCTGAAACAGCCAGGACATTAAGAATTGCACAAAAACCACCTTTTCAAACTCCCTAGAGAGGGCTCAATTTCAGATCCCAGCCAAGGTGCTTCCTCTCTGAAGTGCCTATGTGGCTGGATTGGCCCCTCCTCCAACAGCACCTAACCCTGGCTCCCAGCACAAGGGTAGATCCCCAAAGCAGCAACAAACAGAAAAGTTTCCAATGGGGCTTCTTGACCACCAGGGTCGATGTGCCTGGCCCACTCTTGAGGAATCAGCATGGCCAGGCATATTCTCTAACTGATGACTTTATACCCGCTTTGAAAAGGCATTGAGGCTGACTAGATAACCTAAACAGCTTGAAAGAGTGTGCTTAGAGATAATAATGTTATTATATTTAATTCAGATACCCCTTCAATGTCAGTCATTCCCCTTTATAAGCTCCTACTACCTTGTGTAAGGTACCTAACTTTTTTGTTTATCAATGGGTGGCAACAGTCCGTGGAGTTGTTGTGAAGAGTAAAATGAGAGAACATAAATAAAAGAGCCAGGCATATATTACATTCTTAATAAATTCACATCTCCTTCCCCTTCTTGCCAGGAGCTGAAGTTTTCTTCCTCCCAGCAGGTGCCAAAGTCTTGAGTCTGAGGGCCAAAGGGGCTGGACTTAGAGAGAAGAGAGGTATTTCAGGAAGTACCTGACATGGATAAACCTTAGGATATACCATCTGTCTCTTAGGTGATTTTTTTCTTTTATTTTTGGGGCGCTGCTATAAGAGAGCTTTAGATTTAATATGTGAAATGAAAAGTCAGGCTAAATGTTAAACTGAGGCTGGGGGAGTTTGTGAGAGAGATGCTCTTCATGTTATGAAAAGGATCCTTTGCTTTATCATAAAGTTTCTTTAAATATGTGCTCCCCTAGTACAATTAAGCATTTGTTTATAGATCATTAATTATCTGGCAGAGAGGCTTAGCTGGAAGGAATATGGCCTAGAGACACAGCTGGAGAGTTCAGAGCTTGTGCCAAGTGAGAAGCCATCAGAACCAGAGACAGTAAAGCTCAAAAATGATTGTGTAAATTGGATATAAAAAGGAAGTCAATTTCCAAGAGTTCGTCATGTGGACACTTAGAGACTTTTAGCTGGGCTACATGGGTAGGTAGTGGGGCCATTCACCAAGTCAGAGAATGCAAAAGGAGAACATATATGGAGTGTGAATGGGGGTAGAAAGAGCGGTCTGGTTCAATTTGGGATATTTTGAATAGGAGGTGTCTGTGGGACATCAAGGTGAAGAAGGGATCTAGAAGGCTGATGAATATCAGCACCATACTCCAGCAATGCTTAAATATTTGTAGTTTTCTAAAAATTTAAAAACTAGTTCACACTTTTCTGCTTCTACACTAGGCTCTCTAGCCTGAGTGGTGTCTTTCCCTCTGCTCTTTCCCACACCTGCTAAGCTTCTACTCATCCTTGAGGTATCAGCTCCAACTATCCTTTTTAGAAAACCTTCCCCAGCTTCCTCAGGCAGACATGGACTGCCTGTCTTTTTCTTGGACAAACTACTTCTACTTACACATACCTCCATGAATATCGAGGCTCACAAGATTTCCTGGCTTAACCAAGATTACATAATTTAATAAATGTAATAGGCACAGCTCAGGGAACTCATTAAGTGTTACATCATTTATTCTGTTGGAATTATTGCATTTGCTCCCTTGCATATCTCCCAATTCTATTGGTTTCCTAGGGATGCCACAAACTGGGTCACTTAAAACAACATGAATTTATTTTCTCACTGTTGTTGATACAAGTCCAAAATCAAGGTGTTTGCAGAGCCATGCTCCCACTGAGATTCTGGGTAGAATCCTTCCTTGTCTTTATCTAGTGTCTGTTGGTGGCCATTGATCCTTTGGTGTTCCTTAGTTTGCTTGCAGCTGCATTACTTCAATCTCTGCCTCTATCATCACATGGCATTCCTCCTATGTGTCTCTGTCTTCATATGGTATTTTTCTCATCTTATAAGACACAAGTCATGTTGAACTAGGGCCCAGCCTAATGACCTCATGTTAACTTGATTATATCTGCAAAGACCTTGATTTCAAATAAAGTCACATTAACAAATTCTGGGGGTTAGGACTGCAACATATCTTTGTAGGGACACAGTGAAACCCATAACACCCATTAAAAATTATTTCCTGCAGGGTAAGGACCATTTCTTGTTTGTTTCTGTCCCAACACTTAATTTAGAGTCTGGCACAGATAAGGTGGCTCGGGAAATGTTTTTTGAATGATTGACCATAAACCCATGCTTTCTAAATCAAACTTTTTTTTATGTTTTATGAACACCAGTGCCTACTGTGTGCAAAGATCTGAGGTAGATGCCTTATGCTCTTATTTAATTGTATCAAATGCCCTAATTTTGTCTCCATATCCAACAAATGAGAAAACTTAACAAGACAAGTGACTTAGTCAGATCTGCACAGCTAATGGGCAGTAGAGCTGAGATTTAAACCCCGATTTTTCTGATTTCAAAGTTCAGATTGCTCCACTACATTCTACTGCCTTTTCTCTTACCTCTGTTTCAGTAAAGTCTCTTTGTAAGTTCAGACTACCTCAGCTATGCTTAGGGCAACCCCCAAAATGGGTTGGGCTCATTCTTTGGCTCAAGTGTTAGAGAATTAACAGAACCCCTTGATGGGGATGGGGGAATGGAGGGTAGTGGTGGGGGAGGGCAGCATGGAAATGGCAGCAGGACTATAGATAGACTCCAAGGGGAAGGTGATTTAGAGAAGAGAATTAATTCATCCTCTCCCACCCCCCTCCTCAGCTAAAAGGCTTCTTCTAATGCTAAACCTGGAAAATGCTGGGATATGTTTACTTAAGACTAGGTAAGCTAATGCCCGAGGATGAATGAGATTACCTTTTACTGAAGGCTTTTCATTGTAATCAAGGGAATGCCGAGCAATGGAGGACAGCGATAAGGCCCACTAGAAGCTGAGCTTCATTATTGATTTGGTCATGTCTTAATCAGTTTTGTGCTGCTATAATAAAATACCACAGACTAGGTAATTTATAGACAACATAAGCTTATTTGGCTCATGGTTCTGGAGGCCGGGAAGTTAAGGGGCTACATCTGGTGAGGGCTTTCTTGCTGTGTCATAGCATGGTAGAAGGCATCACATGGCAAGACAGATGAGAGAGAGAGACAAAATAATTTTTTTCTTTTTTTCAGATATAAGGTCTTGTAATGTTGCCCAGGCTGGTCTTGAACCTGGGCTCAATCCTCTGTCTCAGACTTCCAAGTAGCTGGGACTACAGGCTTGTGCCACTGCGCCCAGCTCAAACTCGTTTTTATAACAAACTCACTCTTGCAATAATGAGCTCACTCCTGAGATAATGATATTAATTCATTCATGAGGGCAGAACCCTTATGATCTAATCACCTCTTAAATGTCTCACCTCTCTACACTGTTGTACTTGAGATTGAGTTTCCAACCCATGAACTTTGAGGGGCACATTCAAACCATAGCAGTCAATGACAAACTCTTTGACTTTGGGGAAATCATCATCCTTCTGGCCTCAGTTTTATCATCTCTAGAATGACAGGTTTGATACATAAGTTCTCTGAGGTCACTAGTCTTGGTTTCCTCATTCTATAGAATCTGTTTCTGTTTCATAACTCTATTTTAAGGTGTTTATCACATTGCCAAAAAAAGGGAAAAAAGAACCTTCAGGATGAAATTTTTCTATGCCAAGGAAAAGATTTTTTCCCCCTTTTTGCATGCAAAACTCTGCCTTTCTTCATTTGTGTCTGTCTTTTCATTCTGGTAACCCTCACAAGTTTTCTCAGTGGCAACAAGCACTCTCTGGCATGACCGACCCTTCCTTTTCTTGATACCAAAGAGAAGGCTTTGCTCGTAAAGTTAAAAACACATGAATAGTGCTGGTAAATCTGTTACGTGCTCTTGCTGTGACTTATCCAAACAAAGAGATGGAAGAGAAAAGGGTGCACAGGTCCAAATTGTTTAGCTTGGGGGCAGTTTTGCAGTCCTCTTGCCAAATGTAAGCATAGTGATTTCACTTCCTACTCTGCTTTCAGCTTCTTGAAAATGTGCAGGCCCTAAGTGAATGTTTTCTGACAGACTCTTTCTTCCTTGGATAGGCACTGAACATCTTAAGTGGAAAAATATACCTCGTTGTTTATGCAGTTCAGGTCTGCCTCCACCTAGGAAGTGGTAAGAGTCAGAGGGGTAGAGAGTTTTGAACATTTTATCTTTTAATGTCACTGCAGCAGAGACGGGTTGGCTTGGGAAAGACAGTGTTCCTCTCGCCAAGAGTCTGTGTCTCAGCTGTCTCCTGAGCTGGTGAGTCTAGCTGCCAGAGGACCTTAAAGTTCTTCCTATGACTTGGAGTTAGTGAGCTTAACGTATGTCTCCCTCCCTTTCCTTTCATAAAGTCTTCTTTACATCTTGTCCCTAAAGAATCAGGGAACATGATTTGGATTTTCCATTCAAGTACCCCTTACTCTACCCAGACCACATTTAGTGCTATCAAATATATCCACAGTGTGGCTCATGCCTGTAATCCCAGCACTTTGGGAGGCCAAGGTGGTAGGATCACAAGGTCAGGAGATCAAGACCATCCTGGCTAACATGGTGAAACCCTGTCTCTACTAAAAATACAAAAAAATTAGCCAAGCGTGGTGGCGGGCGCCTGTAGTCCCAGTTACTCGGGAGGCTGAGGCAGGAGAATGGCATGAACCCAGGAGGCGGAGCTTGCAGTGAGCCGAGATTGGGCCACTGCACTCCAGCCTGGGTGACAGAGCGAGATGCCGTCTCAAAAAAAAAAAATATATATATATATATATCCACGCAGCAAGAATAGTACAGCCTCCCAGTTTCTATGTGGAGTTGGTGATGGGGAATTAACACACCCAGTGGATGACAAGCAGTGTTCCAAGACCACTGGAGGCAACATAGCAGAGTGAGAACCATATGGACTTCATACCAGGTTTGAATCCAATGTGTGACTTGGACCTTCACCCTCCCTCTCTGAACCTCAGTTGCTACATCTATAAAATAGGGATAACAACAATCACTTTCCAAGTTTATTATCAGAATTGCATATCCAGCACCTAGCATTACTGGGGATCAAGTAAGGGGTTCAATAGATTTTAGTCCTCTTCTTTGTCTCTTCCTCTCATATATATATAAAATTTCACTTACTCCATTTGAAAATCCTAAAATATGCGTTTCATTTTCCCGTTTCACAAATGGGGGAAACTGTCTGTCTGATTCTCTACTGTATCCCAAGCATTAATCAGAGATTCTGGCACATTATAAGCGCTCACCAAATAGTTCAATAGTAAATAAATGAATGAACAAATAAGACAGTCTTAAAGGAGTTAAGAATCTTGCCTACATTTTCACAGTTAGTGTCCCAGAAGAATTAGGACATAAGGCAGGGCATCACAGAAAAATTCATGCAAGGAGACAAAAAGAGAACCCAGAAATGGAAACAGAAAGGCATAACATAGTTCATCCTTTTTTATGATTGAGAACACTGTGTTTCACAATTCTGAAGCCATGTTTTAAATATATAATATCTGATCATGATTTTAAAAGCAGACAATAAAACCCCAAACTCAACTTAAGTCCTACAATTTATAAAAGTACAGACCTTAGTAAGATTCCAGCTTTCTTAAACAAGGCAGACTGCCTTTGTTTGCCAGGAAGGGATGGTGGGTGGCATATCTACAGTAATACTGCCCAGCCTTCAGGGAGGAGGAAAATCCTTCACCCAAAATGAACTGGCTCCAGGAACCCATCCTTGTCATTACCCTGTGACCTCCTGAAAGGAAAGAGTAATAGAAATTATCTCAGAAGGTAAGAATGAAAAAGGCAACTCATAGTTTTTGCAACCTACTGTGTGACAGGCACTGTGCCTGCCAGGCACTTTACATGCCTTGTCTCAGTTAGACATGAAAACCTTATAAGGATCTCTTTGACAGTTGAAAAACCTGAAACTGAGAGTCATAGATTTTCCTAAGGTTTCACAGTACCTTGGTGATAAAGCAGTAATTGAGCCCAAAACTGAGTTAAAAGCCTGTGCACTTTTCACTTTTCATATTGCCATATACCTCTCGTGACATGCTGCCTCTCCAGAATGGGTCCCAAAGCCAGCAACAGAGCTTAGTGGTTGGAGACCATTTGATGGCCCAGCAATGTGGCCAAATATGTTAGCAGGGTGGGAGGTAGGGTCTTTTCCAGTTACCTACTAGACCTACCAGTTGAGATAAACCTTCCCTTGGCCACTATCCAGAGTCCCATGCACCTGTGTGCATCTTTCTCTTATCCATCCTTACGTTAGCAAAAAAATGCCTCGCCCTTAACTGATTATCTCTTTTTCCTCTATTCTTGCCATTTCTTTTCCTTGATAATAGAGGTGTGCCTGATAATAAAGATGGGGAGGTGGGGTTTTAATATTCTGCACCCCAATACATCCCCTGCCAGCATTAAAAGAATCTATGAAAAGAACTATCAAAAGAAAATGTATTGTATGTTGTATATATGAGTCAGTTTTCCATTATAATATAAAAACTTGGAGGGAAAGGATTTTTTTATATTGGTTGACATTAATAAGTATTCCTTTGTGCTACTAAATAAAGAAATTTGTGTTAGTAAATGAAAGAAAGCCATCTTTATCCTGTGGATTGGATCTAGTACATTCCCACCCACCACAACATAGAATGAAAATATAAATGAACTCCAGGGTGCTTGTTGGGACATTTGGATGATAGTGCCTGTCAGGATCTCACCTGGACCAATAGGGGTCATCTGGACATCCCTGGAGAACTTGTATATGACCCTTTGAGGATGAATGTTTCATCATCTCCCCATCCTGACCAGAAGAGCACAAATCCTGTCAATGAGGCTAGAGAGTCAGACTCAGTGGGAGCCAGAATTGGGGCAGAAGTCCATGGCTGGGGCTCTAGAGTCACATGGCCTGGGTTTTAATCCTGTGTCTACCATTTACTCCTGTGTGACCTTGGGAAAATTACCCAACATCCCTATGCCTTGTTTCCTCACCTTTAAAATGAGGCTAATAATAATAGTACCTACGTCCAGGACTACTTTGAGGATTAAATGAAAAATGTACATAAAGCCTAGCACAAGGCAAGCATTCCTGAAAGGTTTGCTACTATTATCTCTATTCTTATTCTTATTCCTCTAATCAATAATAGGGTAAGAAAACACTTTTGCGGGGTATTGGGGAGGCTGACATTTTTCACAGAGATATCTCTGACTGGGGCTATCCAGTTGTCTCCTTTTTTGGCTCAGATAATCCTCCACTCTTCCCCGGCAGTAAGAGGTGATTACCAACAGGTTCTAATGCCTTGGCCATCAGCAGAGGATATATGCCAGTAGAAATCTGCTTCAACAGTTGGTAACCTCAAAGAGCTTAAAAAATTCAGACTCTGGTGTAAGGAAGCCATGATTTAAGAAACCACAGATAATGTAGTCAAATCTTCAGTGTTTACAAAATTATTAGTTACTTAAGACATGAATGATTGGAATGGTAGATACTGGACTTTCCCATAGGGTCTAATTCTCAGGTTTCTAGGTAGGGATTCAGCCTCTAGGAAAAAGGGAACAGGGATTAAATCCCATAGTCATTTCAGCTCCTTGTTGCTTCAGGAAACTCTGAGGCAAGGCCTATATCAAAACAGCCATCACAACCTAAGTTTCGAATCAAAGAAACCCAGGTTGAAGTCTTTTCCATGTAACTATAAACAAGTTCTATGATCTCTCTAAGTCTTAGTTTCCTCATCAGAAAAATGGAGATATTAATAATACTGACTTTATGGGATATTTTGAAAAGATTAAAAGAACTAAATATGTAAAGCAGTTAGTACAGTTCCTATCATGGAAATCAATAATCATTAGTTCTGTTTTCATTTCTCTCCTCTGATTTTGTATTGACTTTCTGGTGTGGTTGAGAGACATTCTTAAGAAAATCAGAGTTCACAGTTTGCTGCATACTTCTGAGATGACTTAACCTTCTGAACGAATGTTCTCCTTTATGCCTTTGACTCAGAATGGTAACCTAGAGTTGTCTTTTTTTTTTTTAAGTCTAGGGGTACACTCTGGCCCTATGAGGACTTGTGAAGGGCAGGCATTTTGAACCACCAGGTGCTTGGGATGAGCAGAGATGATAACCAGAGAACTAATGTGGTCTCTGAAGGAAGGTTGCCCTATTGTCTCAAAAATGATGTTGGAATCATCAGAAGACTAGAATGAGGCAGGGTTCTCCTTAACTAAGTAGGGGGTTAGAGAGTCAGTGACTTCCAGCCAACAACAACAGGATAAGAAAGAACTCTAGCCTTGTGGAATAAGGCAGAATCACCATCTTGTTTCCCGGAAGGCCCAGAGACTGTGTCAATGAGGTTCCTGCTACTATTATGTTATTATTAGGATTAGTGTATGACCACCATGTGTGACTGTCAACTTGACTATTTTTCTTCTGTGTACATCATTTTTCTATTTATTTCCATTTTGTTCTCTCCTCGTATTTGGAAAAACATTTTGAAAATGTTAACTATCCAGTGGTTGCTAAGGGAAAATGGGAAATAGGCTTTTATTGATGTTCCAGTCAGATAGGAGCCAGACATGGTGGAAGCACAGAAACACAGAGAGGAAAATGAGACTTAGAGGGACAGAATATGGCCCTTCGTACACCTGTTGCCTCTCATCTCTGGGTAGGGGGGTTCTTTAGGGTCTGCCTTTCAGACATGCACTCATTCAACAAGTGTCTGTTTAGGGTTTCTCATGTGCCAGGTTAGGCACAAGGATGCAACAGTGAAGAAAACAGATATGGTCACTTCTCTAATGGAGCTTTGATCTATAGGCAGAGATAGACCATAATAGAATAAACACATAATTACATACTAAGATACACTCCATGAAGAAAACTATAAGAAGCCATGGAAGTGTGTAAGAAGGACTGGAGCTAGTCTATGGAGGGGGATGGAAGGAGTGAGTCAGGGAGGACTTTCCTGAGGAAGTGACATTTCACCTGAAAAATTACAGAATGAGTTAATTTAATAAAGGAAACCAGAGGCAACTTCTCAAACTAGTTGGCCCCTAATTGAAATTCATAATTTCAAGAAGCGAGTTGCATTTTTCCGAGGTAGGTCAATCTTTTCATTTCTTTTTCAAAACGAATTCAAATGTTGGTTCTTTGTGACAATTTTTTACATTAATAAATTTATTTTCATCTTTAACCACAGGGAATCTATTTACTTTTTGTTGCTTATGCAGAGTATATTATACTACTAGTAAAATGCTGGGATTCAGATCATTTGTTTGACCAATGATTTCCATTTGTGACCCACATGAGCTCATAAGATAGCTGAGATCTGAATGGTTGAATTTGACTGCAGTTTGCCTGAACTGAACTTCAAGCCAATGTGCACATCCACAAGGCTTCAGATTGCTGTAAACGCTTCTACACTTTACATTTTATATAATGCATAGAAGTTTTTATTTCTTCTCTTAAAAAAATACTCAACAAAGTCAGTTTGAAAGAATGAATGGCCCCAAACACAGTATTTCAGAAGTATTTGCTGCAGGTTTGGGCAAGCCCTGTGGCCTCAGAGGCTCTTGAACATTTGAAATTAGAGAGCTTCTTTAGTGACTGTGACCCATGACCACAGAGTTTTATTGAAGGGGACAGCATTTGGCGGGAATCATTCTAGGATGCTTGTTGGATTATCATTAGCATTGTTCAGTCTGTTATATTCAATTTGATTCAGTAAAAATATATTGGACACCCCCACTCTGTGTCAGAATGGGGATATGTGTTCTTATAATTATAACTATAATAATTATTTTAACAGTAACAGCAGCAATCATTTACTGAGAACTCACCACAGTGTCAGGCACTGTGCCAAGCATTTTACATAGATTATCTCATTTAATCCTCAGAACATCTCTGTGAAGTTGAATTAATATTCTTATGAAGAAAATGATGCTTGAAGAGATTAAGAAACATACCCAAGGCCACACCATAAGAATAGACGTTACTTATCAGACCAGGATTTGGACCCAGAGCCTAAGACTAAATATACTGTTTTCTTTTTACATTGGCATGTCATTTTTCAGATGAAGAAATCATAACTCAGAGATGCTAAGTGACTTCCCCAAGGTTAGATAGACATTTAGGATCCCTATATATTTTTCCTGAAAATAATAATATTTATGACTTGTTGAGAATTTCCTGTGTGCTTGGCATGTTACCTTAAGATCTTCTAACTCAGAGGTGCTCAACTTCGTCTCATGTTAGAAGACTCTGGGAATTAAAAAACAACAAAAAAAATCAATGCCTAGGCCCCATCCCAAACCAATTGAATCAGGGTCTCAGGGGATAGGACCTGGGGATGGAATATTTTTTAATTCCCAAGGTGATCCTTATACACAGAAAGGGTGGAAAATTCCTGGCCCACGTCTCACAACACCTTCACAGGTGAGAAAGCTGAGGCTCATGGAGGTGAATTGTCTTGCCTAAAGTTACAGCAAAGATGTAACAAAGTCAGGTTTTAACCACTGGTTTGATTCCTAAGCCCACATTTCTTTGGCCCTCCAATCTGTCATCTACATGACAAGTTTACATTCCCTCTAAGTCTCACCTGGATAACTTATCCAGGTGATGTTCATTGGCCTTTAAGCCTGTACCCAACATGCAGCTCCTCTCTTTGCTTCCTTCCCCCTCTGCATTGCTATTCTCTTCCCCTGCCCAAAATCCCACAAGCAGACTCAATCAGACTTCATGAGCAGGAGTGCATATGAATGAGTTGGGTTGATGCCCCTGCTTTATGGTGTGACTACACAGCTCAGGATAATGCCCACTACAGGCCTCCCAGTAGCTCCAGATCCTCCTGGCCATGTATCAACGTTCCTTCCTTGAATCAACCTGAGAAGACAGTGGCCCTCAGCTTGCAGCACAGCAAATTACTTTTCTGGGCAAAATAGGAAAATTTAAAAAATGTAAAAGGCCATAAGACAACATGGAAAAATCTTAAATGCATATTATTAAGTAAAAGAAGCCAATCTGAGAAGGCTACATAGTGTATGATTCCAACTATATGACATTCTGGAAAAGGCAAAACTATGGAGACAGTAAAAAGATCAGTGGTTGCAAGGGTTGGGGCTGCTGAGGTGGGCTAAATAGGTGGAACACAGAGGATTTTTAAGACAGTGAAGTTAGTCTGTATGATACCATAATGGTGGATACATGCCATTATATTTTTGTCCAAAGTCATAGAACGTACACCAAGAGTGAACTCAAATGTAAACTGTGGACTTTGGGTGATGATGATGTGTCAATGTAGGTTCATCAGTTGCAACAGATATACCACTCTGGTGGGGGATGTTGGTATTAAGGAGGCTATACCTGTGTGGGTGATAGGAGGTATGAAGGCAATTTCTGTACTTGCCTCTTAATTTTACTATGAACCTAAAACTACTATTTAAAAAGTCTTTCAAAAATGTAAAAAGCAGAGACTTGAAAAGTCTAATCAAACATCACAGGGAAAAAAGGCAAAATCATGAAAAAATGTGGTCAATCATTAGCAGAGAGGTTGAAAAGGCACGCTCCAATTGCTTTAAAAATTTACAAAACCCAGGTCTCCTTAAAAATAGTTTTGCAAACTACATTGAGAATTCCATGTAGTAATATGAAACATAAGTCCCACTGCTGCCACTGAACATGCTTCAGCTGGCTAAACCAAAGGAGCCTGACATTAACCCAAGGCTCTGCAAAACTCAACAGGAGAGTGGAGTGGAGATGCAGTTGCAAAGCTGCCCCAGATGTGTACATTTTCTGCTCCATTAAAATGACTTGGATGAAAGGCAAAGCACATTTGGCCCACAGAAAAAGAGAGTCGGGGGAGGGGTGAGACAGGACAGTCAGCGTCTTCGCAGGCCTCTGTCTCCCCAGACTTGCGTCCCCTCCAATCCTTCCCCACAATGTTTCTAGAGCAAACTGTCTAAAATTGAAATATAACCACAAGCCTTCCAGGGCTCCCCAGAGCCAAACTGCTTTGCCATAGTTCTCCATGTTCTCAACTCTATCATGTGTTTAATAACACCCACCTGAAGAATTTGGTGTGAAGTAATTGAGATCATGTATACACAGCGCCTGGCATGCATGATTTATAAGCTTTAGAGAAAAAATAGGTATTACAATTATCATCACTGAAACCAGGTCATATGAGGAGAGACAGGTGAAGGAAATGAAGATGTTTGGGCAGAAGACAAAGAGCTGGGAGACAGGATTCCAAGTTTCACCATGTCTGAAGGGCAGGCGTGAGAGTCTTGGTGAACCTAGTATGGCTGCTATAAGGTTAAAGATTCTACCTCAGTGCAAGTAAAAAAGACCTTTCTAACACTTGGTAATGTATAAAAGTTAAGGGGAGCTAGTAAGCTTCCTGGCATTAGAACTGTATAAAAGGTGTTCTAGATGCCCATTTGGCAGAAATATTGAAGAGGGGATTCAACAATGATTTGGTTAAACTTGAAGTTTGCAGTTGCCTCTTTAAGTCTGAAATCTGTATTTAAACTATCTTTGCTCACCAGTCAATGAATCATCAATATCTTGAGTATCTGGTATGTGTAAAGCCCAGGGCTATGGTCTCCAGGTCAAAGTACTGTTGCTCAGTTTTCAGTAGGGTGGAAGAGGCGCCCTATGGCACATAGTAGGTTTTCCATTAAGCTGTATCCATAGACTGAATGTGTGAGTCACACAGGAAGCAGGAACTGACGTCTTTCTGGTGCCGTCCAAGGGTATCTCTTTAAGCATCCCGTGCCAGTCATGACTACTCCAGAATCGATTCTGTGGATCTATGAAACATGTGTTTTGATCTGTGTTTACTCTGTCAGCATCCGGGTCCATCGTCTGTTCTTTTCCTCTTTCTGGGTTATCGGAAAATGGAACTGCCTCCTTATAGGAATGATTTACAGTGACATGGGTAGGGAATTTGAACCCCAGGGTGCAGTGATATTTAATATGTTAATGAATGTGTCTGTCTTACAAGTGGTAGAATCAATGTTCTTCTGCCCTTCGATCACTGGGAATGGGAAAGGCAGAGTTGGGATTCAGCATCAACCCTTAAAAAGGGGAACAGACTATGCAGAAGCTCTTTAGTTTAATTAGATCCCATTTGTCAATTTTGGCTTTTGTCGCCATTGCTTTTAGTGTTTTAGTCATGAAGTCTTTGCCCATGCCTATGTCCTGAATGGTATTACCTAGGTTTTCTTCTAGAGTTTTTATGGTTTTAGGTCTTACATTTAAGTGTTCAATCCATCTTGAGTTAATTTTTGTATAAGGTGTAAGGAGGGGGTCCAGTTTTAGTTTTGTGCATATGGCTAGCTAGTTTTCCTAACACTATTTATTAAACAGGGAATCCTTTCCCCAATGCTTGTTTTTGTCAGGTTTGTCAAACATCAGATGGTTGTAGATGTGTGGCATTATTTCTGAGGCCTCTGTTCTGTTCCATTGGTCTATATACCTGTTTTGGTACCAGTACTATGCTGTTTTGGCTACTGTAGCCTTCTAGTATGGTTTGAAGTCAGGTAGCATGATGCCTCAGTTTTGTTCTTTTTGCTTAGGATTGTGTTGGCTACATGGGCTCTTTTTTGGTTCCATATGAAATTTAAAGTAGTTTTTTCTAATTCCGTGAAGAAAGTTAATGGTAGCTTGATGGGGATAGCATTGAATCTATAAATTACTTTGGGCAATATGACCATTTTCACAATATTGATTCTTCCTATCCATGAGCATGGAATGTTTTTTCATTTGTTTGTGTCCTATTCTCTCTCATAAGTGGGAGGTGAACAATGAGAACACATAGATACGGGGAGGGGAACATCACATACCGGGGCCTGTAGGGGGGTGGGGGGCTGGGGGACTAGGGGAGGGATAGCATTAGGAGAAATACCTAATGTAGTTGATGAGTTGATGAGTGCAGCAAACCATCATGGCATGTGTATACCTATGTAACAAACCTGCATGTTTTGCACATGTATACCAGAGCTTAAAGTGTAATAATAATAATAATATTAATAATAATAAAGGCCGGGCGCGGTGGCTCACATCTGTAATCCCAGCACATTGGGAGGCCGAGGAGGGTGGATTGCCTGAGGTCAGGAATTTGAGACCAGCCTGACCAACATGGTGAAAACTCGTCTCTACTAAAAATACAAAAATTAGCCAGGCGTGGTGGCGAGCACCTGTAATCCCAGCTACTTGGGAGGCTGAGGCAGGAGAATCGCTTGAACCTGGGAGGTGGAAGTGGCAGTGAGCCGAGACCAGGCCATTGCACTCCAGCCTGGGCAACAAGAGCGAAACTCCGTCTCAAGAAAAAAAAAAAAAAAAAAAAAAAGAGAGGAACAGACTTTCAAGAAAAAATGTGCAAGAGGTTTGTTATTCATGCTCTCTTTATGTCCTTCTTTAATACATTTGTTTTATAAACATTTACTCCCCAGCCCTGTGCTAGGTACCTGGGATGCTAAAGTTACTCAGCCTTTGCCTCCCCTCAAAGAGCTCTTATTCTAGTGAGGGAAGATAAAAAGTGCTGGGACAAAATATTGTAGTAGAAAGAGATAGGCTATCCTTGAAAAGTGTGGGTGGTTGGGAAAGGCTTCACAAAGGCAATGACATTTGAGCTGATTTTCAGGGTAAGTTGAGGAAGGAAGAACTTCCCAGGATGAAGGCAGAAAAAGCACAAAAGCTTGGGACCTGCTAAAACATGCTATCTTTGGAAATGTCAAATAGTTTAGGTGTCTGGAGTGTACTGTGTCTGGGAAGGTAGTAAGAGATGAGATTGGTAATGTTTTGTGGTCACCCCCATTTAGATGCAGAGAGGAGGTTGGCCATTGGCTACTTGAAATCATTTTGGGAACATAGTCCGGAGCTTCAAGGACTTTTGTTAAATACGGCCAACTCTGCATGATCCATCTTGTGAATTATCAGAAGTCTTGCTGCACATTACTTCCCCTTGACCACCATAGGAATGTATTCTTAAAATAAAAACTCACTGAGGATCAGTCCAAAGAAATCATAATCATGACAGTAAATGTGCTGGAACAACTCAGAGTGGCTCCTTTTTTTTCCACAAGCTTGTGGGGCAAGATAAGACCAACAGCTGCATCAGGACAAGTGGTGGTCATTTTTGGCTGTACCACATAACCAGTGGGTTGGTTTAAAAAAATTTGTACTGACCTACACATTTGGATATGAGAGCTATATGTTGATGGGATTCACTTATATAACGCACTGTCTATTTCACAGTGAAATAAATATCTGCCTCATTGTCAGTGCAGCTGATGTGAAATATGAGCACAGTGCTTTGATTTTATAATGTTTGATGTTTTCTGATGATAAAGTAATAAAACATTGTGGAAAATAGTTACATACACACACACACACACAATGAATACAAGGAAAAACAAAATCATCTACCACTACTAAGAAGCTAAAAAAATCACTATTAACATTTTGGTGCACTTATTCTGTTTTTTTCTTACAGCTAAAGTTTATTAAGATGAATTTTTAAAAATATAACATTTAATTGAGTCCAACACCTCCATTAAGCATTCCTCTATGACAATACTTTTCTCATTATACTGTCATTACTTGCTTATACTTCTTTAATACTCCTAGACTAGATTGTAAAGGTTGTGAGGATGGGAAAGGTATGTTATTCATACAGTTACCTAATTTTGGCACAGGAACCCAAAACTGAGATTCAAGTTCTGGTACACTGACTTTGCAAGGCCCAAGAATCCAGGTGTTTATCTTTTCATTTCTATCACCAGCACCTGGCCCAGAATCTGGCAGGTGGTGTAAACTCAGTGAATATTGGTTGCTTGAATAAAGGAATGAATGAACAGATGGATGGATGGTTGGATGGATGGATGGATGGATGGATGGATGGATGGATGGATGGATGTGGGTTTTTATTTATTCTTCTTTACCCAAAATTCATTAACTCCCTGTCAAGTGCCAGGTCTGGCTAGGCAACAGAAATATAACTAGCCATATTTGATACGAGGCATCCCTGTGAAGGTACTGACCTCCTCTGATGTGGGATAGGGTTCCTATGAGTACAGAGCCCAATCAGCCCCCTTTGGCTGGTCCTCACGGCTTGTCTTGGAGGGGACCCAAGCCCCTCCAGGCTCTCTTTGGCAAGAGACAGAGCAAAGACCGCTATTCCATGGAGTACTATTCCTGTACTCTTCAAAGTGCTCCAGAAATCCCTAGCCTTGGGCCTGTGTTACCCAGAGCGCTCCTCAACTCCCTCCGCGATTCCAAGTTGTCCCTGCTCAGTGGTGGGCGTGCTGTGGAGAGGGTATCTCAATGGAGAAAGACTATAGAGGAGAGGGGCGCCACTGCTCCCTCAGATGAGAGCAGCCCTTGACAAACCTTCCACCTCCCCAGCCAGCTGGCACAACTGGAAATCTCAGATAAGCCCCAGTTCTGGTCAGAACTGGTTTGGCAGCTCTAGGGGAAATTTTCTGTCTGACTGACCCTTTCCACAGAGGGAGCTGGCAGTTTTGCAGAACAAAACAAACAAACAAACAAACAAAAAGAAAGAAAGCAAAGAAAAGGCGGGGCCAAACTAAGGGCTGGGAAAGGCGCGGGGAGGGTGCGGGGCTGGGGGCGCGGGTAGGGTGGCTACATTTAAAACACTCCAAACTTCTGCTGGCTTCCAAGTTTACACTTTGAGATTCAATCAAGATTGCCCCCACCCCTATCCCGCATTCACTCACTCATACACTTCTCTACTTGGCAATGCAGTTTTGTTGCAATGCAATTTGGCAGCGCGATTGTTGAAGCAATATAATCCTGCACGCAGCGCACCTTTTAATCAATGCATTTTTTTCCTGCAATGCTCTTGTTATTATTTTTATTGCAACTGAATCTCTGAACCCTTTTCCCTCCCCATTCGAATCGCGCTCCGGCTGTGATTGCTCGGGTCTGACTTTGCAAGTGGCAGTGCGCTTCCAAACCCCCCTCATCCGCCCCTCGTCCCCCTTTCCCCCCCTCCCTCCCTTTTCCGCGCCCAGGCGAAAGCAGCCGATTGGCAGAACGGTGCTTTCAGGAACAATAACAGTGGGGGGAGCCTGGGTCCTGGGGAGCCGCCCCCGCCCCCCCCAGCACCGTAGCGAGACTCGCGCCCCCCGCCGGATCCCCACCTCCGCGCCCGCCCCGCGGGCTGAGCTGCCCGACCGGGGCCCGCCCCCGGCGCCCACCATGTACGCCTTTGTGCGGTTCCTGGAGGACAACGTCTGCTACGCGCTGCCCGTGTCGTGCGTGCGCGACTTCAGCCCCCGCTCGCGGCTGGATTTTGACAACCAGAAGGTGTACGCCGTGTACCGGGGCCCGGAGGAATTGGGCGCCGGGCCCGAGAGCCCCCCGCGCGCCCCCCGCGACTGGGGCGCGCTGTTGCTCCACAAGGCCCAGATCCTGGCGCTGGCAGGTGAGCAAGCGGGCGGGGAGGGACGGTGGGACCCGGGCGGGGGCTGGGACCCCGGGAGGGGCCGGGGGCCCGGGCGGAGGGGACCGGGGGGAGCCACTGCTTGCTCCTTCCTGCCTCCTTCTCCCGTCCTCTGGGCATTTCATTTGGGAACGGGGTGTCTCTAAGAGGCCAGGCCAGTTAAAAAGACCGGATGGTCCCCTTTGTCTTCCCCGCTTCCCCGAAGCTCCCGCGCTGTCAGTCCGTCTTCATCTCTTCATCTGTGTCTGTCCTCCTCTTTCTGATTCTTTGTGTTTTCTTCGTTCCTTCACTTTCCATTTTTCTCCCTACCTGTTTGTACCGTCATTTCTCTCTCACCTTCTCTTTACCTCTCTCCCAGTTCCTTCCCTCTGTTCTTTTCTGTCAAGAATTAAGTTTCTCAAGCTGTCTGTCTCTCTCCCTTTAAAGGCTGTTGGTACCTCCTTGGAGTGAGGAGCAAGAAGGATATTGTCAGATCTTCTAGGTGGGAGTCCCTCCTCACAGAGGGAAGCTATGACATCCTTGTCCCATCCGGGCCAACATTGGACAGGATGAGGAGGCCATGAACCTCAGTGCACTGGGCTCCACACCACACTCTCCTGCCCCTCCCTGGCCAGGTGGCAGAGGTAAGGAGGTAGAGGCCCTAAGGCATCCCTCAGCCTCCACACCCCTTTCTGAATCTCCCAGAAGGCTCCCTGAATGAGAGAGTTGAGGGCCAGGAGAGAGTTTCTGGGTCAGAATAACACTGGACCTCTCATCCCTGCCCTGCCAGGGCCCTGAGAGATGGGCTAAGGCAGCTAGTCTCATCTCCATTTCGTAGATGAGGGTACTGAGGTTCAGTTGGTGATAGGGAAAGAAACCAGCCCTTTATCCTCCTATGCTCCAGTTCTTCCTGCCATGCTGAGACACCTTTTCCTTTGTAAAGAGAAGACAGCTGGCCCTCTTTCCCAGCTAGTTCCAGAAAGTTTGAGTCTAGACAAGCAAGGAAGGGGGAAGTATCATCTCCGTTTTGGGGAGCAGCCTTTTTAGCTCCTGCTGGTAAGGAGAATGAACCTTAAAGTGGGCAAATAGTGTTCCTGCCTTCTACCAGAAAGAACACGAAGGGTTAGTGACTGAATGAAGATGTTTTGTAATTTTGAGACCTTCTCTATTTTTTTCAAGTTCCTTTGCTTCCTCACATTTAGCCTAAAAGATGAACCCAACATTCTCTCAACCCATAGAGACTTGCCCAGGGTCTCATGGCAAGTTAGCTCAGTCTCACAACTCATGTTGCCTCTGAAAAATCGGTTTGCAGAAGTTGAAGAGTGGAAGAACTGGAAACTGACCAGCAGCACTTGGACCCTTTTTGACAGGCTCTATCCATACCACCTCCCTGATAAGCCCTGGCACACCGAAGTGTAGGCCCACCCACTGCCAGACACCTAGGGCCAAAGAAACTGAGGGAGGGGAAGCAGATTTTAGAAAAGGGAACCATTCATAGCTGATTAGGTTTTATTTTGTTTGCTTACTTGCCTTTAATTACCTGAGGGAAAGGATTAGGAATTTATTTCCCAAGACGATAGGCTTGAGGAAGTTATAACTAGGTTGTAACCTTAGCTTCCCTTTTGCTAGAAGAAAATGCATGCATGCTTCTTGACGATTGTATTGTACTCCTAGATCTGGAAGGGTCCTAGGAGAGTAGAAGTGATGTGTTAAAGAGAGTCAGTGATAAGTTTCTTAGTGTGTAATGGCTGTTTTCCTCTCTTGGAGATTGTTTCATTCATCTACTCATTCATTCAGCAAACATACATATACACTGTGCTTGACTCTTCAGGCACTGCAGAGAGGCCACTTAGGCAGATGGCAGCTCCCACCAGCTCTGATTTTGAAATCGACACAAGTCCTCAGAAGCAAGATACATGTAGCTGTTGGTTTGAGAACCATGAATTTTGAACCTGTAGACTGTTCATCCTCCAAGTTAGAATGTTGATAAATCTGTATGGTTATTTAAAAAACCCAAGCATCATTTGGAAACTGGCAGAGTAGGTTCAAAGAAGTGTGCCAGTTTGAATTAGTTGAAAAACACTTCCCCTTACCTCTCTTCAGTTTTTTTCTTGGGAGGAGAAAGGGGAAAAAAAGACAACAACTTGAAGTTGGCCAAACCACATTTTGAATTTTGATCTCCTGGGTACCCACTGCCCTGCATAGAGACCTGATCGAAGGGCCAGGGTGAGTTCGGGAATTCATTACCCTGGAATAACTCCTATGTATCTTCAAACCCCTTCCTGACTTAAACTTGGTGGCTCTGAGAATTGCTTACAGTGACTTCAGAGAGCTCATCTGGCATCTCCTATATGTAAATACCACTGTGCTATGGCACCAGGTGTGAGGAGGAATCCCCTCAAGTGGGAAGCAGAGGTGGCTTTATGTTTGTGGATTAGCTATTAATTGATTAATTAATCTCTCTGACACAAATAGAATGGTTTCCAAGGTAGTTTCAGCACAGCTTTCTGGCTTTTGGTGAGAAGTATGTTGCTATACTGAGTGTTGGCCCAAGCCAGCCCAGAGCTGTCTTGAAGTATACTTCTTTTTATACTCAGGAAATGTCAAAGCCGACTGCTGTGGGACTTTACATTTTACTGCCCATAGTAGGTGGTTTATACCACTACTTATCAAATTACAATCCCAGTTCAAGGAAAAACAAAACTCCTTCTTTCCTGATAGTCTTGCTATATGCCTACACATTATCTCTGTTAGTCCTCTAAGTGACATTTTGGTAGGTATTGCTGTGGTTAGTATTTCCATTTCATAGATGAGGACACCGAAGCTCAGAGACTTGCCTACAGCCACACAGCTAATAAATGGCAAGGCTGGAATTGGAACACAGGTCTTCCAGTGCCAGGCCCCCACTTGGCAGTCTCCTTTGTAAAGTAGCCGATGTTCCCATCAGCTACACAGCATGATTTGGAAGGAGTGAAAGGAAATGGAAAAACTGTCCATGAAGCTTACAGCTCAAGGCAAGTTTTCAAGCCAGAGTATAATTTTAGTTTCTGAGTTTTCAAGCCCATTCTGCTCTTTCTCCATTACCATCCTCCCTCTTACAGAGCACACACAGCTGTCCCCCACCCGCCTATCTCTTCAGTTGGCATTTGCTTGAATAAATCTTCACTAAGGCTGTCCCTCTTGGAGGGTCCACATAACTCAAAGTTTGACTCACCTTTGACCTCTGTTCTCTCTTTACTCTCATTTATTTGCCAAGCAGGTTGTGAAAGTGAGAACTACTCATTTGGAGAGCTCACCATCATCTAACTGCAATCCAGCCTGCTACTGGGGCTCATAGTGTTGAATTTTATTTTTTTTTTAGGAGGCTCAAACTGGTTTCTCTGTGCCTAGAGCCCTAAAATTTTAAGTTGTTCTATCTAGGCACCTGTGCTCTGTTACTGTTGTTTGAGTGTGCTGAATTTTTTTGTTTCAGATGTCTCCTTACTGCTTTCTGTATGCCAGGCCCAGTGCTGTATTAAGTGAATATACCAGTGCACCTATGCATCTCAGGTACTGTGATTGAAATGACAGCACGACCCAGGGGTGGCAGGCGTTGACTTTTCATGTCCTGCTATGTAGGATTTCTGTGGGGGAGGGAGTGATGGAAAAGAAATGGGTATCATCCTCAGGGAGTGTGTAATTTGGGGGCCTCAAAGTAAGTGCTAAATAAAGGTAGAAGCCAGGCACTGGGGAAACACAGAGAATGGACCAATTCAAGGTGGGCTTTGCAGTTTATCTTTTAAGTTTTTCTTTTCCAGCTCCACCATCACTGCCTGCATTCAGGTCAGCATCAGCTCTTATCTAAACTATTGAAGCAGTCTTCTAATTGATTACCATGTCTCTGATCTATTTTCCCAATTGCTTTTAGAATAATCTTCTAAAACACAGTCTTAGTTGACTGCTCTCATTAGAACCTTCTGTAGCTCCCTATTGCCTACTGAAAAAAGTTTTAGTTTCTTAGCCTGGCATTCATAGCCCTCCTTAGACCAGCTCTATCCCAGCCCCACCTTACTTCTCCAGCCTCACTCTCTCTTCCCCTTTCCCTGAGACCTATGGTATTTTTTACTCTTCTGTGAACACACTCTCTCGCACTCCTTTGAGCCAGCCAAGGTGGATTAATCATTGTCTGATATGGGGCCTCTGCCTGCAAGGAGCTCACCTACAGGTGGGGAAGGTAGACATGTGACAGAAGTTTGTGGTCCAGCCCCCCTCCACCTGTGATAAAGGAGTGGACAAAGTACATTTGGAGACCTTGCTTCAGTGGTAGTCCCTATTCCTCCCTCTGCGCCCAAGAGAGACTCTCTCCCTCCTCAGAACTCTCTTTTCACTTTGGTTTTGCCTTGCTTATGGATTGTAGCATTTTATGTCTTGTTTTTATTAGTCATGAATGTGCCTCTCTTCCTGCCTGACAGGGAACTCCTCTAGGACAGGGGCCTGGCTTCCTTGTGCCTGCATCCTCAGTGCCCAGCATATAGTCTGCACTGGTGTGCCCATGTTGAACTCATCAACTTTGGGAAGACAGGTGCATTTTTGTGCTTGAGGAGAGGGAAATAGGGGAGATAGGAACCTCTGCAGCAGCAGCTTGTTTTTCAGAACAGAAACCTGCCGTAGGATTTTAAGTTTTCATTCAACTTTGTTCATCTGGAAGAAGTCAACATTCTTTATCACTCCCTCAACTAGCTAGAAGAAACCCCACACTTGGGGGAAATAGCTTCCAAAGCCATGTTCTTATTGCTTTGGTAATTTTAGCTCATTCAGGGCTCAGGTCCCAGCTTGGCATTGTTAGTCCAAATAGATCATTTGCTCCAGAAATGCTTTGGAACTTCTACAAAGTTAGCAGTGAAGCAGAGGACTAGCCGATTTCATATGCAAAGATTGTTGCGTGTCATCAGTGGGAAACTGCCAACAAAAGGATTTATTTTCTTGAAAAAAGTGAGTGAAAACTTTTAATTTAGGTTTTGACATGTTTTGCTGATATACATTGGAGCAAAGATTGGAAATTGCCTGCTGTCATCTGTTGCGGATTCTACTGGGATGTTAACCATTGAGGGTTCAGTCTAATGTGATTTCTCATGTTCAACAACCACCAATTTTTACAGCTAAATAGTATGTGCTACAGAGTGCTTCAGAGTTCTGGTTCATAAGCAGAAATAAAAAATTGTCCCAGGCAAGTTGCTTTTTATGTGGTGTTTTGCTGTTCAAGAGCACACCAGTTTTTATTTTTAAAAGCACATCCAGAAAGCAGAATTCAGATTGGGGTCTTTGACACCAAGACCAATTCTCTTTCTAGTGTGCCTACCTGCTTTGTCTTATAAGCTCCTTAGGGACAGAAGTTGTGTGTACTCTTTCTACCAGAAGAACATTCGTAATCTGGAGACATTTTCTCTGGTTGATTTAAGTTCCACAAGTATTGAGTTATACTAGGTGGTCAGTCTTATACTCCAGGGAAATGCAGGAAGAGGAATAAGCACTGTGTTTCCCTACCAAATATGTTATAAATACTCACCTGGTTCCAGGTTCAGTGCACATATTCTACATCCTTGTGAGATAGAGATTTTTGTTTTACCCAAGAAAAGAGAGCCATTCAAACAGTTGTTTAGTGAACACTGTAGGTGCCAGGCAGTGGGCTAAGTCTTCCCACATGGACTGGACTTGTGGATAAATATGAGTCAGTTCAGTCCAAAATTCTGAGACCTAAACTAAGGTGGTGGTGGTCATGGTGGACCTGAGATATTTTAAGGAAGGAGGGACTAATTCATGGGACTTAGTAACTGACTGGTTGTAATAATGTGTATGATGATGATGTGGTGATCTGGGCCTCCCTGTCTCGAGGAGAACCCTGGAAGTGTAGCTGGTTGAAAGGGAAAATGATGAGTAGCTTGAGACCTGTCGAATCTTAAGGGCCCATGGAACATCTGGGTGGATATGTCAGGAGAGCAAGTAGGCATGTGGTCTGAGGTTCAGAAGAGCATTCCAAGTCAAAGATCTCAATCTGGAAGTCATGAACTAAGGAAGGTTTGAAGTTACAGTGGGAGAGAGTGCAGAGTGAGAGAAGCGTGCAAGGGCAGAACATCGGCTTTTAAAGGCACAGTTAAAGAAGAGCCTGAAAAAAAAGTGACTGGGGAGAAACAGCCTTCCTAGTCTAACAGATGGACTTAGAATCAGGGGATAACCAGCAGAGATAGGTGTCCTGGAAACCAAATGAGAAGAGAGGTCTTTGGATCCTAGAACTAGGCTTGTTTGGGTTTCTTTTAACTATATAGCAGCTACCTTTTCCTTTTCACTCATTGGTCAGACATAGGATAGGACAGCTAAATACATAAGCAGGAAAAGAAAAGATTTGAATGGGATGATATTTTGGTAATTTTCATTTTCTCAGTTTTGCACCACAGAGGAAGGATCAGCCTTGCTCTTGAAAGCAGAGTTGGGGTCAGAGAATGGAATTCACAGGCATTGGTGGGAGCAATATAACAGCAGAGAGAGCAGACAAATAATGGAAAGGGCTTCTAGCATGGTGCTGAGCTCCCTGTCACTAAAGGTGGCAAGCAGGTCAGGGGTATTTTAGGATGGAACCCTGCACTATGGGAGAGTTTGGTTAGATGACTTCTAGATCATTTCCTTAACTACTGAAGAGGAAATTTTAGAGAGCTGAAAGAGGACAGGCTTTGAAGTTACATAGTCTGGGTTAAAATTGTGACTGTGCTACTTAGAAGCTGTGTGGCTTTGGGGAGATTACTTCACATCTCTGAGTTCCAGGTGCTCATCTATAGCATGGAGATAGTAATTGCCCACTGTGTTATTTAGCAGGATAATATGGAAAAATATCTGGCATATAGTAGGTTCTCATTAAATATAGATAACTGTTAGGAACTACAGTGGACTAATAGGTGCTGAGAGAAGAACAGTGACTTGCTTAGTTGTGGGTACTGCCCACTGTGGAAAGGAATGACTTAGAGGAACGAGCACTTGGAAGGAGCATACAAGTTTAAAATTTAACTTGTGTGTGTGTGTGTGTGTGTGTGTGTGTGTGTGTGTGTGTGTGTTTTAAATCCTCCTGGGACTTGACCTAAGCATGAAAGGCTTACTATTAATATTTCCCTCCCTGTTTGTTCCTCTGCGACCCTATCCTGGGGGCATTTATTGTGTTGGCAGCAGCCCTGGTGAGGCACATGGAGGCAGCTAGACAAATGGCTCCATAGAATGAACTTCCCAGTTTTTTCTGTGCCCCAGTCCTGTACCAAGGCCAGAGAGGTGGTGGGAGTGAGAACAAGGAGACCTACTGAAACCTGGCTAGCAATTCCTTCTCTCCCTATGTGGATGGCCTCAGTAGGGCATTTCTTCAAACATGCCCACGTGGAAGAATCTTCTAGCTCATCTACTGTTACCCTACATTACACAGCTGAGAAAGAGACCTGGAAGTCCCTGTGACTGGCCAGCGGTCACATAGCTGGATGGATCTGTTAAGGTTTTCTACTGTAGTCTTCATGTTTTACAGAAAAGAAAATCAAGAGAGGACTAATCACCAAACAAGTTAATGAGAGAGGCAGGCCTCGATTTGGTGTCTCCTGATGTCTTTCTGCAACACCACAGCAGGGCACTCTTTTTTTTGTAGTCTTGGCTGGGTACAATCCTTGAAACTTGAGAATTTTGTCTGCCTTGGATTTTATAAAAACAAACACCATCGGCCAGAGAATGCACTGTGTTTGTATTTTCTGTGGCATATCTGTTTTTAATGCAAACATAAAACTGCACAGGATTTTTGTATAGATGAAAAACTTTAAACTTATATATAGATATTTATAAGACCTTTACAAAGCATTTTATGTGTAGCCTTTCAGAATTTCATCCTGGCTAACAAACTCATACCAAATTAGGCTCTCTGACATTGGATTATTTTAATTGCCCAGCCTGATTATATGTCAAATGGAAGTTAAGACAAAATTTCTCCCATTTTAATAATACTGTAAATTCTTCATGGGTAAATTCACTTTTGAATACAGACTTGCATTGGGTTTCCTGTCACCTGCTTGTTTTTTCTAAAACACCATTTGCCTATTACCAGCATGCTTCCTTTTTTCCCCAGTAGTAAGTTTAATGGAATGTTTATCCTCCTCAGATTAATAACACCAAGTTCTTCTATATTTTTGAATAGCAGTTTTTACCATTTTTTTTACAAGAAAGCTCTTTGTGGCTTTGAGTAGAGACCCTATTTGGGCATTATTTAGAGCTTTGTGGCTTCCATAAGCCTTGTAGTTCAGGAGTTTGGCAACAGGTCATATTTATATAGTGTTTACTTCAACTTGGGAATTCATCACAGTATTCTCTTAGGGTGTAGGCAAGATCTTGGGAGAAAGGCAGGCACTTTAGGAAGTTATATTGACATACTCATGTTACATGTGCCTTTTAGTTCATTTGAGGAAGTTACAGCAACTTCCTTATTTTTCTCTTGTTGCTGTAGGATAATTAGGTGATAGGAACAGGGCCTGTATTAAACAGACTTGATTTGAAATGTTGGCTCTGCTATTTATGTCTTTATGAAAGCCACTTCACTTCTTTGAGCCTCAGTTTCTGCTTCAGTAGCATTATTGTAGGGATTAAATATAGTGAGTTTGTAAGGAATGTTGCCCAGAGCCTGGCACATAGTAGGTGCTCACTCAGTATTTGTTGAATGGATGAATGTAATTAGCTGACATTGTAGTAGCTAGAAAGGAGGAGGAAAAGGATAATGCCCAAATCTTTGGTGGTTTCCCTTGCCCTGGACATAAAAGAGTCCAGAAGTGAAGATTGGTGATTTTATCTTCAGAGGCTGCACATTTATTTTTGTTTACACTAAAACTGATTATTTGGCCTCAAGGTTAGAGTAGTTGCACAGACCGGCTGAGTAAAGAGCTTTTTCATCCTTCCTAGTTTCTTCTGTGGTTTCTTGGAATTCAAAGCCAGAAGCATATCCCAAAGTCACATTAAAATGCCACATAAAGTATTTACTGTCTTACATGATCCACACCACCATTCACCTTCATTCATGTGACCAGTCAAGAGTTACAGCTTCTTGTCACCCTGTGTTCTGTCTCCTCCTCACGTCTTATCCGTCTTGCTTGCCACTGTCACATTAATCTTCCTAAAACATCTCTTTCATCATGTCTCAGTCTGTGTCAGATACCTGCAGTGGTTCTCTTTGCCTTGGGACAAAAGGCAAACAGGTAATACACAAGGGTAGCCTAACAGCTGCTATTTATTGAACATCTATGACAAGAAAGGCACTGTGCTTGGTGCTTTTACATGCACTATCTCTTTGGAAAAGAGTTTATTATCCCCACTTCACTGGTAATGAAACTGAGTCTCAGACAGGTTAACTAGCTTACCCCAAGCTGCCACAGTTAGTATGTAGCAAAGCCAGAATTCCAAATTAGGACCACCTGATTCAAAAGACTGCACTGTTTTTGCTAGATACTGGGCCACCCTCTCCCAACCATTTCTTCCATTTGTTATGATGACACTGAATGTTCAGTAATCTTCTATGGATGTGAGGTATCTATACCTTCAACTCAGGATTAGGGTTAGGATGGCATAGAGAGCAGATATTTGCACTATATAAGCCAGTGTCTCTCACGAAGTCACACCTTGCATTTTGGTTGGGTTCTTATCATATACTGGGTTGTAAGGACCAAAAACACAAGGACTACTTAGCATAGTGCTGAAATCAAAACAGGAACAGTAAATGTTCACTGCCTGCAGAAAAGAATGAGCAGAGGACTTGGGACTTCCCGACCCTCACTCTGGGAACATGGGTCCAGGAAGAGACTGGTAAGTATTAGGATGGAGCCAGGAGGTGGTTAACTCTCAGAGGAGCCTCGAAATCCCCCTGGCCAAGCATGGAGGCAGCCAGGATCCAGGTCAAGAGGCATGTGAATCAAGGTGCTATCTGCTTCTGTCCCTTTCCTGAACTCATTCCTGACACCTCAGAGCTTCCTGGACTATTCAGCCACCTTTTCAAAGAACCCATTCAAGCCCTGAGGGTTGGCCACAACTTGTTTCTGTTGTGCCTGGTGATGGTTGCTGCTTTCTGGAGACTTACTGAGGATAGAGGACGTGGTCTGGCAAGAAAGTGGGAGTCAAGTGGTCTTCTGCTTTGAGCTTAGGCTGGGGAATTTAGATGTCCTCAACTGTAGCTGTCATTCACTCATTCATTCAGTATTTATTCTGGCTCTACCATGTTCCAGGAATGTGTTTAAAGCATAGGCTTAGGAGGCACATAGATCTATAGCACATCTTGGCTCTGCACCTTCCCAGCTGGGTGACTTTAGGAGGAGAGTTTTGTTTCTTTGAGCCTCATTTCTTCTTTTTTGGAAAAAAAAATGTGGCTTATAATACCTACTTGCAAGGTTGTTGTGAGGTATAATTTATATGAAGATCTTTATAGAGGTATCTGACATGTAGTAGACATTCCACAAGTGGTAACCTAATTTTTTATTGAGGTATATTTCATTCAATGTGAATTTTACCATTTTAACCATTTTAAAGTGTGTGCAAGTGAGTGTTTTTTGGTATATTCCTAAAGTTCTGTAACCATCACTACTACTTAATTCCGGAACGTTTTTATCACCCAAAAAGAAAATAAATCCGTGTTACCCATTGAGCAGTCACTCTTTATTGCCCTTTTCCCCCTGCTCTTGGTAACAACTAAACTACTTTTTGTCTCTATGGATTTACCCATTCTGAACATTTCATATAAATGAAATCAATAAATGGCCTTTGTGTCTGGCTTCTTTTACTTTCCATAATATTTTTAAGATTCATCCATGTTGTAACATGAGTCAGTACATCATTTCTTTTTATGGTTGAATAATACTCTGTTGTATGGGTATACCACATTTTGTTATCCATTCATAAGTTGATGGACAGTTGGGTTTTTTTCCACCTTTTGGCTGTTAATGAATAATGCTGTTATGAACATTTGTGTGTGAGTTTTTGTTTGGGTATATGTTTTCATTTATCTTGCATATACACCCAGGAGCGGAATTGCTGGGTTATAGTAATTCTGTGTTTAGTTTTCTGAGGAACTGCCATAATGTTCTCTACTATGGCTGCCCATTCTACAATACCCAGCAGGAATGTATGAGAGTTCCAATATCTTTACATTCTTTACTCTTGTTATTTTCCTTTTATTTTTGATTTGAGCCATCCTAATGAGTATAAAGTGGTATCTCCTTGTAGTTTTGATTTGCATTTCCCTAATGATTGATGATGTTGAGCTCCTTTCATATACTCATTGGTGTAGCCTGTTTTTATTATTCTTTAATTAAACATTTTTGTTTGATGAGTCTCTATTGTATGGATAGTTCTATGATATGGGCCCTGCCCTGATGAGGTTACTCATACGCCAGTGGATAAGATCTTTAAGCAGATAATTGCAAATAGTAAGATAATAGACTACAAAGAAGGTAGGTAGGATGTGTAGATGTGTAATGCATCTTTGAGAGGGAGGGAGGAGATGAGTGGAAGCTAAGCAGAGTTTGTCTAGCACATAAGAAAGAAGGGCATTCTAATTAGATGGAAGAGCTTAGAGCCTTGAGTATAGCTGGTGGGGGAATGAGGCCTCCTGTCATCAGATGGGGAGTGTCACCCATCTTAGGCAGCTAAGCAGGTCTCTACCTCCAGAAGCAAGCCTGCCCCAAGCCCCAAGCCAGCAGAAGCCAGCAGGCAGTCCTTGCTGAGCTCTGTCATCCGCTGCACCTTTGTCTGCACGGGGCTCTATTGTTTTCAAGGAACATTTACTGAGCTGATTTGATCCTACTTGAGGTAGATATTGTATCTCCATTTCTACAGAGAAAAATTATGCTCAGTGAGGTAGCAGCTTGCCTGACATCTCACACCTACAAAGCGACAGAACTGGACTTGGAATCCAGGTTGTCTGACGCCTAGTTTATTCCACATCTGCACACTGAGCCTCAGCTCTTCTTAACTTGGCATTCAAGGCCACTTATTTTCTAGTTCCAACCACCTTTTCTTGCCTTCTCACCTCTCCCTCCTGCTTATAACTGAACCATCTTTCATAACCATTTTGATCCAAATATTTCCCCCCCTTCCCCATTTGGCTTCTATTCTTTACCCCTCTTGTGTAGTCCAGATTCTTACCATCCTTTAAATGGCTATCCTTTTATGAGCACCAACTGTTGAAGTGCCATTCACTCTGCTCAAGTTTTTAACACATAGAATTGGTAATCTTCACAGTTCTGCAACGTGAGTAGGAATTATTCACTTCAATTCATAGATGAGGAAATAGTCTCAGAGAAGTAAATTAACTTACTCAAGATCACCTAGCAAGTAAGGAGTCTAGCTCAAATGCCACCTCCTTTCAAAAGCCTTCCAGGGTTACACTGACGGAAGTGATCTCCCATGCTCCTAAAATCCTTTAGCAGTTACTTCTCCCTTATTCAAATTCAGCATTTGAGATCTTGGGTTCTCTTTTCTTGTGTTTTTATCTTGTATCCCCAACTGGATGTTTGTTCATCTGTGTCCCCCGGGCCAGTTTAGATCCTACAGAGTAAATTCTCAGTAAAGGTTAAGTCGAGGCATAGAAGGCAAAGCTCTGGAACTGGATTATGTGGTCAGAGTTCTCCTACATTCATGTTATGACAGTAACTTCTGTGACCTTGCACAACAGTGAGCTCTCCAGGATGGGGACCCTGTTCATCCTGCCCCTCCTGTATTCCTAGGCCTGAGAGTTGCATGGATGGATGCACAGACTTCACCATTTAGAACCTTGTTTTTCTCATCTGCATTTTGAAAAATAGAATCGGATGATCTGAGGTTCATTCTCCATCCAGATGTTAACATGGTTTTGTGAGTCCGAACGATTGCTTTTCTCCACACTAACATGATCCTGAGCTACAGAGTTTCAGCGCAGGAAGGCATAGCATAGCTTGTCATTTCTAATTGGTGGCTCTGCATGTCAGACTTTGCCCTCAACTTGTCAAACTGAAGACTAGTCCAGGAGCTTTGCCCCAACACATTCAGAAATCCTAATACCACCCTCATCGTCTCTCTCTCTTTCTCTCTTTTTGTCTGTTTTTTTCACACACACACATACACACACACAAAAAAACACCATTGCAAGATAATTTCATCTGAAGTACTTTCTTTAGATTTTACATTTTAGCAGCCTTTTGACTTAGAAGTCAGCAATGATTTGTAGGAGGGAAACTGTTGCTCTTTTAGAAAACCCTGAGTCCCTATTGTTGTTCATGCCTAACCCATTGGATGTGTTTTATAGGCACAATGAGTGCAAGAATGAGCCATTGTGAAAATAGGAACCCAAGGATTGCTCCTCCACTCAGTGGGAAAGGCCGTTTTCATCAGTAGGGGTTATTAACAAAGACCACCTCTTTTTTTTCTGAGCAGTTCATTTATCATCCTTACCCTACTTAAATCATTTCTTTGTTGTTGTTGTTGTTGTTGTTGTTGTTGTTTTAATTAAATCTCTATTCACTTTATGCTTAAGAGAAGAAAATGATTCAGAACACATTGATAATACCAATTATATTGTGCCATCCATTGAATGTTCAGTGTGTAGCAGGCACTGTTCGGTGGGTTGCGTGAATTATTGCTCTCATCCTCACAACCTCCATTATGAGGAGAGACTTGAGTTCAGAGAGATTAAGGCCCTTACCTACCTGTCCTCATCCTGTCATAGAAAAGCTGAGGTTCACACTTAAGTCTCTGATACTAGACTCCTACCTCTGACCAGCTGGGCCTTCATCCCTAAGAGCATTTGAGAAGATTCAGCATTTGAGTACATTCTGGAATAGTTATGTGCTTATAAGCTGCATTCTCAGCTTTACTAACAAGTTGTAGGAGAGAAGCCTGGCCTGGGAACAGTGTAAGAGCATGTTTAACACATGCAAATACATACACACACACACACACACACACACACACACACACACACACACACAAAACCCTTAAAGACTGGATTTAACTAACTACCTGGCCATATGCTACATCCAACATTGGGCAACATGCTACAAAACGCATTTGGGATACACCAGTGGGAACCTTTGAGGACTATGAGAAACAGCAATCTCTAAAGTGTCAGTTTAAGCCCTGAACACAAAGTATTTTACCACAAGGGGACAGTCCAGAGATGATTCAGATTTTTGCCTCTGGAGCCCTCTTGTTTGAACTTTTATTTTTGAACATATCCAGTGAGAGACAAATCTGGAAAGTCCAGTTTGAAATCTGTGCAGAAAAAGAAACAGATTATCTTAGGTTGAGCTTAAAGAATGAGAAAATGAGTAGAAATAATATCCTTTTATATTTGTGTAGCACTTTACATTCAGTATGTGTCGTGAGCACACGTAAGCAGTGGGCGAGGTGCCAGAGGCCTCTTTCCCACTCCCGGCTGTTCCTCAGACTCATGCCGTGGGCAAGCCTCTTCCATCCTCTGGGTTTGAATTTCCTCATGTAACATGAGCGAGTTGGACCACTTGTTCACTGAGGTCCCTCAAACTCAGTCATGCTGAGATTTGATACCAGTAAAAAGGGGATAAATGTTATTCTTCTCCCGTCTGCCTTACCTCAGCCTGCCTTATGTCAGGGCTGTGGAGATACCCCTGCCCTTCCTTACATCCCTATCAGCTATAAGCTCTCTCATGTCTATTGGCACTTGAGCTGACAGAAACCCACCAAGTTCTCCTGGGAAGACACTTGGCTTAGAAAGATCTCAGTTGAGTTGAGGGATTCATGTGCCATTTTAGTTTAGATCAGATAGCAATCTAAGGGCTGTTCCAATTCAAGATTCTAGAATTCCATAAAAGGCCACCCTTTAGGATGTACTTAGAGAAACCCCTAAGCAAATTCACTGGCTGCTATTTCAACACTTTGTATGACAGTGCTTTTAGCAAACACCCTTGTTCCTAGATCTGCACTGCTATTAGGATCCCTGCATGCAAGAGGGAACCAGCCTTGAGTCTGTTTGTTTTTCCTTTTTAACTGGTCTGGCCTCAATTATTTTCTAGCATTTGAGGTTTTGGGCATTCTAAACTCATAATGACTCATTTTAACTCATGATGAACCTTGTTCTCTTGATATGCATTTTAGAAGACAAATCTGACCTTGAAAACAGTGTGATGCAGAAGAAAATAAAAATCCCCAAGCTTTCTCTTAATCATGTAGAAGAAGATGGAGAGGTTAAAGATTATGGGGAAGAAGATTTACAGCTTAGACACATCAAGGTAACAAAATCTTTCCTTTCTTTGGAGGTATGCTGGAGCATTTTCAGATATCTCGTAGCTAAAGAGTTTCAGTCTGGCTTCCTCTCCCCATGTAAATGTCCCCTGGTATCACAGGCTATGATTTTTTCAGGGTAGTGAAAGCGTGGGACAACTCGTGTGTATTTGCCTTGCTGGCCAACTTTCTAGAGAGCCCTGATTCATGCTGTGCCACCAAGCTTGGTCCTGTTTGCACAGTCTGTGCAGTGTCATCGCTGTTGGAGGTTTGGAACGGTGTGTTTCTCCTTGGCCCACAGCTCTGGAGAGGTCACTGCTAAGCTCCAAGAACGTTAAACAGATGTTCTTGGGGAGAAGTTTAGGGCCAGTCACTGTCAGAGTGCCCCAGATAGCTAAGGCTGGACTCATTGGGAAGTGCACGAGGTTCACAGAAGGGATTTGTGAGACCTCGGGTTAGATGAAAACATTTGCATGAGGTTGCATTTTCTTGCTGTGTGCCCCAGTTGGTCTCCAGCCTTCACTTTGGAAACTGCTGAAAATCTTGTTCGGCAAGCTAGCTGTTTTTTTCTGTGCAGTAGATACCTGAGAGGAAGGGAGAAGGACGATAAGGAAGTGGGATGTCTTCTGCATTGACCATGGTCTGATTTTGGTCACAAGGTTGAGGGTGTTCCCAAGGAATGTAGCTGAGTTCAGTTCATGGCATTCATTGTACTCCTGCTATGCGCCTGGCCCTGTGCTCGTACCTGGAACCATTAGCCAGACATGGTCCTTGCCTCCAGGGGTCTCACATTATAGTGACGCAGACATATTGTAACGATCACTTTAGATAAATGATAAATTCATCTACACTAGTAGCACCTTATCTCAGCAGATAAAACGACTTACGATTTTGTCATGTAACACAATATCAGAGTCATGGTTTCATTGGGCTGGGTTTGATTTGGTTTGGTTTTCCTTAAATTTCCTGAAACTTAGAACTGCCTGGAATCTCATGTCCTCAGTTGTCTGCACTTCCTACACATGCCCCAGTCAGGAGAGCTCCTAACCCTCCTGCCCTGAGTGAAGAATTCATTTGATCTTGTAACTCTCACTGCCCCTCAGTAGAAGCTGTAGCTACTTGAGCTAGAATTTCCTTAGGCAGTGGAACCCCAAGCTCTGGAGGGGGTCCTGGATAATTCTCTTGTAAATGAACTTTCTTCTCTCTATCCACTGTCTTGCTGAGGAGAGTCTGGAAGGAGCCTTGTACTGGAAGTTAGATTCCAAATTCTGGTTTTGGCTCTGTTTGTATCTCACTATGTGACCCTAAGTGTAGTCCTTCCCTGAACTCTCTGACCCTCAGTTTTCTCACCTGTAACATGAGGCAGTTAAACTGAAAGTACCTTTCAATGCTAGAATTCTTTGAACTTTTCAGTTGAGTAAACATTTTTCAAGCCCCTACTGAGTGCCAGTTCTGAGTGAGTAGGCAGAGGAGAAACAGAGAAAATAAGACATGTTTTCTGCTCTAGATTAGAGTAGATTAGAGTTTTTAACATCCTTTCCATCTAAAGCATTGTCGATGAAAAGTTTACATGGTGAATTGCCTTTAGGGGAGGAATTTTATGTTTTTGTTGTTGAAGACATTTGTGAGTCCTCTGGGATCACTTGGCCTGGCCTCATTTCTCCCTGATTCTCCACAAATACATATTGAACACCCCCATGAGCAAGCCACTGCCTAGGCATTGTGGGTGGGCTGGGGCCTGGGGAGTTGGGAAGGGTGGTCATGGTATATGCATCCAGGAGGCAGAGTGGTGAAAAGGAAAAAGTGCAGGCCTGGGAAACCAGTGTCCTGGTTATGACTTTGGGCAAGCCCCTTCCCCACTCGGAACCCCATTTATAAAATTTATAAAATGTTTCCCCATTTATAAAATGAAGGGCTTTGACTAAGTGTTTGCACAGGTTTCTCCAAGCACTGATGTTCTGTGATTCTGTGATTTTAGGATTGTCTGGGGAAATATTGATCTGCAGTCCAAGAAAATCCCAGCTGCCCTTGCCTGAACTGATTCTCGTTGTCCTACACAGAGACCTGAGGGGCGGAAGCCGAGCGAAGTGGCGCACAAGAGCATCGAGGCAGTGGTGGCTCGGCTAGAGAAGCAGAACGGCCTGAGCCTGGGCCATAGCACGTGTCCGGAAGAGGTCTTCGTGGAGGCCTCGCCAGGCACAGAGGACATGGACAGTCTAGAAGATGCTGTGGTGCCCCGGGCTCTGTATGAGGAGCTGCTGCGCAACTACCAGCAGCAACAGGAAGAGATGCGCCACCTCCAGCAGGAGCTGGAGCGGACTCGGAGGCAGCTGGTACAACAGGCCAAGAAGCTCAAGGAGTACGGGGCACTTGTGTCTGAAATGAAGGAGCTCCGTGACCTTAACCGGAGGCTCCAGGACGTGCTGCTCCTGCGGCTTGGCAGCGGTGAGTGCCCCAGCAGGTCACCTACCACTCCACTTGGGTGAAATACTTCATGCAGATCCTCTTCCAGGAAGGGAAAGGGGAGAGGGAGACCAAGTGCCCTGAGGCTAGGGAAGGACAGACTCTTGGCTTACCAGTTACCTCAAGGAAGAGTCACTCCCCACTCATAGTGAATCTGGTAGGAGCTTATGTATGCAGCAGCCTCAGCTATGGGAACATTGGCGAACATGGGTCAGAGACTAAGAGCTGACAAAATATTTGTCACTGCTCAGTCCCTTATGCATTCATTCAGCAGGAGGCAGTAACAGGGATCGTAGGGAACCTCTCCAAGGAGGTTTCAGGATAGTAAAAAGAAGTAGACATGATCCTAACAACATGTATTAGTTTAAGTCAGAAAGTGATAAATGCCAAAGGAGAATGCTGACAAAATGATATGAGAATTCAGGGGTTGGAGAGGTTATTTGTAACTGAGGGCATGGAGAGACTTCAGTAAGAAACTGAGCTTTGAAGGTTGGGCAGTGTTTCAAGGCACAAGAGGAGGCTGAGCAGCACTGGTGAGCATGGGCAAATACCTGGAGCACACTAAGAGGAATAATGCAAATGTGCTTTGAGGACAGAAGATGGAAGGACTTGAAAACTTTACCAGCCTGGGATGTCTGGACTTGTTTTGGTAGGAATGGAAAGCATTAGAAAGCTTTGAGCAGGGAGGCACATGACCTTAGGAAGATGAATATAAAGACGTATAAAACTCCTTTGGTTTGCTCATAGAACTTAATAGGTTCTTATATTGCACCCTATTTTAACTAATCAGGTTTTCTGATCTAAAGTGGTTTAGAAGCAGGGATCGAGAAACCTGAAAGGCAGCAGCTTTGACTGCCGGAAGAAATGACTGCTTACCAGAGAGAAAAAGACAGAAAAATGCTTTTAGAATATAAGAATCCAGAACTGTAAAAGATAGAGCCCAGTCAATATTGAGGAAATCGGTATAACACAAGTTCTTTGCCTCCATAGCCCCTGAAGACAGTAATTAATAACTCTGAGTCAGTGTGCTTTGCTTGAAGAAGGTGGTAATCTAGTCTAGAAATATCCCCAAAGTTTAAATAAAATACAATTTTGCCCTTGTGAAGGTTTTCATTATCTAGATAATATATTTAGATATGAAGCTTCATTCTTCTTTGATTTATTCTTACCCTAATTTACTTATATTTGTAGGTGTCATTTGCTTCTTAAAGTATATCCCCAAGGTAGTGGCTCAGTAGATCTTTGGGTGGTCCAAGAAGTCAGCAGAGAGGCCTTTCATGCCCTTGTCATAGAAAAGGAAATGACATTGGGACTTCCCCAGAGTTACTTAGGGAGGCAGAGGTAGAGTTCTGTCTCAACTCTAGTCACTCAATTCATAGGCTGGACTTTGTCCACTCCCCAACTCTACCATTGCCTTGGCCATTGTCCCAAATCATAGTCTACAGAGGTTCACAGTGACACGAAAAGTCGCATATGGTTTGCAACTTCAAAAGTTAGTAAAGTTCTTTATTAAAATAAAATCTCAAAGAGAAATCATAAATGTAAAAATTTGTAAAAGCTGTATTGTTCTTGTAGTGGTGATGGGGGATGGGGATAACTGAAATTTTCAGAGAGAAAAAATGTTTCCCAATCTTAAAGTGAATAATTTGCATTTTCAGTGTGCTTTGTATGCTATGCCTTTTATGAACTTCTTGGGGGCTTGTGGGGAAGTACACCAAAAACAGAAATTCTTGGTACTTAATTCAACTCCCAGGGAAACTACCTGTTTTTCATGATTATGAACTGAGTTTAAACTCTAGAAACCACTCCTAAGCCTCTGGGGTGGTAAGACACCCTGCATTTTACATCATTATATGCCTCTTTTAGTCCTAAAACATGTAGAAAAACTTGACCTGAAGCATAGTTTCAGTGTCTTGATCTTTCTAGGCTCTCCCATCCCACAGGCCTTGAAGGCCATTGCACAGGCCAGTGGCTAGCTCTTCCCTGATCTGAGTCACCATCATCATTACAATGGGTTGGACTCAACATAAATCAACTGGAGCCCCAAGTATGCATAGACCACCCACCCTATCCTCTCAGGGCTACAGGCATCCTGGAAAATCACACCCACTGTCTCTCATCAGTGAAAGCTTAAAAGTCTATTGATTAACACATGTTAATAGGAGGATGCTAATGTGCCAACTTCCAAGACAAATCCGCAAGAATAAAATAAAAGGATCTCTACCCTTAAGAGGAGGTTGTATGTTTTCACGGCTTGGATTCAAATCCCAACTTCCCTACTTCCCAACTCTGTGGCTTTGGGAAGCTCATGTCCTTCTTTCCTTTCTTCCTTCCTTTCCTATGACCTTATTTTCTTCCATGAATACTTGCTGGTCTCCTGCTACATGCCAGGGACCTAGCCTAGTGTAAGAATTCAGTATATTTGCAATACAGCCCTTGCCCTCTGCCCTTGAGGAGTTTAAAGTTTGATGAGGGGAACAGATCCTGAAACAATCAATGACAGCACAGTACATAAATGCCATCATAGGGACAAAACCATAGAGGACTGTGGGACAGCAGAGGGGATTACCCACCAGATTTTGAGGGGTCAGAGAAGGAAGGCTTCCTGAAGGAAACAACTTTTAGGCTGAAGCCTGAATGATGAATTTTTGTTACCCAAACAGGAATCAGTAGATGGGGAGAGTAAGGAGCAATTTAGGCAAAGAGCATGTATGTCTCTGACCCTCAGTGTTCTCATATGTAAAATGGGAATGATAATATTACAGCCTTGTGACACACCGCATAGTGCCTGACATTCTGTTAATGCTTGATTACTGTTAGCTCCTGTTCAACATCATGTAATGGAGGAGCTAAGACAGGGTTAACTTTGGCTTTTAACTCGGGCACCCCCAGCCAGTAGTTGGCTATATGACCTTGGGCAGGTTAACTAACTTCTCTGCCTCAGTATCCTCTTACAATATTGAAGATAAGAGGGGTTATATATGTTTGTTCATTTGTTTATTCAATCAGTCAGCTAACATTGACCAAATGCTTTCTGAGCCTAGGAACTTAGGGAGATACAAAGAAGATTAAGACATTGGGAAGTAGGGAGAGGGTAGTGATGGAGGTAAACATGTTATTAAAACGCAGAGTGCCAGTTCTGGGAGAGAGATTAGCGTCTGAAGGGAGAAGTCTCTCTTGGAAAGTCTGGTAAGATATCCCCTTGCTGTAACAGATCCTGATCTATAAACACCACTAAGAAGGCAGAGAACAACCAGAAAGCGAATGAGAGACCCTTGTTTGACTCTCGGCTTCAGTTGCCCTCTGAGAAACATGTCCTGGGTTAGGGTTGATGTAGGGCCCAGGCTTTGCCGTTCTCTGCCCCCTGGGCCTCATTTGAGTGTTGCTCCTGGAGGCATATCCTTGAGTATTTTCATTTTTTGTCCACCTCAGCTAGGGGCCTAGCTCAAAGGCCTTTGTCTAGCTTGGGTGCTGGATCATTCACACAAATTCAGAGACGAGGGAGGCCAACAGGTCAGGAGGTGCTCAGTTTTCAAAAGAAATCTACCTGTCTGGAAGAATCATTATTTACTCACCGAGGTAGTGGGGTCCTACGAATGGTAGATGGTAGTGGAGAGCAGCCGCCTGGTCTTTTCAGACTGATGGGGACTCAGAGTGGGAAGCAGGTCCGTCAGCAGCCAGGAGTTGTAATGGCGCACCTTGGAAAGGTTGGGGTCAGAAAGGTGGAGCCACACCCAAGGGTGGGGGATAGCAGCAAGAGAGTATGTTTCAGAGGCTTCACTGAATCGTACACGTCTTCATTTGTACATTTATTCATTCTTTCATTCATTCCACACACAAGAAAAGATGGATTTAACAGGAAGTATTCCAACATGGAGGCATGGAGTTGTGAAAGAACTTAGGCTATAGACTGTCACCGTCATTTTGCTGATGAGGAAACAAGCCCAAAAAGTGTCACTGGCTTATTCCTAAGGGTCTTCTGACCCCTGGTCCTGCGTGCCTCTCTCTAGACCCTCACCCGTATGGCCTTCTTTAGCTCTTAGACTTCATTTTTCCCAACATGGGGGTGTCTCCTCCATCCCCTTTACTCCCCACAAAGGATATCATCTCTCTCTGTAAAACAGAACTTTCCTTGTCTGTGATCTTAGCATGGTAAACAACCCTTTCTGATGGGAAGGAACCTCACTTTCCTCCACTGTCAAAATTAAATAAGGAAGCATATGTAATTTGCATATGTAAACTTTTGCCCCGTGACCCCCATATTGTAAGTGTTCAATAAATGCCAGTCCCCTTTTCCTTTTTCTCCCTTTCCTGCCCCTCCTCCCCCAAATAAGTAAATGCCGAGGATGCAAAAAGCATGGTGACATTCCAATGTACAAGGTACAGATGTTTTTCTATGTATATTCCTTCATTCATTATTTATTTTATTCAGTGAACAGTTATCGAGGGTATCCTTTGTTCCAGGACTGGGTTAGGTGCTGGGAATAACGTAATGAACAAGACAGAGTGCCTTTTTAAAAAACAATGCACAAGTAGATTAGAATGGTGTGTTTAAACCGGGTGTTGGCAGCCACAGAGAATTTTAGGGGATGAAGGGAAGCAGAACAATAGAGACCCAGTTGGGGGAGGGTAAGCCCCCATGTGTGAGAATGGAGTAAATTCTAGGGTCTCTCTTGGTTTCTCCTCAGCTAGATTCCCTGTTCTTAGAAGGCAAAGTCCAAGGCTACGGTGTCCTCCCCAGTTTGTTACACTGTAAGTACCACTTAGACAGTATAATTCATTGTGGTGTGACTCGGGTAACATTAGTTCAAATAAGACTCTCAAGGGCTCTGTGAGGAATACAAAGAGGAGCAGACATAATCCTTGCCTTCAGGATGCACACAAGTCTCACAGGGAACACAAATATGTACGCAGTGTGACACCAGGCAAATAAAATCAGTGCTCTAATTGCAGGAGGGAGGCAGATGATGGTTTTAGATTTTGTGTGTGCTTTGTCAGGGAATATAGGCAAAAATGATGAATTCTAACCAGAAGAGGCATAGATAACTAGAGTAATAACAGTAATTCACATGTGCATGGCATTTTACAGGTTTTAAAGCACCTTGACATTTTTATCTCATTGGACAATTCCGATAGTCTTATTGCAAGCCAGGTAGGGATTATTATCTCCGTTTTAGAGAGGAGAATGCAAAAAGAAGAGAAAATGTCCTGTTGGCTAGATCATAAGCTGGCTGAAAGTTTTGAAAAAGGAGAAAGCCATTGTGGCCTGCATATCTGTTTCAACTTTTTAGAGCTGGATCACTAATACCTCTGTAACCCTCTGGGTTTGTGCCTTGTGTGCTGTCCAAGGTCCGCTAAAATACCAGCTTTGATCTTTAAAATCCTTTGCAGTCTGAACTGGTTTCTTTAAGCCCAGGTCTCTGATGGTGCCTTAGAAAAGGCAGCTGATGTCAGCCAAATGCTTCTTGCTGGTTTTCTCCTGTACTGGAGACAACCTGGGCTTCAGCAACAGATACTACTTGGGTTTGAATCTCAGCTGTCTTAATTTATTACCTGTGTAACTTCATACACATTTGTTTAACCCTTCTCAGGTGTCTGTTTTCTCCTCTAGGTATCTTAAAGCCCACTACATACAGACAGGAGAACCAGCTCAGTGATTAAGAGCCCTAATGGGCTCTGAGGTCAGAAATACTGAGGTTTTCAACCCCAGCTCTTCCAAATTCAAATTTTGTTGCCTCGGGCAAGTTACTTAACTTCCTCAGCCTTAGTTTCCTCATCTGTACAAGAGAGTGAATGATAGTATCAGCTATTATGGTTCTTAAAAGGAGCAAATGGGCCGGGGGCAGTGGCTCACGCCTGTAATCCCAGCACTTTGGGAGGCCGAGGCAGGCGGATCACGAGGTCAAGAGATCGAGACCATCCTGGCCAACATGGTGAAACCCCGCCTCTACTAAAAATACAAAAATTAGCTGGGCATGGGGGCGCGTGCCTGTAGTCCCAGCTACTCAGGAGGCTGAGGCAGGAGAATAGCTTGAACCCGGGAAGCAGAGGTTGCAGTGAGCCAAGATCATGCCACTGCACTCCAGCCTGGCGACAGAGCGAGACTCTGTCCAAAAAAAAAAGGAGTAAATGAATAAATGCAGTAAAGTCATCTGCCTGGAGGCTGGCATATAGTAGGTGCTCAGTAGGTACTGCATCAAGATATAGAATCATTTGAAGATGTGCATGAGAAAATGTGTATATAGCACTTGGCACATCATAGGCACCCATTGTCCTACAGCAGAACACAGATGTGACGGTCTGGGATGTCTTAATCTTTGGTCAACCCTGGATGACACCTAGAGATTTCCTGTTTCCCCTTGTAAGTCCTTAGAAATCATATTTGAACACTCTGTTTTACAACCATGCCTGGACTTGATTTCAAACTCACTGGTCTGTAGCTTATAGAATTTGTCCATTACCACGCCCAACTTTTCCTGGGCAGAATTCCATCTTCCCATCTCTAGCTCTCAACCACCCCATTTGACCTCCTAGATTTTTTTAGACATCACTAGTTGTGGCTCAGTCTTCTCTTTGCCAGGACTCTCTTCTTGGGGCCTGTTTATCTCAGAGCTCTTTCCTGTCTCTTTCAGCCTCAGTTCATTTTCACAATGAGCAGGAGTACTATAAAAAAGTTGGGCTTTGAGAAAGGCCCAAAGCGGGTGGACAAGAGCCATTTTGTCTAGTTAGATGTTTACATCTCCCTTGTGGAGGTAAGGCCTAAGAGGCCCACAGTCTGCCTGCCGGTTTAGAGTTAGTGGTGGGGCAGTTTCAAAAACTGTTGTATCCTGCTTAATTCAGATGGCAGGAAGAGACCTAGTAATAAGAAGTGGAGTAGTTTGTCTGAAAAATATCAGTCATCTTCTACTTTGAAGGACTTTTTTTGAACTGTTGCCCAAATCAGAAGTAGCCACAGTTTAAAATAATCCCAGATTATTTTAAAAGTTGATTTCAGGGTGGCCGAACAATTCAGGACCCTCCTTCCCCTTTCTCCCTAGACTCCGTTTTCCTGGGGGCAGTGGGGATGGGGTTGAGGGACAACTCCAGGCTGTCCCTTTTCTAACAACTGCCTAGGTATTTAGAACATCCAGAGGAAGTTGTTAGGCTTTTCCCCATTGTCAGAATAGCAGTGTGTTTCTCCATTAGAGCAGGGTTTTGCCTTCCATATTGCCATGTGACAAGCTTATGTTTTTTTTGGATTTGCCAGGCAGGAAATGGAGGTGGGAAAGTGTTCATTACAGGCAAAGCCTGGTTTCTAGGAATACCTGCTTTGGGCCAGACACTAAATACTTTCCATATATAAAACAACCTCAGCAGTGGATAAAACAGGCTCAGAGAGATTAGGTAACTTGCCTGAGGCCACACACCCAGGAAAGGGTAGAACCAGGTTTCAAAACTGAGGCCCCTCTTGCTTTGCCATGCGTCAGGCAGTCTGATCACAGAGTCCCTTAGCCATGTGCTTCTGTGGCACCATCCCTTTTGCCTGCCTCCTGATTAGGCCTTCATTGCTGGCCATTAGACCATCCAGTACTGCAGTGCATTCTGTGACTGCAGGACCCTTGAGCTTTTAGATGAATATTTCCTGCTTAATTTAAAAGCCCACCATGTCTTCATAGTTTCAGCCTTACCAGGCAACATGGCCTCAAGATACCAATTGGACAATTCCTGGAGTTTTCTTAGAAATTGTCTCTTTAGAGAGAACCCAGTTCAGCCTTTCACCCCTATCTTATAGATGGACAACTGAGGCCCAGAGAGGGGAAAAGACATATCTATGCCATGTGGAATCAGAATATATAGGATTTCATGAATGCTATATCATGAAGCAGTGGAAGGTTTGTGTTCAGCCAACATGGATGGATGTTTGTTTGGATGCCAGGATTCAGCAGGTCCCAGAGGCTGGCCATACCCTCCCTTGCTGCTCCAGGGGGTACTCTGAGTGTGGGGGGTAATTCTTAGAGTCCTAGGACCTTAGTCCTATAAGGAACCCCAGAGTTCACCTCGTCTAGCCTCCTATACAGGACAAGAAGCTTTCTGCTGTCTCCCTGCCATGCAATCACCCAGCCTCCAGTAACATTCCACTAGAGACAAGAAGCTCACTCACTGCCTTCCAGTGCAGCCTATCTCATTATTGGATAGCTCTGACCGTAGGGAAATGTTTTTGTGCAGGGAACATTATTGGATCCTTCCTCTGTTCCGAGCCCTGTGCTAGGCACGGAGAAATCAAATTGTTAAGCCCCCCTTGCCACCTTAAAGAAGTCACAGTCTCAACAGCAGACAGTTGGGATGCAGGGTGAGCTTTACTTTGGTCCCGAGCTCTCAGGATGTTGGGAAAGGATACAAAAGAGAGCTCCTTACATGGCTGGGGTAGGAGAGTTGTGGGTGGCTGCAGGAGGCCCCAAGTTAAGGAACTATCTCAGGCAACAGGAGAGCCTAAACAAAGGTTTGGAGTTGCAAGAGAGGCTGGCTTATTCAAGGAACTGAAAGTAGTTCTGGTTGGACGGCACAGTGAAGTGCTGGGTAGCAGGAAGAGATGAGGTTGCAGACATAGATGAGAGCAAGCAGAACTACCCCAGCCCCTCCTACAGGTGGTTCATGGGGGCACTTCCCCATTGGAGTGGGCTGGGGTGCAGTCCTTCAACTCCTGAGTTGCTATTTTCCTCTGAGTCAGGCAAATCAATCAACAGCCATTTAGCAAAGATGAATCCCATATGGTCCCTACTCTGGAAGGGCTCATGGCCTGAAGGGAGTATCAGCAGAGGTCAGGGTCATGGATTGATTTGTTGGGCAGACATCCACCATGTGATCAAACTTTGCCTCCTCATAACTCCTACCCTCAGGCACTCACTGTGCCCACAGTGGTCCCTCAGGAAACTGGGAGCAGCCCTTATGCTGCCCACCCCACTTATTCCCACCACAACTCCTTAGCCCCCCAACCCAGCCAACTGTGGTCCATTTTACATGCATTGAATACATGTGTGGGCCTTCAATGCTTCCTTGACAGGGCGTTCTGCACATACCCTGCCATTTGGATACTCTCTGGGCACAGATAGTTGGGCAGGAGAGAAGTAGAAGAACCACAGATGAAGAACCAGTCCAGTTTTCCCTGGCCACCAGAGGATAAGTTCAGAGCTTCTAGAGGTGACAACCTATTCCCCTTCCACCGCACCCCTCATGATTGTGGGGCTTTTCACAGACCCCCTAGGAATGTCAGAGAAAGTCAGAGATGAGCTGAGGGTCCCACAGAGTGAGCATTAGGCAAGAAGCTCTGGAAAGTACAGTTCATTGAGGAGGGGTAGGGTAGTGGAAAGAGCTGTCTTTGGAATCTGACAACCCTGAGTTTGAGCACTCACCACCTATGTGACTTCTGGCAAGTTACTTTACTACTCTGAGTCTTTACAGAGATAATAAGATCGATTTTGTAGGACCACCATAAGGATTAACTTCTTTCGCTAAACACGTGTTTAGTGAGTGTTCTGTATGGAGGACATTGCGCTGGGTGCTGGGGATATAGCAGGAACATCCCCTCGGTGTTTATGTTCTAGTCAGGGAGCTGTTAAACAAACAATCACGTGACAGTGGGCTGAAAAATGCTACAGAGAGAAAAAAAGAGAGATACATTTGATATAAGATACTTAACAAAGAAGACTTTTGTAGGTTTCAGCCACCTTTCCTTCTCAAATATGTCATTTGAAATGGGCATCTGCAATTCCTCAAAGTCGGGGAGAACCTTGACCTCCAAGACTGGGGACCTGGGCCTGCTTTTTTCACCTCTTTCTTCCTGGGTGGGCTTCTCCCCCTTGGAAAGGGGGCTCTCTCGGATCCATTTCAACTCTGCTGCTCTGTGGTTCAGATTCCCCGAGGGTATGGCCCCACTGTGGAGGCATCTGTGTCAGCTGCTGGGATCTCACCTAATCCAGGATTCATGCTAGAATTTTTTTCTCCTGCCTCTGCCCAACGAAGCCTGCTCCTGCCCTCACTCACAGAAAATGGAGAGAGAGAGGACCTGAAGAACCCCGGCCTCACTACTCCCCCACCTCCCCAAGATGTCGCGCATCCATCAAAGCCCCAGTCAGAGATCACCACTTTCCTGAAGCCTTCTAGGATCCCTTAACCGGCAGTGATCTCCCCCTCCCCAAATTCATGCAGATCATCACATTGCACCCTTTGTGCACAGTGAGCCTGTGGTTTGTGCCACTTGCCTTCACCTTATGAGAACTACCCCACCCTAGGGTCACACACCCAACAAGCTCCTCTCATCCTCCAAGCCCCAACACAGAAGTTGGTGACCGTCCTTATGAAGATTTCCTAGTCTCCTCCAGAGGCAGCACCCCCTCCTTTGCTTCTGCCCCAGTTTTTCTCCTAATGCTTGTTAGCCACATGGCTGGTGGTAGTCTGCTGCCTGTCTCTTTCCACTGCTGGACAGTGAAGCACTCAGTTCCACCTAGCACAGGGCTGGCACTCAGGAGGTACTTAGTAGATTCTCACCAAAGGAATGAAACCAGATTTGTCTCTGCTTTCACTGGAAGACTAATGGGGCTAAGAAACAGAGGCACGCTACAGCAGCAGGTGAGAGCAGCTGATGACTTCTGAGAGGGTCTGAGAAGGTCCACAGAGGGGGATCCTCCTACCCAGCTCCGGAGGCATCTTCCCTAGTCTCTTTCCAAGGCCTTTGTTTAACTCCTTCATTGTTATGAAGCTGTTCCCCTGCCCAGGTACTTCTCGACAGTAAAATCATCTCTATTCTGCCAAATCTAGTACTTTCTGTGTGCCACAGCAGATGTTCTGTACGCATTTAGGAATTTTGACTTGATTTGCTATGCATTTATGAAGAAAATAGGATGGTACTTGTAACAGAGAAACTTCCTATCTACTTACAGAAGTAAAAGGATTTAGTCCTTTTTTCTAAAAAAAAGAAAGAAAGAAAAAAGAATCGAATATTATTAACCTTTCCATTTCAGCTGAAATCAGAAATGATATTTAGTGTCCAAACACATACATGTTTGAAAAAATAGGTGATTTCTAAACCCGGAAGTCACACAAACATAAACATTTGTGTTAATCAGAAAGAACAGCATTAGTCCAGTTTACGATACAACAAGAATAGAAAATGGTGTAATTTCATGTATTTGTTGCCCCAGCAAACACTTACAAAGACCGTAACTGTGTGTCATGCTTTCCATTTTAGGGAAAAAGCCAGTAGGGCTTAAAGAGGTAAAGTAAATAACAGAACCAGGATCTTTACCAGGTTTTTCTAACACTAAATCTATTGCTTATCCGTTAAATCAGAGTTATTTGTATGCTATATAATAGTGTTTCACATGTTAAATCTGAACTTCCCCAGAACAGGAACATACTTTGTCTCTGGGTCCCCAGTGCCTCTTGCAGAGCCTAGATCTTGATATGCAGTCAGGGGTTGTGTGATGAATGGGTTCATGAATGATTGAATGAAAAGACAAGTACTACCTTTCATACTTTTTAAAAGCTTCCTTTACCCAGCTGAGAGTTTTCTTTCCATGGAAGGTATATTTTCCCCAAAATAAACCTCAAGTGTGTGTCAATATCCGAATGCAAATGGATCAAAGCCCTTTTTTAAAAAAAAATTCCTACTCTTCCCACAAAGTGAAAAAAGTTCTTTTGTTACCTAAAATATCTGCGCCAGATTGTACAATGCTGTCTCTTAACGCAAGTGCTTATTATTGTGGCTAATTTGGTCACATGTGTTTGAGGGAGAACAATGCCTCAGAAATTTTTTAAAAGCAAAACAGCAATCTGAAGCATTTGTTGTAATGAGATGTAAATTGCCAACATCGGTAGTGAAGCCGACTAAAATTTGCAATGAAGTGATTTTCTCCCCTCTTAAATTAAAAGCACTAGGGGCCCTCCCTGCTCTCCCTGAAGAAAACACATGCTTTTTTTGTTCCTTTTCTTTCTGATCCTGTAATGCTAAACATTGCGCTCTGTTGATTGATTCATTCCTTCATTCATCTGCCGTTTTGCCAGCTTCTGTCTGTTCTGTGCCTGCCTCAGTGCTAGGCTCTTCCAGAGACGTCAGCAGCCTGCATGGTGGCTTTTGGTAATCCCCATTTTGCAGGTAGGAAAGCTGAGTTGCAGAGAGGGTAAGATGACCTGACTTCAAAGTCATGAGCTGGGATTCACACCCAGGTCTCCTGAACATTCCCTTTTAAGATGTACCTTTGGTTGGCTTTTCAAGCCGACCTTCTGTAGACAATGTCCTGGAAGGAGGAGGCTGTTGCGGAGAGCTTTCACCAGGTGTTAAGCAAATGGTGCTGAGTGAGAAATTTAGAAAATAGTTTTTCTTGAGAGCCAAGATCTCAGTATAGTAGCTTCAATATTTGACAGAAGTCTATCAGTCCCTTAGGACACCTTCGTGAGCCTTGAGGGGACCGTCGTGAACCTTGAGGAGAGTGGGTGGGCTGTGGAGTACAAGGACCTGCTCTGTGCTGGGCCTGTGCTAAGCACTAGGGGCAAAAGCAGAACAGCAGGGCCTCTGTTTCACAGAACCTATGCTTTAGTAGAGACGAACTTAAGCGCACAAGTGTAACTTGTGTGGGAGTGGGTGGAGAGGGAGTGAATGACTATTTACCAAAAAAACCCACTCTGTACTAGACTCTGAAATCATTGTTTCATATAAATATACGAATATATATATATAGTTATCTGATTTAATCCTCAGTCTTGCCAAGTCACTGTTATCTTTCCTCCTTTCAGGTGACACAACAAGATCAGAGAGGTTAAGCAATTATTTATGTGTACATTATCTCTTGAGGATAGAATGTGAATCAAGCACTGTGCCAGGTGAGACCTGGTCTCTGACATAAAAAGACACGGTCCTTGGCTGTCCTCAAGCCTCCTTTCTGACATAAAAAGGCACCGTTTTTGGCTGCTCCCTCCTCCTTTAGTAGGGGAGACAGATATAGAGACGAACAAGTACATCTGATTATTATGGTAGAGTAGGGGCAGAGGGGTGGGGAGAGTGCAAAGGAAGCTCTACTACCCAAGGAAGGTCACAAGTCAACTAAACAGTAAGTGGCAAACCCAGTACTTAAACCCAGTATTTGGAGCTCTGTCTCCAAATCCCAAGCCAAGGGCTAGAGATAATTATTTACTAGTCTTTGAGGGGATAGGGCAGCCTCATTGGAGAGATGGCATTTGAGTCAGGCCTTGCATCACTGGTGGAGTTTGTATAGGTGGACATCTCTAGGGGTAGAATGTTCTGGACAAAAGGAATGGCATAAGCAAAGAGTAGGAGGCAGGAAAGAATGGTGTATGTGTGGAGAGGGTTAGGCCAGCCACTTTGCCTAGAGTGGAGTCTGACTATGGGAGGGGACCAACAGGATGGAGCCAGAGAGGTGACTCTTTCAACCCCTGCTCCCTCTGATGTCCGTTAGCTGTCCCTCTGTAGACAGTGTGATAGCAGAGCCCTTTGTCTGTAACTGTGCCATGTGAATTGTCCATTCTAACTAGATGCTTCTGATTTCAACTTAACAGCCCTGATTTCTACTTCTCGGACTCCAAGAAAGATTACAGACATTCAGAACAGCTTCCCACCTGTCCATGCCTCTACCCTCAAGCACCTCTACTCAGCAGCAGGACTTTACTTCAGAATCTTTCTCCCAGCCCATTAAAGTCCCTCTCTTCCTCCCCTCTCATGTCATGAAGAATTTACTAAGAGCCTGCCATGTGCCAGGCGCTTCCCTACGCTCCAAGATGCTAAAGGGAGTAAAACTTTGCTCTTGAAGAGCTTTATAGTCTAATGTTGAAAACCGACAGGCAGATGATTGCAAACATAATTTGCTAAAAGTAGTCACAATGTAGAGACCCCCCCTACCTGGGAGTGATGACAATCAAGCCTCACAAAGGAGACACCTGAGCTATGTCCGAAAGTCTAACTGGGTGCTTGGCAGACAGATGAGGTAGTGTTCAGCGCCAAGACAAACAGCACAGAGGCCTGGAACAACATAGCATTTGGGGTACCTGAGCAGAGGTGAATATTGGTGGGGGGCAAGAAATGAACCCTAGCGGTAGAGAGGAGGCTGGTTGTTCTGGGCCTTATGGAGGCCATGGTGTGGGACTTAATTTTGAGGGTAGTGGGCAGCCTAAGCAAGGAAAGACAGGGTCATGTGGAAGATCCCTTTGATGGCCTTTATAGAGATGGATGGGAGAGAATCAACTGAAGTTACGGCTGTACTGGATTCATTCTGTTGTCCAGCCTCTCATGGAAGGAAAAGGAGGCTTTAGAGGAAAGACATGTTCTTGCTAAAAATGACCGTGAGTGAGTGCCTTTCATGGACCTCCTCTTTTCAGCCTATTATTTTTTTTCTGTTGACTGAAGGTCAGAGCTAGAAGAGACTTCACACGCCAACTCAGCTATGTGCTTTAGGGGAAATATAAGTAATTACCTTTTCCCAGATCTGAGAAAAGATCAAATGCTCCACTTGAATTTGTTTATGTCTCAAAATTTTAACCTGTGATCCCACACAGAGAGAAGAAACTTTGGTATTTGCTTCTGAAACTTTAGAATTACTCATTCATTGTTGTCATTGTTTTATTTACTTAGCAAACATTTAGAGAGTGCCTACTCAGCCCCAGGTGCTGGGGACAAAGGAAAGAATAAGACCTAGGCCCAGCCCTTGAATAGGTCTTGCACCTCTAATTGGGAGGTGCTGTCAGAACGATGATGATGCTATTGGTCCTTCGCTCTGCCAGGTTCTATATCTGTAATTTACTCACCTGTGGTCACACAATTAAAATATAGTGTAGCCAGGAATGGGACCTGAAATCTCTACCAGGATGAGTTGAGCTCTTTTATTTGCACTGTTCTGCTCCCCAACCATCTTGCATTCAGCTTTGTGCAAGTTTCATTCTTAAATTTTATGATACTACAGAGACTTCGTCTTTCAGTTAGCAGCTGCCAGCAACTCAGGATTGAGATTCTCTCCTGGGAAGCTGTATCATGAAGAATTTTAGTAACAAATTCACCAGGACCTTCACTGCCACCAACCAAAGTCTAGGATGTGTTAACTGAACCCAGAGTGGCAAGCAGATTGTTACAAAGGGCTTTAATATATAAAGAGCTTTGTACCCAGTTGTCCACATGGCTAGGATAAGAGAAGGCTGGTCTGTGAGTTCATCTGTTACCTAAGTTAACATGCACAGACAGAGGGAGCTGCTGTGGCAGTAGCCACATCTCTGATCTTAGTCAACTCCTGAAATGTTTGCATGGGGAGAATTTCCAGCATGTTAAATTATGTGGGCCTTTGAAGTTGTTCTCCCACAAAAGTTAATCAAGTCATTTGGCCTTATTTACCCATTTTCATCCTGTTTCTCTGCCCTTAAGTAATCAACACACAATAGGTGATTTTATAAAACAGTCCATTTTTAAAAGCTAATGGAGAAAAAATAACCCCTTTAGAAACTATCACCATTTATCTAGCTTCCTTTTTGCTGTTTAAACTGCATGTAATTTGTGTTGATTGCATTAAAATAAAAATCAGAGTAGCTGCTGGATCAGGCAATCAGGGGCTTAATGTGTATTGTGTTTTAATTTCTTGATTCAAATGCTCCAGTCTAGATACTAGGTCTTGGGGAGGGGGAGGCCTTAACATTTTTGCCCACACTTTCCTAAGCTCCCTTCTTCTGTTACGGCCTTCTCCACTGTAAGATACTGAGGTGAGGATTTTGGCAAATACACGATTTGCATATTTCAGTAATTCCCACCCCTTCTCCTCCAACCCAGGCGTAACAGAACCTCTTTCCTATGCAGGAAGTTGAATCCCTGCCTTTCCATTTAGACAATGACACCCTGGAAGAGTGCTCTTCATTCAAACTTGATTAGAGTCTAGTCCACTCTTGTCTTCCAGTTTTCCACCTTTTCCCTTGTGACATTCATACCTCACATTATTTTCGAGTCTGGGTTTAAGTGTAGTTCAATGGACAAAAATAAGCTAGCAAATTTTTTGTGCCATGGTGTGCTGATAGATGCCTAGTTAAAAATATTTGCCTTTTATTTTCCTTGGAGTTCTAGACAGATTTCTTTTCTTAACTGCCTAGGTCCCGCCATTGATCTGGAAAAAGTAAAGTCAGAATGTCTCGAGCCCGAGCCGGAGTTACGGAGCACTTTCAGTGAGGAAGCAAATACGTCGTCCTATTACCCCGCTCCTGCGCCTGTCATGGACAAGTATATCCTAGACAATGGCAAGGTAGTGTTTTAAGCTCAATATCCATTCCCTGCAAGTGTTTGTTAGTCAGAGTAAAGGTGGAGAGTATGGTGGGAGCTTTCCAAATCGCAGCTTGACTGGTTGGCCTCCTGGCCTAGCCCTGAATGACTGTTTCTGGAATTTGTATACTATCAGTAGCGTAGCTTTGCTGGGGCGTTTTCTCTTCCTTCTTCCTTTTTTTTTTCTTTCTTTCTTTTTTTAAAAAATATTGATCCAAAGCAACTGTAAAAGTAAATTGACATTTTAAAATAGCTTACTAGTGACAAAGATATTTCTTAATTCCCATGATAGTTTGATGAAACTTGTCCCACCTTCCTATGTAACCAGATGCCTAAAATTTATCAGGTGAACTGGAAATGAAGTATCTTATTTACAGATAACAACTCAGTTTGTGTTCATTCACCACTTAGAAAGTATCTGTATGTTCTAAGCCCTGTGCTAGATAACAGGAATACAGGGAAGAACAAGACATACTCCCTTATCCCCAAGCCTCCTTCAAGCTGTGTATGCAGCAGTGGTTAGCGCACAGTCCTAGGACCTTATAGAACTACTCAGCGTTATTTATATGACCTTGAAAACAAATCATAAACAAAAACTTAAGATTATTAGTAATGGAATCGCTCGTGAAAAATCTTAAAGTCACATGATGATATACCAGCAGGGCAGGGGAGGAAATTTTTCTGACATTCTTCTAACATTCAATTGAATTGATCTTTGAAGAAGTACATCAGAGCCCTTTGTGTTGGCACTGGTGAAATTCAGCTTTAGCGTTATGTTCTCTGCCACTGTGGCATGCATTACAGACATCGCCTCTCGTTCTCCTTAACGCGTCATGTGTTGGTTCATTTTTCTTGCCTCATGCTTCAAAAGGTCTCTGTTTATTTAGTATCATTCTCTGTTAGGTTGATGAGAAAGAAAAATTTGTTTTATTTGGGTTTGTCCAGATATGTCTCTGCAACTGGCCAACCTGAGCCAAAGCAAATATTGTCAAGCTGAGGAAATGAAACGTATTAGTTTTCAGGACTCTCTTGGATGTGGTGTCGTTCCCTGCATCTCCCACTGAGCGCCTCCTCCCCTGCAGAGGCAAAGCTGATGGGCCAGGCCACAGGCCCATTCTGCCTTGCCTTGCTGCCTTCAGCAGGCTTGAAACGTCAGCTTTGCAGAGGAGAGGTGGCATGACAAGTTGGAAGTCGGCAGCCTGGAGCCTGAGTTCTTAGCATAGCTCTACATCTGTCCTACCTGTGTGACCTTGCAAAGATCCTTCACTTCTCTGGGTCTCGGCATCCTTGTCTGTGAAAGATGGGATTGGATTGATGCTCTCCAAAGGCCTTTCTGATTCAAACTGTGTATCTAAGTTTGGTGAACCTTCCCCAATCAAAGATAAAAGATAGGACTATGCTATGTTTGTTGATTTCTTTTTAGTCATGAACACATTGTGGAGTGACTAGAGAGTTTTTCTTAAAGTAGCTTCCAAGAGAAATCTATTTCTCCCTTGCCTTGAAGGCTGATGGATAGTTTCAGAGCATTATAGGGGGCCTCTTTTGCAAAGATAGCATTCTTCCCCCAGAAAATGAGTCTCTCAAATCTCATTTAATATTTTTACACGTGAGTTGAACAGCAAATCTTGAAAATGCCTATTTTGTTTTTTCATTGGTTTTTGCCAGCATGTTGCTATAAGACTAACCTGGTTTTTATTTGCACCTAATTGGTAGTCAGGCAGAGAGAGTTTTAAATGCAGAGGAAAGGAAGTGGACGCACTGGAAATGATGGCAGCTTCCCAGAACAGCATCTCCACATCCCAGAAGTAGCCCTCATTGTTCTTGGCTCTGCTGTCTTGTCTGACCCTTCCTTCTGTCTGCACGATCAGAGGCCTTAATCTCTGCAAGGCTTAGAGCACTGGAATGGGACACATTTCCTAGTAGGAAATGATTTTTGTCCTATAAAACTTTTCACATAAATATATTTTGATCAAGTTCCATCCTACCAGATGCCATATTTTTAATAACCTCCTTTGACACATAACACTAACACTTTGGTCAAATAGTATACTGTGGTTTACATGAATCAGGCTTGCCACACAAATTTCTGATTTGGGTAAAGTGCATTGTGTTTCTTTGTCTAAATGTTTTATTTCAAAAACTCATTGAATCATAAAGCTGCAAAGACCATCAAATTTTAAATAACCTAATTTATACATAGTATGGGTAGGGAAACATATCCAGAGAAGGGACTCCTCTATAATTACATAACAGGTTAGAGGCAGGCAGGAACTGAAAGCCAGACCTCCTGGTTCCCAGGCCAGTACTCTCACCAGTCTGTTCTGCTACATCCCTGAAAACTGAACATTGCTCCAGGTGACCTTGAGCCTTGCTAACCTCAGGGGCCCTTGTCTCAAATGCCCCGGCCTATACCTGTGATTGGTCATAGCAAAGCCCATTTCTTTCTGTGTTCTAAAGTTGGCCTTGTACTTGAGTGAATGTCAGAAAATATTTTCATCTCCAAGGAACAGCAGCTCATCAGAAGTGAAAAACAGTTCCATAAAGACATTAAATATGCCCATCAATTTCTTACTGCTTTGTGTACAGACTAGCCCTTATCACTTTGTAGGGGACAGAAGAGGCAAAGCCTTGACCCTCCCCACTGACATGTACTGTGAAGGACTGAATCAGGTGGCAAAGGCTCTAAGTGAGCTAGAAATTCATAAAGGATAGAACTTAGCTCTGCAGTAATTAAGGAGTGTTTCCTGAATTTTAGACTGGGACTTGAAAGATTAGCAGGCTTAAGAAAACGTAGGGAAAACATTTATTCCTGGACAAGAGAATGGCAGGAGCGGAAACATGGGGAGGGGAAAGAGGGTAAAGGATGTAACAGTTGCTGTGTCCTCCTGACACTTTACACATCTTTTCTCATTTAACCCTCTCAGCAACTCTGAGGTAGCACTGATCTGCTGACTGTATAGCTGAGAAAAGTAAGGCTCAGGAAATAAAGTGACTGGCCCAAGTTAACCAGCACGCAGGTAGAATAGCTGAGATTTACACCCAGGCTGGCAGCTCCAGCACCCATCCTCTTGATGTTACGGCACACTGGAAGTAGCGGGAAATGAACAAGTTCCGGAATTTTGTAGTGTAGATGGACTATGTAGATGAATATAGTAGAGAAATGAAGTAGTAGTGAACAGAATGGATTCTAATGGGCCTTCAAAGCCAGGCTGAGGAAGTTGGATTAAATGTGATAGAAAACAGGGAGCCATTCAAAATTCCAGAGGATTTACCTAAAAACACAGTTGAAAGACTGCAGAAGTCATCTAGTCAAATAAGGAAGGAGGTATTTTAGGGAACTTAATCTGTCGTGATTATAGGATGGGCGGGTTGAAGGGAGCAAGGACTGGAGGCAAAGGCCAGTCGGTGGCTGTTTTCCTGGTTTCCCTGTCTGCAGTGGTGAACTGCACTGGGAGCTGGTGTGGGAAGTAGCCAGGCAGATACAGAGGAAACTCAAAAGGAAAACTAACTGAACATTGATGTGTTAGGTCTGCTGTCTTTGATCTACATCAGTACCACCGTGGTGGCAGCAAGGAAGACAGGGAGAGCAGAAGCTTCAGGATTTGGGTTTGAATCTTGATTCCAAAATTGACTGATTGTGTACCTTAGGAAAAGTTACATAGTCCCTCTGAATCTCTGTTTACATCTGTAAAATGGGAAAATAATTTCTACCTATTTCCATCTCTTAAGGTCATTATGAGGAATAAATAAATTGAATGTACAATACCTGGTTCATTGTACGTGAACCAGGTACTCAAAAAATACTAGTACCCCTTTTCTCTTGTAGAACATTGGCTAAAAGGACTTTCATCTCCCTTTCAAGAATAACAAATTAAAAGATCACAGGAAAGCAAGGATCAGTGGTGGGGGAAAAAAGCAGAGATTTTTGAAAAATGTAAAGTTGGCATCCATCTCTATGATTTTCTGATTCAGAATTTAATGTAATTCAAAGTTCCTTGTTTTTCTCCTATCTCAGGAAGCTTGTGTGGGTGGCTTCAAGTGTCATCAAGGGAAGTGATGCAGGGTCCAGCAGGGAGCAGTGGGGAACTTGTCCCCAGCATGCCCAGTCTGGCACACAGACTGCCCACCTGCAGTTCGAACTGCGGAGAAAAGGCCACACTTGACCTTGGTGTCCGTGTTGCCTAGCCAGCAGCCAGGTAGTACATCTCACTCCAAGGCTGCTTATCTTTCCTGAGCGGATGAACAGATTTGCAGTACTGAAGTTTACAGCACAGAGAGGCCAGGTGGATCTAGTTATCTGATTGCCTGCAGCAGTCTGACTGATCTTTTGAGCAAAAGGAGGTGAAGTCAGACGTGCAGGTAGATTGTTGACTTACATTCATGGGTGGGCTGCATTGCTATTTTTTTTCTTCTTGATGGTTGGAAAATTTCAGTAATTGGTAAAGGAAGAAGTTTTGCTGGCTGACCTGACTGCCTAACTATGTGTATTCACCTTCCTTCCCAAGCCAAGCTCCAGTAGTAGAAAGATCTTTAATTGTTTTTTGAACAATTGATCTTGCTGGTCTGCCATTAGTTGGGTATGCATCCAGTCTCTTAGACCAGGGACCTCTCCAGAGATGTCTCTGACCATGTGATATTGGCAAACTGCAGGCCTTTCTGAAAACAAGGACCTTTGGCAGGTCCTTCTCATGTCCCTTAGAAAGTTTAGCTCATTAGCAGCTGCCGCCCTCTGTCCCCACAGAGGCCATTTCGTCCCTTCACAGACTCAGCAGAAGCATGACATAAATGGCAATGTCAAAGTGAACACTGTTTTTTTAATGATTAATGTTAGTAAATGACTTGTGAGATCTAAATTTTATACTCTTTTTTCTTTTTTAGATTTACTAAAGATGCAGAAAGGAGAACAAATTAAAATCTTATAGCTTATTGCTGGAACATTCTGGGTCTTATTGGCTCTGCACTGAAACTCATAGGGAGCATAAGATTGTGTTTTGTTCTTTGTGCCGTCGGAATCAAACTGGGTACCTTGTGGTTGTGTTTAAAATCATAGGTGTTTTGAGCCAGAAGGAACTTTGAGATGAAATCCAGCTCCACCACTTCATAGGTAGGGAAATGAAGCTCAGAGGTGGGAAAGGACTGGCACAGCCCTACTCCAATTGGCAGGGCAGCTGCTCTCCTTACTTGAGCTGGCAGAGGTTTTCACACTTAGCCATACACTGGAATTATTTAGGCCACACCCAGCCCAAATAAATCAGAATCTCTAGGAGTGGGGCCCACGAACTGATGATTTTTTTTTCTTTTCTTTTTTTCTTTTTTCTTTTTGAGACGGAGTCTCGCTCTGTCTCCCAGACTGGAGTGCAGTGGCACGATCTCGGCTCACTGCAACCTCTTCCTCCCAGGTTCAAGCGATTCTCTTGCCTCAGCCTCCCAAGCAGCTGGGACTACAGGTGCGTGCCACCACACCTGGCTAATTTTTTTGTATTTTTAGTAGAGATGGAGTTTTACCATGTTAGCCAGGATGGTCCCAATCTCCTGATCTCGTGATCCGCCCACCTCTGCCTCCCAAAGTGCTGGGATTACAGGTGTGAGCCACCATGCCTGGCTGTCACTGGTGATTTTTACAGCTCCCTAGGTGACCCCTGTGTGCAGCCAAGGTTGAGAACCACCATACTAGGAAGGTATATGTCCCAGAATGTTCACATTAAAGGAAGGTGGGTCTTTCCATAGTGTAACACAGAAAGAAGTTAAGCATGGGTGTCCTGAGATTTGGTAAGGCTCTGAGCAGCCTTGTGATAAACTAAGTATAGTGTAGAATATCAACTCTGCCACTTACTAGTTGAATGATGTTCAGCAAGTCACCTCACCTGTCTGAACCGGTGTTTCCATCTGAAAGGAAAATGGTGTTATAATGCCTTCTATCCACAATTGCCATGAAGATTTAAGATAGCAAATATAAAGCCCTAGAATAAGGCCTGGCACACTACACGTATTCAGTAGATGATAGCTATTACGATTACCCTTAAAGAGAGTTAATTTCATATTTATGACATGAATCTCTTACAGTTGTGCAGCAATGCTTTTTAAAGGACAAGAGAAGCCTCCCACTGCCCTCCTGTCGGACTAAACAGGTGCTGGTGTTCTTATTCCTCTCAGGTCCATCTGGGAAGCGGGATTTGGGTTGATGAGGAGAAATGGCACCAGCTACAAGTAACCCAAGGAGATTCCAAGTACACGAAGAACTTGGCAGTTATGATTTGGGGAACAGATGTTCTGAAAAACAGAAGCGTCACAGGCGTCGCCACAAAAAAAAAGAAAGATGCAGTCCCTAAACCACCCCTCTCGCCTCACAAACTAAGCATCGTCAGAGGTAGGTCACTGAGTGGAAACACAATGGCTGGGATTCTGTCTTTTACTCTGTCAAGAATGTGTTAGGCACAATTCAATTCAACGATTACTTATGAAGCTTCTGCATGCCAGACCCTGGGCTGAGCCCGGGGACACCAAGCGGATAACCCAAATGCCCCAGAAGAGCTCACATTTACCAGGGCAGATGAGCTGTGGACACAAGTACGATTATATTCCACAAGGAATTAGCATGAGAAAGGGACAGATGGTGTGCTAAGGGAGTTCTCAGGAGGGGAGGATACCCTTAGCTGGAAAATCAGGGAAGAATTCCTGGGGACGGGGGTCACTGAACTGGGCCTTGAAGAATACGGCAGACTAGGAGACACAGATGTGTATGGTGAGGTATTGCTCTTCTGGAGGCAGAAGCATCTTGAACAAAGGCATGGAGATGGGAAAGGAATGCTGCTGTGTACCCAGAGCAGGAAAGGTCAAGGCTAGGGGACGCAGTTCTTGGTGGTTCTAGCATTGTGCCTGGAGCAGTTAATGAGATGAAGACCAGCTGGTAGTCACTAGATTCAGCTTCCTTTCTGGTTCCTTTCTGGTATATGGGAGAGGTTGGAGGGCAGGCAAAGAGACAGGGAGTCATTTGTCTCCCTAAAGATAGGGCTGTATCCTGGACTCTGGAATTTTCTCTTCCTCCCTCCCTCCTTTCCTTTTTCCTTCTTCCTTCCTTACTTCCTTCCTTTCTTCCCTCCTTCCTTCCTCCTTCCTCCTTTTTCCTTCCTTCCTTTCCTCCTTCCTCTACTTTCTCTCCTTCCTCCTCTCTTCTTTCTCCTCTGTCTTTTTTCTTTCCTCCCTCTCTCCCACCCTCCCTCCATCCATCCATTCTTTGCCAGGCCCTCTAATGGGTATTGAAGACACAAAGAGGGGTAAGACACAGCCTTCATCTGCAAGGAGTTCATATTCTCACAGGGAAGATAAACACAAAAACAACTAGTTACTCTACAGAAAACACAAACTATAGAGACAGACCATGGTGTAGAGGGAGCAAAGAGAATAAAGTAGTTGCTAATTATTTTAGGCACTTAACTGTGTTTCAGGATTTAGGGGTTTTTGTTAAATGGTTCTCTTTTAAAAAACACTTTTATGTATGTTAACTCATTATCCTCATAGCAACCCTACTGTTGGCTACTATTATAATTCCTATTTTACGGACAAGGAAACTGAGACACAGAAATGTTAAGTAACTTGACCAGGTTATACAGCTAGTGGGAGGAGAGCCAGGAACCCGAGCCAGCAGGCTGTCTTCAGAATCTGTGCTCCTAACCACTGACTAGTGTCCAGGTCTGCCATGTCTTCATAAAGAAAGTAAGACTCAGTCAGTCAACACATATGTTTTCAGCAGACTCTGGGGGCAGACAACAAATATGTCCAGGAACAAGCTCGATAACTTCAGGTACTGTGAGCTTGCTCATATGATGTGGTAGGACAGAGAGGGCTGCATTCACTGGGGTAGTTGGAGAAGGTCTGTTTGAGGAGGTGACATTTGAGCTGCAATCTGGATGTGGAAGAAGCATCTTTATAATGGTCTGAGGGGTGGCAAATCAGGCAGAATAAGCAGCAGGTATGAAGGCTGGCATGCTCCGGGTGTGAAGAAGCCCCAGATGGCTGGGATGTAGAAGGAAGAGTGAGGTCAGGGAGGTGGGCGAGAGCCTGTCTTGTAGGGCTGGGAAGGCCACAGTAAGCAGCTTGGATTTGCTGGAGTCAAAGGGCAATGGAGGTCTTCCAGTCATGGAGTGACCACATGGGAGATGAGTTACAAAGCTGATACAGTGCTCTTGGTGAGAGATGCTGCTGCCATAGACTAAGGGCACAGCAGTGGAGGTGGAGAAATATGCCCAAGTGTAGGGTGTATTTTGGAGTTCAAGGTGGCAGGACATAGGGTAAGCAACCAGCCTGAGGTCAAAGCTATAAGGTTTCAGAGCCTAGATTCAAACACACACCCGCCGACTCTGGTCTGGGGCTTGTTCTGCTGTAACATAGCTGCCTCCCTTGCCTGGCTGACTCCGGATTAATTGATTTAGGCAGCCGCTTATTTTTGGATAATCAGAGGTAACCTTTCGTCTTGCTGCTGTCTGAAATGGTAAAGCCTGATTTGGGAGGTCACCCTGAGAAAAAGGCCATCCTGGGGATGCAGCCCTGCCCTGCCCTGCCTGGTAGGTGACCGACCTCTAATTCTGCTATGTTTGTTGGAACGTGACTCAGGAGGTCCTGGGTGCCTTCAGATAACTGTCTATTCCTGCCATTATCACATGGTATAAAATCATCTGCTGTGTGTCTCCTTCAGGGATCTGGGGACTGTATCTGATTCATCTCTGTGGCCTCATTTCCAAACATAGTGTCTGGCACATAGTAGGCACTCAGTAAACGAAGGTTGAACAGAAGAAACACAGAGACCCACAAGCTGATCGCCTGACCAAATTTTGTGTGATTTCTTGTAAATCACTTTCTCTCCATGTTTCAGATTTCTTAGCTGAAAACTAAGCTGAAATCATCTTACCTCGTAAGATAGTCAGGGCTGCCTAGGATTGTAGCAGTGCAGCAATGTAGAAGAATACACCTCAGCCATGCATGTGGCTTGGGCCATTACACACTCCTTAGCTCCAACCCCAGCTGGAACTCAGCATCATCTGCCAAGTTGTGTGAGTTTCCCTCCCTGATCTACTACCTCATTTTCCAAGCCGTTTTTAAATTTTTTTACTTTTTCCAAATATGATAGTTCGCATCAATCAAAGAGATAGGCCTTGTCTCTTCTTTCACAGAGGAAAATAAAGGAATTTCCACAGTTTTGAGGCATCACACCTACAGACTTAACTATGTCCTCCATTTTCCTGCCTCCTGTCCCAAAGGAGTTCCTTATTTGGGGCTGGTGATTCTCTCCATCTGGGCTCTGGATTTCAGTCCACCTGCCTTCCTAAGTACCTTGTTCCTTCAGTTATGCTCCTGCTCTACTACTGGTTCCTTCCCAGCATCATGTAAATATATTTGATCACTCATTTCTTACAAAAGCAAAGAAACCCTCCTTAAAGGGCACTCTGTCACCCAGCTGCTATCATATCTCCCTTCTTTCACATGCAGGCTCCTGGAAAGACGAGCTACACCCACTGTGTGTGTTCCCTGGTAATGCCTTTGCCATTTGCCTTCCCCTCCCAGCCTTCTGCTTAATGTGTTTTCACCAAGGTCCCCAGTGACTTCCTCGTCTCTAAATCCTTGTGTGTTTCTCACAGTCTCACTGGCACTGTTTGACACGATCATTCCTCCTTCACTGAGAAACCTGTTCTGCACGCTGGGGATTTCTTCCCATCTCTCTGGTTTCTCAGTCTCCTTGATGGGCCCTCTCCTCTGTGTCCAGCCATCTTCTCGCTGATCCTACCAAGCACTCCTCAGCTTCTCTCCTCACTTCCTATTGTTCCCATTGCCTTCAGTGTGCCCTTGACTTTGGGTTGAAATCTGTACTCCTCACCTGTTACAGATGATCTGCCTTTGGGACGCCTCTGACCTCATCTTATACCACACTTCCCATTTGCTATTGTGCTGTAGCCCTGGAGGCCTTCTTCCAGGTCCTTTCTGTTGCTACTCCCTTGCTCCTGATCTGCGTGCCCTCCCTCCCTGTCACTGAGAGAGGCCTCCCCAGCCACTCAGTCTAAAGTAGCCTCTCCATTGCTGTCTGTCACATCACCCTACTCCAAGTCTCTGCATAGCATTTCCTATTTACTTTTTTTACTTGTTAATTTTCTTTCTTCTCCCACTTCCATTAGAATTAAACTTTATGAGCATCTTGTTCAGGGCTAGCCTATAGTAAGTGCTCAATAAATATTTGTTGATTCAATGAATGATGATTCCCAAATCTGTATTTGACTCAATTCACACTTCTGATTTCTTGATCTATGATCAAAGTGCCCACTGGTTATCTCTTCACAGATGCCCACATGACATTGGCAAAACTGCACTGCTCACTTCTCTCTCTTTCTTCCTCTCCTTCTCTGTGAAGCCTTTGCCTCTTCTATGTTCCCTGTCTTGGTGAATAGTACCACCAGCCAGGCACCCAGGTCTCATCCTTGACTCCTCCACATCCCTCACTACCCATCTGTTTGGCCCCAAATCTCTCTTAAACCACTGCTGATCCACTCCCCCATTTTCTAAGCCATTTTAAAGTTTCTCTACTTTTTCCAAATATGGAGAGAACCATCTGCATCTCTCCACAGTACTGCCCTTCTCATAGCCCACACTCATTTCTCCCCTCCATTACTCTGGCAGCTTCCAGACTCCTCTCTCCATTATGTAACCAGAGCAATCTTCAGAAACCAGATATCCCTTGACCACCACCCAGTCACAGCCTGTTCAGAATGTTCACTGTTGAAGGGTAAGCTTCTAAACATGCCATAGAAGCACCTGTGTAATCTGGTTTCTGGCTATATCTCCTGTATTATTTTTCAGCAGTATTCCCCTTGAACTTTAAGTTATTACCATGGTGAACTGCTGTATTTCGTGAACAAGCCTTGTTCCCTGTCACCTTGGGGAATTTGCAAATACTTTTCCGGATGCCTGGAACACAGGTCCCACTACCTACCTTCCATCTGTGCTGCTTTGCCTGGCTAACTGCTGCTTACCACCCAGATCTGCTTAGGTGAGCCTTCCTTCAGGAAATCATCTCTGACCTTTTGGGGTGGGTGGATGCTGCTGTCATTCATCTTAGAGCACCCAGTGCCTACCTCAGTTCTCTTCTTACTGTATCTTTGCCTCCTAGGAGACTTGTCTAACCCTTATTGCCTATAAATGCTTGCCTTGTACGTGAATGAGAAGGAAATTAACTTGCCCAAGGCCATACATCTGATTAGAGACAGCCAAGCTGAACTGGGCTTTCAGGCTACCTGCTGTCACCAGAGGTTTCTTGTATTACTGAAATATAATGTTGATTTTTTTTTTTTACTAAAGACAGGCAGGTTTGACATCTGTCTCCTATCCCACAATATAACCACTGTTTTTAGCCTAATTATTTGAGCTGTTCCAGATTGCATTTGGTTGGTTCTTCCCATGCAAGCTGTCTGCTGGATTGAGATTGTTTGTATTTATTTTGTCTGATTTTGTTACATGTAGTCACATTTGCCATATAAAAAAATAGAAAAGCCTTTATGCTCACAGAGTTGGTGAGGATTTCTTCTTCTTCTCTTTGATTTTAAAATAGTTCCTTACCCGATAGCAGAGGGATGGGGCAAACATTGACGCTGCTTTGGAAAGACAAAAGCAGGAGAGCTGAAGCAGAGTCTTGCTCTAATGACAAGCTCCAGAATGACAGTTAAACCTATTAAGGTCAAATGACCTTTTGTGGAGTGTCTGAGTTTTCTAAATGAGCCTCAGCATTGCGTTCCGGTTAATTTTTATAACTTTTTTAATAGGACACATTAGCACTGTTATAAACCTTGTTAATTAAGCAATAATCTCAAATGCTCCCTCGCAGAGGGAGACATTCCCGGCAACTGCAGGTGATTAATATCTAGAGTCTAACGAAAGCCTTTTAATCAACCTGAGAAGCTTTTCGTTCAGTGCTGTTACCCACAGGAAATGAGAATGATTGAAATTCTATGGGGGCTCCTCCAAAAACCTTCCTCCATTTGCACCTTTCTCCTTCTACCACTTCCCTGACTAATGCTAGGGGCTCCAAGGGCCACCACACCCACTCTCCTGCCTTCTCCTTCTGTCTCCTTTGCCACTTTACCTGCCATTATTACCTTGCAGACAATTAGAGACTTCGAGCTGGGGGAATCTTCTTAGATTCTCTGGTTTGAAATGCTACTTTCGTAGATAGTGAAACCGAGACCCAGAGAAGTCCCCCCTAGAGGTTGCACAGCATCTAGGGTTAGAATCAGATACGAATATCTCAACTTCTAAGCAGTTCTCATCACAGTTTGTCTCCCTCATTTGGTTCAGGTTCCTACAAAGTCACTATGGGTGTTTGTTTTCTCCTGGCCTGGGGTAGAGAGGGAATGCCTGAGTGTCCCAGTCTGTTGGGGGGAAACAATGTGGTTACAGTTTTATTAGATTGTGATTCGTGCTTTGACAGAGAGAAAAACCGAGACAGGTGTGGGAGCACAGAGTTCTAGGTAGAGTGGGGTCTCCTAACTCAGTCTGATACTAGGTTTCAAGAAAGCTGAATCTGGAAGAATGAGTAGAGCTTAGGCAGGTGAAGGGTGAGGACTTAAGCAGAGATGAGCAAGGTCCCTGACAGGTGGAATAGGTTGAAAAGGATGATGAATATAGCAGAGGTGGGACTGGAGAGACAGGGCCTCCTACCTTCTTGTCTCTCAGTCCTTATGGAAAGGCCAAGACAAGATGAAGTGAGGATTAGTCAGGCTTGGGAATAGTCAGGAAGTGACTGGTCGAGGTCAATTAAAAGCTTTTAAAGGCTTCTCTTTGCAAAACCCTTCTCGGTGGAAAGAAAAGGGTGCCTCAGAGAAAGAATGCTTATAGCAGGTGCACCTGCAGCATGGATGGCAACAGGAGGCAGACTGGCTGGCTCTGTGCCCAGGGAAGGGCTCAGCATATGGGCAGGTAGCAGTGGATTCTGCCCCATACCTACTCCCTTTCTCCAGGCCTGGGCTTCTCATATGTTAGTGGAAAGGTTAGCACAAGTTAGTCTTCACAATCCCCTCTAGTGTTGATATTCTGCATCTCTGAGACAATTCCCTGTTCTGAGCTGGTTTGGTAATGACAAGATTTTGCTTGTTCTCCATAGCAATTCCTCAAGGTTGAATTGTCATTCCTATTTAGTTGAGAAAACTCAGGCTCAAAGAGTCCCCAAGGGTTTTGCCCATTATTACACATTCCCGTGGTACATTCACCACCCACGCCCTAGTCCTCTTCCATCCAGAATATTTGTGTTCCCTTAGGTATCCCTGGAAAAGCATTTATTCAGTTATTTAACATATGTTTACTTAAGTTTGCCACTGTGCCAAACACTGTGTTAGGCCCTAGGAATTAATAGTTGTAAATACATAAAATACTCAGAACAACCCCATACAGGTGTAGTATTCCTTACAACTTGAAAAAGGCAACATGTTTATCCCACATGCCTCATGGCAGCATTAAAAAAAAATGCTCTGTAGTTTGTTATCCTTATTTATGAAGTGAGGAATCTAGGGCAGTGAGTTGCACCAGGTCCCCAGGCTAGGCAGTCAATTGAAGTCGGGCTCCAGCCAGACCTTGTCTGGAGCTGGCTTTTTGCTTTATCACAGCAAATGGTGGACTCAGTAAGAGAGTGGCCGTACTGAGCCTCATTAGTAATCACAGCAGTGAGACACTACTTCACACCCACCAGGTTGTCAGAACCTTAATAATGTGACAATGTCAAGTACTATTGAAATGGGGCAACCAGTACTACTTGCATACACTGTTGCTAGGAGTGCCAGTCAGCACAACCACTTTGGAAAGCAATTTACCAGGCATCACCTAATAAAGTTGAATATGCACACATCTTAACATTCAGCAAGTCCACGCCTAGGCTGATACTGGAGAATTTCTTTCATGTCTTCCCCAGAGGCATGTGCCAGAGTGTTTTTAATTGCAAAACCAAGTATCCATTGACAATAAAATGGATAAAACAAATTGTGATAGAGCCATACAATAGAACACTACTCATCAGTGAAAATGAATGACCTACAAATGTATTTTTCATGAGTAAATCTCAAAACTATAACATTTGAGTAAAAAAAAAAAAAAAAGCAAGTCAGAATGATAGAGTGGGCACATTTATAAAAAGATTGAAAATGGAAAATAAACTATTTTATTTAAGGATACATACATGTGTTAACACTAAAAGAAAAAAAAAAAGGCAAAAGTTCAGGAGAATGGTTATCTCTGGTGGAGAGGAAAGAATTAGGGAGGGGCCTGCAGGTGCTTGGGAGGAACCAATAGTATCCTGCTCCACTGAGTGGTGGACACGTGGACACTTTATCATTACTTTTAAAGAGTACATTTACAGTGTATATCTGCTCTTTTCTAAGTACATTCTATGATGCAAATTTTAAAATATAGCTATGCCAGATACATAAGCTGGTATTTGGGAAGTATGTTGGGAGGTACATTTTCTTTTACCCTCCTTAAAAGATTTTTACTTGAATTCACCATTAATCCTTGGCCTTGTTTCTTCTCCCCGTCTAGAGTGTTTGTATGACAGAATAGCACAAGAAACTGTGGATGAAACTGAAATTGCACAGAGACTCTCCAAAGTCAACAAGTACATCTGTGAAAAAATCATGGATATCAATAAATCCTGTAAAAATGAAGAACGAAGGGAAGCAAAATACAATTTGCAATAAACTTTGGATTTTTCATAAAGCTTTCGTGTTTTCCTTGTGTGGCATGTGATTTGCGAGCGATGGTGCCGTCCAAATCAGACCCCACCGTGCATGGTGGTGTGTGTGCAGGGATCCATCGGGTTCTGGGGTCAGCGGCTTGTTCTGAATGTGGACACTCCAAAGACGACAGATGGCTTTGCTGAGACTCAGGAGCAGCCTGGCACTGGTGTCCTTCTGGGAATGGGGAAAACACTCTTCTTGGAGGGGGATAAGGTTGCCTGAGTTGCCTGTCACTTGACTGGGGTTTGAATGGATATTTTTACTATCCAAGGACTTCTTTGTTGCTCTATTTTGTTCTATAATAAATTTTCATTAATTCTTTGATGTAGATAGTCTTTATCCTCATTTCTTTAGTATATTACATATACAGTGGGGGTGACCAGAGTGTTGTGCCGCCTGGCATGCCCTTCCTTTCAGGGAAGGAATATTCCGGCTGAAGGAGAGAAAATTCCTAAGAGATGTGGTTGCTTTCTACAGATCTGAAGGGCTGTCTCAAAAGCAGATCTCTTTCTCTGACTTCAAAGGCCAGATCTTGGACCAGTCACCTTTCTCACTCAAGGTGATCTGAGATTCAGCTTCCCTAATAATTTGAATCCATCTTTGTAAAGGGGTGAAGACGGGGTGATAATGTTAGATGAGTATAGGGTTACATTCAGGAACTAGGGGCAATGTTACCTGGTATCGGTTCTTTCATCCTATCTTGTATCTCAAATGTTCTTTCAAGTTACATAATTTTTATCTCATTCTTTATTCTGTTACTGAGTCTCTAAGGTGCCTGGCACACATTCTGGCAAACCACATTAGAACTTCCTGTTGATTTGCACTTTGCTTTCTGTAATGCCTGTGAAGTATGCATGGCATATTAGAAAGGGCAAGGGCTTTGGGCCGATGCGTCTAGATTCCAAGCCTGGCTCCCCTGCCTGCTTTGGGCTTAACCTGTCCTCTCTGAGTTTCCATTTTCTATTTCACAAAAAGGAGATAATAGCTACCTTTCAGAGGTGCTACAAGGATTAGAGATAAGTGTTCAATAAATGTTGGCAACTGTTACTCATTTCTGATTATTGGCTGTTATTGTTGGTTAGAAAAGTGGCCTCTGGTTTCTCTAATGGGTCATCCATTAATTGGTAGTCTGTAACCAAAAGCTCAGGGTCTCTGGAGTAAGTAGGAGAGGTGGCTGCCACTTTGAGAACTTTTATTTTAATTGTCTTTCAGTTAACTAAACTTATTCTCAGAGTTCTTATCAGTAATAAGGAGGAAAATAATGCCTACCTCATAGGCCGTGTGGATAACTTAATAATATTAATAATAACAGATAGTTAATATGTGCCAAGGCTTTTCTAAGTGTTTAACATAGTATGTTAACTCATTTCACAAAGTAAAGTTCCTGACACTTAGTAGATAGATGTTCAATAAATATTTGATAAGATATGTTCATTTAAGGGCATGGGGAAGCTCAGGCATGAGTTGTGTGGATTGCGTGAGATGCTGGAAAAAAACTTTGCATCATTGTTGAGCTCATCCCCTTTTCTCTCTGTGAGTAACAAAGACACTAACACCCAGAGGCCCTGCATTTCTCCTTAAAGACTAATAAAATATGGTACCTGCTTTACAAGTGCTTTTAGGTTAAGGGGGGAATAGTTGTGGAAATAACTACAATAAAAATGCTATGATATTTTTGAAAGTGCTTTGCGTAATGTTTGATGCATATATTCAAGAGAACAGGGCAGTTAATGATTATGGGATCTGGGTTTAAATCCTGGATTCGCCACTTCCAAGCAGGTCACTTGACCTCTGGGCCTTGTTTCTTCTGGTGTGGAGAGAATGATCCCTAATTCAGGGTTGTTGTGGAGAGTAATGTAGATAATATCTGAAAAAAGGGCTCTATAAATAAAAAAGACCCTTGCAGATGTTCGTTATTATCCTTAGCGTAGAAGGCAGAATGAAATCAGAAGTAGATGCAACAAGGAATCATGCTTGTAAGAGCCAATTCTGATGTAATCGGGAGGCTTCACACACTAATTAGGCTGAGACGGTTTGGCCTCTGTTGTGTACATGGTGCCTTGTTATTGTAATATGAGGGCAAGACCATCATTCTTACACCCATACAAATGAAGAAATGGGCTCAAAAAAGGTTAAATAATTTCTTGCTCAAGGTCCTGGAGCTGTCTGTCAGCAGTGGACCTGGATCAGAACTCAGGTCTGTGAAAAACCTGCCCTTTTACCTCTTCCCTGAAAGATGAGTGGAAAATTGTGGTCTAGGCTGAGAATCTAGTCACGTAATCTCAGGACATGTTTAGGGGAAACCCAACCTAAGTATTAGTCAATGGAAAACAATCTTATTAATTCAGGCCATTTGGAGGGACTGGGAATGATAGTACTGCTTATAAACATTTGCAGTTTTATTACATTCAAATACATATAAAAACTCAAATTCATTTTGTTTGGTAGAGTGTTTCACAAACTTGCCCAATCTTAAGAATTGGCTGAGGTGCTTAAAATACAAATTTCCTCTGCTTTGGCTTGGAGAGCCTGATTCGGTAGGTCTGGGATAAGGCTGGGAATGTGTATTTTAACACAGATGTCACTTTCGAAAAATATCAGTTAAAGTCATTAGAAGACCTTCATTAAAATAAAGGATAAGAGTATTCCCTATATTAAAAAGAAATGGATGGGGAGCCAACAAACTGATGGTCTTTCTAATGTGCCTGAGGATATTTGACATTGAGAGTAAATTTCTTCTTAAGTAACTGAGACTCTGCCCTAACACCTGTTTAGAATTCCTCTTCATGGCCACCAAATGCTGTTCAGCTGCACACAATCAGAAGGTGACTTTCTGTCTAGGCTCAAATGATTTTTCCCTCACTTGTACACTTAGAGTCTTTGGATTCTTGTGCCAGGCCAGTGAGTTGTGTAGAAGAAGACTGTCAATACTGAATTGGCAGGACCTGAATCAATGAGGTTTGGGCACTGTCTTCAGAAGCCCTGGCAACAAGTTTTCTGATACCAGATGAAACAGAAAGATGGGGCTTGGCTTTATTTCCTTGCTTAGGAAAGTATATTGGTGACTTTTTAGGTGCTTGTATGCTTCCTGTAGGCATTTCTAACTTGCGATTTTTTTTGTAATTATAGAGAAAAACTACTTTATAGAAATTATTGCCAAAAATAGGAAATACCCCCCAAACTGCACTGCTGAAAGCACTCTGATGTATCTCATGTAGTCTTTTTCCAAGGGTGAAAATATGTATTTTCCATACCTATGATTATAGCACATAGTTAGGTTTGTATCCTTCCCTTTGCATTTAACATGTTTCACCATTGCTCCATAAAATTCATAACTATCAATTCTAACATCCACAAAGTGGACCAACATAAAGCTGCAATTGAGTAAACCACCTGGTCAGCTGCCCAAGCCTTAACCCACAGATCAGGGGTTTGTGAAGGGCCTGGCTGCACACTTTTCATCACACACAGGGGTAAAGTGAGCTAGAGTTAGGAGGCAGATGCATGCGAGTTTAGTTCCCAACTCTAGCACTTACCAACAAATGAAGCAAGTTACTTCATCTTTCTTAACACCAGCTTCTTCATCTGCAAAATGGAGGAAATAAGGTCTAGTTATGGGGTTATTAGGAGTAATGAGAGTGTAATTAATGTGCCCCCCAAGAGAGGGGCTAAATGGTTGTCAGTGTTAATGTTGGGCTTCCTCTCCTCTCTTCTCTCCCTACACCTGTTCATTCCTTACTGAAGTGTGCTCCTCCTAACCTGCTGACCCCGTATGCAGTGACCTTGGCTTTCATACCCACCTTTGGCTCTCTGGACATCTTCTGCTTATCCCATAGTTCTCCATACATGGGGGCTTTCCCCCGTGCATGCTGACTAGCTCGCTCCTCGGCTTCCAGCTCCCCTCACCTACCTCAGCCCCTACTCACTGCCACCCAAGTGGCCCATTTACACTTCCTTGGATTTTTAGACTCTTTATAAATTAAACCCAGATGAAGATTTTTCTGTTTCACAGTGTTTTCTCTTAAGTGGTTGTACCTGGGTCAAAAGGAATGACATTTTATCACTCTTGATATATATAATGGGTGTGACCACTTTTTAAATTATTTTGCCCACTTAATAGGTGAAAAATAGCACCCTTGTTATATTTTCTTTTATTATAGCCAAGACTGCATATCTCTCCAGAGTTTGGCTACTTCTTCGTAGAAAAGGAAAACTTTAAAACCTGTAAGTAGTTTCAGCAGAATCCATTTCATTTTCTGTGTTTAGTTTTCTTATGGACCAATGTGTTAACTTGGGCATATAATTTTCGCCTGTATGTCTGCAAATAGACAAACCAATAGATATTTTCACTTCTTTTGAAGAGATTGATCCCTTTCTGCCAGGCAGCTTCATAGGCTCATGGAATCTAAGGATCAAAAATGAACTTTGAGGTTTTCCACCCGAATCTCCTCCCCATTATAAGCAAATGCCATTCCAAACCATGCTTGAATACCTCCAAGCACAAGGAATTCATATTCCCACCCAAGAGTCCATCCAGTTATTGCCATCAGTAAAATATTATTCCATTGAGCTAAAAATCTACCTCCCTGAGACTTTCAAAGTCATTCAAATTCTTCCCTTTCAAGCCACACAGAATGTTTCCACTCACAGCCCTTTGTAGAGTTGAAGGTGGCTGTCATATCTCCTCACCAACTAATAAATAGCTCAAATTCTGCTTCACCATTTTGCATGTGTGGCAGGCTACATGGGAAAGAGTGGGGAGCGTGGATTTAGACAGCCATGTGTTCAAATCCTGTTTCTTCCACTTGGTGTGTGACCTTAAACAAATTCTTAACCTCTCCGAGCTTCAGTTTTCTCATTTTAATAACGGGAATAGTAATATCTATCTCACAGGATTATGTCAAGAGTTAAGTAAGATAATGTGAGTAAAGTATTCTAGGCATTCGGTATCTTAGTTCCCTAATCCTGAGAACTGTGACCATCCTGGTTGCTCTTTTACGGATCTGCCCCTGTAGATGAGACTCAGGACTGGACATGGTGCTCCAGGAAGAGTTTGGTCAGCAAGATGTCACCTCTTACTCTCCGACTTCGAATTAGCATCTTTAGCAATAGAATTGTCTCATATTGAGCCAATAAGGCTCAGTAAGGTAATATTGACAGTATGTGGTGAGGGAAATGTTACCAGTCCTCTATTCTCTCTTTTTGGCTAACACGATACTTGTCCCTTCAGTTTACCGTGTTATAATGGAAAGAGCATCAGTTTTGGAGCCAGAGAGACTGACACTGAATTGAGACCCTGCATTCACTATTTATTAGATTAGAGGAAATAGGACAAGTTTCTTAAAGTCTCCCAACCCCAGTCCCCCTACTCATTATGCAGTTGTTGGGTAGTCATACTGACCTGCCACTGTGCCACACCTGCAGTCCCCACTCGACCCCAGTTCCAGCCTTCAGTAAATGTGAAATCTTTTTGTTCTTATTTTCCTCTCCTTTTTAATCTTAACAGCTCTTTAGTCCTCCCCATCCTTTAATTTTGTAAAATTTTCAAGTATATTTCTTAAATGAAATACAGGACTTTGCATTCGTCCCTGTTCCATTTCATCTTACTGGTTTCAGCCCAACATTTCAGCTGGTCGAGATCTTCTTTACAAGTTGTGTTTAAAATACAAAAGACCCCCCAGTCCCTCCCTATTCACCAATGCCCACCCACCCACCCACCCCAAATAAACAAACAATAACCAGATTTATTGACCAGTACTTATGCCAAGTTGTCAATTTTCTCTCTCTCTGTTCCTCTTATCTGAATAATTTCTCTGTTCTTCTTATGTGAATTATCTGAATAATTCACAAACTGTAACATAATTCCATTCACCATCCACTTTAGCCTCTTGGTTTCTGTTTTGTTCACTGCTGTATTCCCAAAACCTGGCATATAGTGCACACTCATTAAAAAGTTATTGAATGAATAAATGACAAAAGTCAGAGACCTATTAGGAGACTGGGGCCCAATCCAGGCCTGGATGACAGTGAAGGACCCTACAGATGGAGGGAGAGCAACGGAGCAGAGACAAACCTGGGGTCACCACAACTCAGTCCCAGTGCTGGAAAGACAGCTCTGTGCCTGCTGAGCTCAGGCAGCCCAGGCCTTGGCCACTGCCTAGTGTCAGACCACAGGGGTCCCTGATCTGGGCAGTGCTGAAATGGGGAGAGGAAGGTAATAAATATCCAGGGCCTGGGTCACCCCCACACTGATTGTTCTGTGAGGAGTCCGGGCCAGGGACCCTCCTCACCCCTGGAATAGGCACCTAAAGTTTACCCAGAAATCCTTAGTGAGCCCGTATTGCCAACAGTCACACTGGACCCCACCGGCCTTGTTGCAGCAGCCATCAGAGAAGCCACACAGGGAACAAATGTCAAGGTGGCATTCCCTGCATCATTGTCCTTGGTTCCCTGCCATTGATTTCCTCAGCATTTCTCATTCATGGCCACCTGCAGCTATGGCCAGCACTCAGCAGAAATGTGGTTTCCATGTTGAGATCATTTCTGGAGACTTTAGGGTCTGAATTGCAGTGATCACAGGGACTGTGAGGGTCTCTTACACTATACCCTAATTCCACCTCACATAAACCTTACCCTACTCCCACCTCTGGGAAAAGAGTGACTCAATTTAAATGATTTTCTGGAATCAGCCATATGTCAGCCCAGTTATAAATGGCCTTGCACTATCCACACTCTCCTTCCCCTGTGGAGCACCCTCAAGCTTTACACTTTCCCCCAGCTCCTCTGCCTCTCTACCTTCAGCTGCTTGGCCCTGCTCAGTCTGGGGCTCTAACTCATCCTTGTCCCTCTTTTAGATCATTAACCTTGGGAGAAAAAAAAAAAAACTATCCTCTCTGGGCTTGAAGGCTCAGATTAAATATCATTTCCTCTAAGAGCCTGTTACCATCTATTCCTAAAGGACTCCCTCCCTTCTCTAGTTTTCCAAATCTTCTTCCATCCTTCATTCCCAGCCCCAGTCTTCCCTGTACCTTAACACTCAGAGGATTGTATTGTAATATTAATTTAGCTCCCTCTTCTCACAAGGCTGTCAGTGAACTGCAGGCAGGACTGTGTTAATTCATCTCTATACATGTTTGCTGAACCCCTACACTGTGCTAGGTGCAAGAGATATAGTTATGGTGATGTTTTTTAATTAACTAATATTTATTGAACATTTACTATGTGGTAGCACTGTTCACTTTTTCATTCTCACACAAACCTGTGAAGCAGGTACTATTACCATTTGCATTTCACAAATGAGGAAACTGACTTAATGAGGTTGAGTAATTTGCCCAAGATGGCACAGCTGTGATCTGGAGGAGCCTGAACTGGCATCTAAGCCTGTGTGACTCCAATGTCTGGTGTCTTAATGATCATGCTAGATGCTACCTTAGATCTCTCAACATTGTCATAAGCTGTTTTTTCCATCTGAAACTTCTCCTGCCTCCTCTGCTCTATGACCTGCTTCTTCTCCTCCTTCCAGGAGATCTTTTGTGCTCCATCTCCAGCCTGGGTTGGAACCCTTCTCCCTGCTCTGTGGCACCTCTTGTGACCTCTGGTAGAGCCTCATCAAGCTGTCCCATCATTGTGTGTCTGTCTTTCTCCCTGGACTAAGCCCTTTAAGGTAGGGACCACCCTGTGTTGATCTCTGAGTCCCCAGGGCCAGTACAGAGCCAGTATGGATGGCATGGACCTCTCCCTAGAAGCCTGGTTCCTGGTGAGGAAATGCTATGGGAAATAAATACCAAAAAAGTTATTTCCGCCTAGGGGTATAAGGCCTTGAGGGATCAAGGGAGCCCTCCATGAGGAGGTCATGAGGCCTTCTTCTCTTGTTCTCATGGGTTGAAGTTTGATAGGCCATCACCAAGTCAAGAAAGAAGTAAAGGATTTGGCCATAGTTAAGTTTGAGAACTCTGACCTCTCACTGTCAGAATGTGACTATGGGCTTCACCGCTTACCAGCTCTGTGACCTCAGGCAAGTTACTTATTTGGTTTGGGACTCAGTTTCCTCTTCCATAAAATGGAAGGCTTCATGTTTCTGTGAGCATTAAGCCAATATCTAAAATGCACTTATAACTATACCTAGCACATAGAAAGCACTACATAAGTGTTTATAATTATTGTGAGCAATAGGCAAGAGGTGGAAGAGGATAGGATGAGTTCAGATGTTTCAAGGTATGAAAGTGAAGCTGGTAGTGGGAGATGAGGCTGGAGAGGTGGGTAGAGGCCCAGTCATGGAGGGCCTTGGTTCCAGGCTGAGCTGCTAGACTCTGAAGACCATGGACACACTGAAGGGTGGGGCTTTGTGCCTTAGAAAAATGATGCTGGCATCAGAATGGTGAATGGTTTGGAGGGAGAGGGAGGAGTTGAGAAGGCTATTGGGGGAATAACTCAGGTGAGAGATGATGAGGGGCAGATGCCCACCCCCCTTCCTCCTTAAGTGCTGGCACTGCCAGGTGGGAACCTGACTATGAGCACCACAATGCAATGGTGCAGATGGGGAGTGCCCAGGGCAACTATGTCCAGAGGAGCACCTCCTTCATGCAGCTCCTGGACCCTGGAACCACTCAGCCCATGGAGGTGTGTCAGACACAGCATCCACCCTATGTCCAGAGGGGAGATCAAACGTGTTTGGGGGAAGGGGGCGCATTTCAGGTTTGTACATGTCTCTGTCAGGTCTTTCCTGAGCCACCTCCTTAATACTGTGGGAACAGCATGGGATGTGGAGTAAAAGAGTGTGGGTTTCAGGAACATGACCTTGGCTAAGTCATACAACCGTCTGAATCCTGAGATTTATTAGCAACAAGGAGCTGATGTATTACGTTCAGTACAAGAATAACAATGTCAACATTTAAGGCTGTTGCTAAAGTGCCCATCCCACGGCAGGTATGTAGTCGGAGCTCACTAACAGGCACTGCCCTCCCATCAGAGTGATAGAAGCAGGGAGCATGAGCACTTAGTTAGGGTGTCACACTCCACCTGTGGGAGCCTGTGGGCTGGTCACTTCCTTCCTATGAGCCTCAGTTATACAGGCTCAATTATAATATGTGTGCAAAGGTCCCTACTCCACAACCTCCACAAGTGGTGTGGCCCTGACAGCATCCCATGACCCAAATCAGGGTTGGGAAACCTCAGAGCACTCCAGGTGGGGAAGTAGATTTTTAGTCTTCCTTCTTCCTCTGCCCCCACCTCTCCCTCCCACCAGGAAGCAGATTCCAGCCCCTGATACATTCTTTTCCAAAACTAGTGGGAAGCACCTGGCCCTGGATATGAAGAATGACAGTCACTACTGAGAGGCTGTCATTGCTGGTGGAGAAAAGAATCTGGGGTTCTTTTTTCCAGTGGGTCTTTAAATTATTTTCATTTTGCTGATTCATGCACTTTTCTGAGCTAGGGAGCTTTGGGAGGTGTTTATAGGCCATTTAAGCAGAAAGCCTTGTTGGCTCCAATCTCTTGGAGAGGAAGAGATTTAACACTGTGTAGCCCAGCCTGTTGCTGCCCTCCACAGGGCCCAGGAGGGCAGGTGGAGGCTTTGCAGGGTGGGGCTGCCCTTCAGAGAGCCCAGTCCAGTGCCAAGTAGACCCTACTGGGATTTCCAGTGTTGGCCAATCAAAACCACAGATGGAATGGAACTATGGCCAGATTTGGAGGGAAGTTTTGCTGTCCTAGGTTTTCAATTATGCTTATAAGGTGCCTTGTTTTCTTCTTTTCTCTTTTTCTTTCATTCCCTCGTTCATTTTGAGTGAGAAGGGCAGCCAACAGGAGCATGCCGATGCTTTCCCCACATCCTTTCCCCAGCCTAGAATCAGGAAATTATTCAGTTAGCCTTGTGGAACTCCTGTATGTCAGAAGCTACAGCAAATAATTCATACATTTAATCATATCAAGAGTATTTGGGACTTAGCATTATAGTCTATATTTCTCCTGATGAAGATACCGTAGCCCAGAGAGGTTAGATTATTTGCCCAGTGTCACACAGCTAAAAAGGGAGAGGGTCAAGATTCAAAAGCAAGTCCTTCTGAGACCAGGTCCACTGTTCTTTTCATCAAAGCCTCAATGCCTCTAGTAATCAGCAATGACTGAGAGCCAGCTAGGTGCCAGGCCCTGTGCTATATGGCAAAGAGAAGTGTTTCTCTTCCACTGGTTGGATTCTAGCCATTTCAAGATTCACCTTGAATCCTCCTTCCCATGTAAAGCAATGCAGGATGGTAGAAAAAGTGGAAAAGTGGAAGCCAATGCCCACCAACAGGAAAATTACCTGCATGCACGCGCGCACACACACACGCACACACATTGACTTTCATCATAGAGTGAAATGTCAATACAGCAAACAAAAAAAATGAACTAGAGGAGTATGTATCAGCATAAATAAATCTGAAAATCATAATGTATAGTAAGAAAGCAAGTGGCAGAGTGAAACAGAGTCTGTGACTATGTATGTAAAATTTTAAATGTGCAAAACCTATTATGGATTGTTTATAGACATATACATGCACAGTCAGAGTATAAACACTCAGGCAGGAAGGACACATGCCAACTTTGGCATAGTCCTTATCAGGAGTGGTGTGGGGAAGAGTGCAAAAGAGGCTTCAGTAATGTTTTAAGTGTTTAAGACAAATAAACCAAAAAGAGGCCAGAAGAAAAAAAGGCAAAAAGCAAAAAGGTTCTGATTTATTCTACCTGGGAGGGTACCGGGTGTGTGGGGATGGGGCACTGCACTGCACTATCCGCGCCTGCTCTTCTGTGTAGCTGAAATACAGACGTGGCCTGAAGCTGAAAGTCAGAAGCGGGTCACTGTTCCCTCACAGGCTCTTGAGAGGATTAAATCGGGGATCGGTTGAAGGCACTTTTTGAACTGTAAAATATAGGAATGTGAGTTGGTGCTACGCACTTCTGTGCCCCTTCTTACCTGTCTTCCTGACTAGATTGTGACTTTTTATTGAAGGCAGGGACAGTTCCAAATTCATCTCTTGACCCCAGCCCAAGCTCAGGAAATGCCAGCTCTAGGCCAGAATCCCAGAGCTAACCAGAGTTGCTATCAGTACCTTCGCCCCAAGCCTTCCACTGACCCGGGACTGACCCACCGCCTTGCTCCTGAGGACCATTTGAATTAAGGAGAAACAACTTATCCCAGGTTCCCACCCCTTGTGGACACATAAAATTGATTGCTCAGGTACTTACAAATGTCGAGAAGAAGCCTGTTCCTTCAGCCCCATGGGCACGATGAATGACATAATAAGAATTCATCCCTCCCAGTCTCTCCCCTATGGCTCTTAAGCAAGGCACACTCTTGAGCTGGATGGATGGGGGCAGGGGCAAATGCAATGTAAGTCACCTAACTGGTCAATAAACTCCCTGAACTGAGTCCCCACAAAGCCTTTACTTGATCTTTCTTTGGCCCTATGATATAGTTGTCATCATTCCCATTATGAAGATGTGGACGCTGAGGCCAGTGGGGTAATAATGGGCAGAGCCAGGATTCAAATCCAAGTCTGTTGGATTCCAAAACTTCATGGACTGGGAAGTCAGAGATCTCCCCCTCCTCAACCGCAAGAAACCATGTGTGGCAACATGATGCGTTTCCCTCCTCGTAATCCAGTCAGTGCAGGGACTGAAGTAGGATAATCATGTTTCAGAGCCAACCAGAGTGGCTGCCACTCCAAGCTTCCTTTGTATTTTAAATATGTAGTCTCTAATTAGAGTTTGCTTTAATTGCAAGATTTCCATATGCCCCGTGACTGCTGTGCACTCTATCTGGGGATAAACATGTCCATCAAGTTAGAAGCAAATCATGGCTGTTGCCTTGGCCCTGTTATCCCGTTGGCTTGCTCCACTGCAGTTCCTCAAGGGATGTAGCTCACCCTTCCCCCTGTGAAAATGCTCTGGGGCCCACATTTTAATCAAAAGCATACCTGCCTCTAGGAAAAAAAGAGTAGAGGCACAGCTCAAAAGTGATTAAATTTAATAACCAAAAGACCAGAAAAGTCTGCTTTGCAATGCATAATTTCACCAGATATTTATTTATTTCGTCATGTGGCCACATTCTATATGCTATATTTATTTAAAATGCCATTTATTTTAACAGCAGCAATAAAGGAAACACATTTTTTTCCCTCCCCACTGTGTTAAAGGCATTTGTGGTTATTAAATTACTCTTGAGTAGAGGAGTGCCTGTCTCCAAATTTACTCTGAAGTATTTCAATAAAATGATCTCAAATGTTTATTCACTCAGCAAATACTCACCTGAAGCCATTCTGGGCTAGGTGCTGCACTAGCACCAGGATAATGGGGTAGAGCAGAGAAAGTCCCTCTTGCCTCCCAAGAGCTCGTGGGCACAGGGCAGGGGGAAGTGACAGATGCATCCCAACGCATAGCACAGGGCCTGGCACCCAGGGACTAGTCAAGCAGTTTTTGTTCAAGAAATGAATGAATGAATGATTGAAGGGATGGGTGTTACTGGGCTGGATTGAAGCCATGTGGGACACTCAGGGACATCAAGAAGGACTGGTTGGTTCTCCTTGAGTGTCCCAGGGGAGGCAACTGCTGTGCTGATTCTCAGGTGAGAGCTGGGCCCGAGGAGGGGTATGGGGTGGCATTACAGGCAGAGGGAGCAGTATGAGGCAAGGTATGTGCTTATCAAGTCCTCTCCCTGCAGCAGTCCTCAGGCTACCCCCACTTCCTTCAGTTCTTTGTTTCTGTCTTCCTCTTCAGAAAGGTTGTCCTTGTCCACATTGTCTGAACCGGCACCCACCCCACCTCAGGGTACTCTCTCGTCCTTTTCCTCTGCTTTATTTGCTTTATTTTCCTCTCATCCTGTTGTGTTTATCTGAATACTGTCTCATTCCATCTTCAGCTAAACTGTAAGTTTCCTAAGAGCAAGGCCTAGAAAATTGTCTAGCATATCATAGGGGCTGAAAAGTTGAATCGATGAATGAGCGACTAAAAAATCTCAGTGTCCCTTCAGCAATATGAGAGCTTCAGTGTAGGGTCTGGAGCATGGGTTCCAAGCAGGGCCTGCTGGAGGACCTGCACAGGTGGTCGGGGCTAGGACCTGCTGGGGCACACAGGCCTCATAGGCTAGCTAAGGAGCTGGACTTCACTTTGAGGTGGCAACAAGGAGTCATTGAAGAGTGTTGAGCCAGGAAGCGGCATGGTCAGATTGGTGTTTCAGAAGGACCACTCTGGTGGAATCGTAGATGATGAATGGGAAGGGGTGAGACTGGAGTTAGGAAGAACAGAAACGAGGGGGCTTAATAGTCCGGCAAGAAATGTGGAAGGCTGGAGCAAAGGCAGGGGCCGAGAGATTGAAGGGGTGGATGGGACAGATGAAAGCAGAATTCTATATTTGGGTTAAAACCAGCATGGTTTGCTGATTAGAAGTAGAAGGTGAGAAAAGGAAGACCCAGTGATGACTCCACGGTTTGTGGCTTGGCTGAGTGGGTGGACAGTGATATCATTGGCTGGGAGGGGACTGAAGATTTGTCCTCCCTGGGGTGGCACTGTGGAGGGGCCATGGAGAAATATTTGTTCTGATAGGAATCCTTGGCCAAACATGAGTTACTTTGAAAGCAACATCCAAATGTAGTTCTCATGTTTTGGGGCCCCCATTGAGCCCTAGAAATACAGTTGGCAGGATTGTCTCTCAAAGTAAGACAGGTGATGGCCTATGAAGTGAGGGCCTCTCAGGGTCTGTCCATCTCCACTGACGACTCATGCCAACACATCCAGCTTTCGACCTTCTTTCTCTAAAGATCATGTTATAGTAATGAGATGTACTCAAGATTTAAATTCAGAATAAATACACATGAGTCGTACTTCCATTATGAGCAAGCCTTGGGTAGGGGCATTTGGTGTCCTTAGGCCTCAGTTTCCTCAGCTGTAAAATGGGAAGAATGAAGATATCTATTGCACAGTCTTATGTTGCAGATCCAGTTGTCAAAGGGATGTAAGTAAACTCAGTAAACTGAAAAGGGCTATTCAGCTGACAGATTCCAGGAAACATTATCCCAGATGAGAGGGAATAGCAGGCAGGCCCTGATGCTAAGACTAAGTGCTACTGGCCAAGCAGAGAGGGGAGCAGCTCTGCACCTAGCCTCTTCCTTAGGGTCCTCCTTAGAGCCTTGAATTGGTCAAGCTGTAGTTGATGCTCTGTCTTCCTCAAATGTCCACATGATCCAGGCTCTGCAGACTGTTCCAGGGAGGGCTGAGTGCCCCGTACGCAGAGGACTGCTAGGGCTCATTCTCTGGAAAACTGCCCTCACAGAACTCACCATACCCTTCATCCTGTGACCCCAATGGGCCCTAACCTCTCCTCTCCAGTGCCAGAGCTGCTCTGTGCTTCCCACTGCGGACGCAGCACCCCCACCCCAACCTTTTCCACCACTAATGAACTCCGCAACCTCAGCTGCTTTACACAGCATTGCTTCATAGTCCTCCTGACTGAAACCTGGCTGTCCCCTAAGAATGGCTCTCCCTTCTCCCACCCTCCCCATCTCTCTCTATTCTAGGCCAGCTCCTGGGTTACTTCTCAGCCCAGGAACCATCTTTCTGGAAACTCCCTGAGTCCAGGTTGATCACTGTGTGCCTTCTCTGGGTTGCCATCAATCAGGGCACTGCTCACTTTGCTGAATTCTCTTTGTTTCCCTCCCTGTCTCACCTACCAGACAAGAACTGCTCAAGAGCAGGGACTGTGTCTTGCTCACCATGAGTCTTGTGCCAGCACAGAGCCCAGCACTGTGTGGGCATCAGTTGACGGTACCAAGCATCCCTGTCTAGTGGATGCTCAGCTGCTGTCTCTCCAAAGTAACAGGATGCTGCACCCCTGGGAGTGACAAGCAGTTCTTAGACAGGTACTGGTACATGGGCAGCACTGACTTCCCTCCAGGGTTTCCTGGGTGGCCGCCATCTCCCTCATAGCTGCTGTTTTGGTGTCTCTCATGTGCACTCCTGTTTTAACCCCATTCACGGGGGCCACAACTATGTAATTGGATTGAGCAGACACTGACAAGGTCAATTTGATAATTTCATTAATCTTTTATCAAACATGAGCCCTGAGCTCCAGCCAGGCTCATCTGTGTGCCATCCCCAGAACGTGCCTGGTGTATTCCCATCTCACACGCCTCCTCTAGGCCAGGTGTGACTGTCCAGTGATGCCAACAGCTACTGGATGCTTCCTGGGTGCTAGGCCTGCAGCTGAGCAAGTCCCTTAACCCTGCAGACCACACTGTGGGGGTAAGGAGCTGATATATATAAAGCACACAGAACAGCATCCGGCCTGTGTTTAGAGCTCTATGTTATTATTATCACTATTATTATTATTACTTTTAATTCACAACAACATTGAGAGGTAAAGGCCTCATTTTGCTAAGGATGAAACTGAGTGCCAGAGAGGGGAAATGATATGCTCAGGGTCCTACCCGTGGGGAAAAAAGCAGCAAAGAGTGGGGCAAGCAGGTTAGAAAAGGGCCAGGTCCTGAAGAGCCTGTCTCCCTCCTCCCAGCGTGGTGTTGAGGATTGGAGGGAAGGATGGTTGAGTGTGACCAGCACAGTGCCTGGCCCACAGTACTTCTCAACACAGGTTTGTGGAACAGAAGAAGGAAGGGATATGTGTGGAAAGCCCACACACACTAAAGCTTGCTTCAGAGCCTCAGGAAAGGGAATGGGCCCCTTCCTGGGGGGAGAAGGGGAGCCTTGAGTTGGATTGGAGCTTTTAGGATTCAGAGAGAAAGGAGGAAGCAGAAAAGCAAAGAAGAGGAGGGAGTAGCACAGATGGGGCCAGAGCGAGTATGACTGAGAAAAGGAGGTGGTTCAGGAAAAGGAGGTTGGAGAACAAAATGGGAGCCACATCCTCAAGAGCCTTGGGTTGCTGTGGAAAGGTTTCCAGGAAGGAGGATGTACTCCAGTTTGCATTTTAGAAAGTTCATTCTGGCTTCAGCGTGGAGGATTGGAACAGGACAGGCTGGAAGCAAGAAGATTGTTAGGGTGCTGCTTCTGGGGTCCAGGCAAGAGGAAATAAGGACTCTCAGAGAAATTATGGGGAAAGGGAAGGGAGAGAGGGAGAAATTATGGGGAAAGGGAAGGGAGAGAGGGAGTGAGAGAGGGGTGACAGGAATGGAGGGGCAAGGGCACAGCTTGCTTTGGAGCTCGGTGGGCTGGGGAGAGGGTTGGTTCCATACTCGACCCAGGCAGGCAACACCGTGCAGATCCAGCCCCGGGGGTGAGCAGCAATTGCTGGGATAAGCCCATCCGTGTGCTCTTTGGGCCTGTTAATTAGCAGGAACAGACAGAATGTCAAATGGGACTTTCCTGACATAGCGGTGCCTGGTGCTTATCTCCCTGATTGTATGCAGACAAGTCACATTTAACACCAAAGGTTAATGACTTCCCTGGTAAGACAAGGAATGCTGGGACCCACAAACTCACACAGATGGGAACTGACAGGCTCACCCCAAAAGCATAAGAGGCCATTAAAGCACTTGTTCAGTTGGTAGTAGCATCACTCAAGGCCCAAGCTAGTCTCACCTCCAATATGTAGCATTTTCCAGCATCTCTGAACCTCAGGGCTCTCCTCCTTTGCTGATCCCTGCTCCTCCACAGCCCCCCAAGAGTGCAGCCCAGCCTTTGTCATCCTCCAGTCAGTAGACTCTGTGGATGCTGACCATGGGCTGGGCTGGAGCTGGACCCTGGGACCTGGAGGTGGATCACCTGCGGTCAGGCCCTGGAGGACCTCCAGTCAAGGGTGATCAGGGGTGAGCAGTAGGGGCAGACAGACAGACAAGGATGCACAGTGCCAGGAGTGAGGCGTGTCCCAAAGAGGAGAGATGGAGAAATCCATGTGAGAGGTTTGTCACTGGAGGCTTCCTAGGGGAGGTAATGTCTGAGCTGGATCTTAACGGATGTGCAGAAGCTCCATAGGTAGGCTGGTGGGGTGGCGAATTCCAGCCATCTTTCAAAGAGCTGCCTTATGTCCTAATAATGGTTTTATATCTGGTTGTAAAATCTGTAATGGGGTAGGGAGAACCCAGTCTTACTCATCTTTAGGTCTTCCCAGCGCAGGGCCTATAGGCAAGGTATGAAAGCATGTTGAACAGGAAGGCTCCTGGTTTCCCTGCCTCCACACTGAAAGAAAAGAGGGACAGAGGGGAGCAGGGATGGAGAATGAATGGAGGTTCCCCTAACAAGGACCCTTAAATCCAGTCTAACCAGTCTTTCTCCTGCTGGTAAACCTTCCATGGCTCCCTGCTGTACTAGGACAAAGCCTGGCCTCTTAGCTCAACTGGTATCCAATCTGGCCTTTGTATCTGGCATGTGATCACCTGTGAGCCTTCCCTCTCATGCCCGCCTTCCTCTCCACAAGCAAACCACCCCACGCTCTGGCTCCTGCATTTCTTTGGGCAGCCCCAGACAGTTCCCACCTTTAGGCTTTTCTCTCTGCTTCTTTCTCAGCTGGGAAAGTTAGTTTCCTCCAGTGAATACATCCTCCATGGCACTGTAAGTACAGTAAGAAGCCCTTCCCAGGGGAACTTCAGAGCTCAGAGTCCCACACAACCCCACTGTGCCTCAGGTAAACCTCAGTGCCCTCCCTGTTGATGTGAATGAGTGTTCATATTTCTCCTCCCTCCAAGGCAGGGGAACCGCATTTCTTCATAGTTGCAACTGCTGCTTGTGAGAGGCCCTGTGGTGACAGTGAAAGTTCAGTCTTTCCAGTCGGATTGCCACTGTTGGAGACTTGAATGCTGTCTTCATCACCCTAGGAGCTATTTGACCTTGGCAACATTATTTAATCTCTCTGTGCCTCTGGTTCCTCATCCGTAAAGTGGGTCTGTGTACAACAGGACCTATTTCATGGGGTTCTTGCAAAGATTCAATTGGTTAATTATTCAAAGCTCTTAAAATAATGCCTGGCAGGCCGGGCATGGTGGCTCACGCCTGTAATCCCAGCACTTTGGGAGGCCAAGGTGGGTGGATCACGAGGTCAGGAGATCGAGACCATCCCGGCTAACACGGTGAAACCCCGTCTCTACTAAAAATACAAAAAAATTAGCCAGGCGTGGTGGCGGGTGCCTGTAGTCCCAGATACTCAGGAGGCTGAGGCCAGAGAATGGCGTGAACCTGGAAGGCAGACCTTGCAGTGAGCTGAGATCATGCCACTGCACTCCAGCCTGGGTGACAGAGCAAGATTCCATCTCAAAATAATAATAATAATAATAATAATAATAATAATGCCTGGCAAATAGTAAGTGCTCACTAAAGGTTAGCTGTTGCTATTTAATTTGAAAAGTAAAGTGCAATGCAAGAATATTTGGGGGGTGGGGAAGCCCAAAGTTATAAAGAAATATCACTGCCTCTCAAATAACTATTTAGATTAGTGTATGTGTTTTTGGTTTTCTATTCGGTGTGTAGGTGTGTAGCATATCTGTTGTATACACACACTCACAAGATATGTACACATAAATATGACATTCTCTTGAGTAGCCTGCTTTTCTCACTTAACAACATATACAAACACTTTGGTAAACAAGTAGTATTTTTATCTGTCTTTGTAGCCACAAAGCCTAGCTCAGAGCCTAGTACAAGAATAGGCATTTCGTTGAACTTCGTGAAAGGAAAGGCGGAGGTGAAGTGGCAGTGAAGCAGGCTTGGAGCTGCACTCCAGAGAGTCACTGATAGCATAGTAGCTATCACTGTGGAGGGGAACCTTATCCAAGTAAGAGCCCTTCCTTTTAGTGATAGAGACCCAGAGGCCGGAGAGGAGAAGGGACTTCCATGAGGCCACTCGGCCAGTCAGTGAGAAGGAGATAAGAGTCCAGCCAGGCCTGTGTCTTTGTCCTCAGGCAATATGTGGCCATCCTTCCCCTCTTCCCTTCCAACTTTCTCACCCTGGTCCTGCCTGACTTTGCAGCCTCCCCAGGACTGAGTATGCAGGAAAGGCTGGAGCAGCCATCCCCTGATTGGGTCCCAGACAGGGAGGCCAAGGGAGGCAGAGGGAGGTGGCCAGTGGGGAAAAGTCACTGGCACCAGAGAGACTTATTTTCTGTGTCACTAGTGGTGGCAGGTTACCTCTCAGAGGCTATCGTATTTTGGAGGCTTTTCTTCCTGAAAGAAGGGAATGAGCTTTAGGCTCAGCCCTTCCATTCTGTCCCACACTTGGTAGCCCAGATAATCCCTTGAAAACAAGGCTGTAAGCATGACCTCCCTGCCTAGAAGATTTCAGTAGGTGCCATTGCTGGCAGAATGAAGTGTTTTAGAGCAGGGATCTTCTCTAGGGCCCTTCCTAGAAACCCACCCAACCATGGCTCTCCCTGTCATCCCACTGTCCTTCTCACTGTGCCTCTGGGCCCTTGAATATGCTGCCCTCTGCCTGAGATGCCCTCCCACATCCCTGCCTTGTCTCAGAATCATTGTGGTTCATCAAGCCCCAACGGCTCCTCTCATTCACAATGGTCAATCCCTCTTCAGGGTCCCTGCAGTCCCTGACACAACCCTTCCAGCCCCAGCTCTCCTTCATTGCTCACATCACCTGCCCTGGGTGTTATCTGGCCCATGCACAGAGAGGCACCTGAGGTAGCAGGCTGAGCAGAGGGCAACTCTTTGAGCCTGGGTGTGGGCTGGAAGATCCAGGCAGTTTTCCCACCAAAGGTAACCCTCACTCTGGATTCGGTTGTGAAAGAACACAAATGTGTGATTTTTATCCAAGACCCTGGAAAATCCCATGTTACCTTGGAAAATCCTTTCACCTCTCTCTAAGCCTCAGTTTCCACATCTGAAAAATGGCAACAATACTGCCCACATCACGGGGTTAAATGAGTGAATGTGTAGGAAACACTTAAGACATGGAAAGTGCCCACCCAATGTTCTTTTCCTCCCCTGCCCCTTTCCATTCAGAGAGCATCACTCTCAGAGTCACAAAGTAAAATATTTATAGGGGCCAAAAATGTGGCCCCAAACTCAAATGAGACAACAGAAATCACCCCGGTCAGGCATGTGAGAACCTGATAGACAGCTTGGCATGGCCCTTACTTAAACACCAGCTGAAGTGTGTCACTGCCAGAGTCTGGTGTGGACTTCATGACCTGAGACCTCACATTGGCAGTTCCCATCAGCCGCTGTAGAGAAACACCCAATTCCCAGCCCATGGAGCTTGGGCTTATGTAATGATAGACTTCACCACAAAGCACACTGAGCCTCTGGGAGTTTTTCTGAAGATTAGTCTTTGTCACTGGTGGTTTTATAATTCAAGAGGCTATTTTGACAGAGCACTGGGATGCCCAAGAGCAGCCCAGAAATTCTTTCTGGAAAATGATGCCCAAGGCATGTGTTGATTAGCCCAAGCACATGGCAGAGTGTCAATGGAAGCTCTCTCTTCTCATCCCTTGGCAATGCTGTTATGGCTCTGAGTGGGGCTCTGAGCTGCCATTTCCCACAATTGCCCAGTGCTGGTTAATTTCTTCTTACTAGGCCAAGACTTAAGTCTTTTTCTTTTCTGTTTTTGTTGTTGTTGTTGTTGTTGTTTTGGATATAGGGTCTCACTCTGTCACCCAGGCTGGAGTGCAGTGGCATGATCTTAGCTCACTGCAACCTCCGCCTCCTGGGCTCAAGCGACCCTCCCACCTCAGCCTCCCAAGTATCTGGGACTAGAGGCACTCTCCATCATGCCCAGCTAATTTTTGTATTTTTAGTAAAGATGGGGTTTCACCATGTTACCCAGGCTGGTCTCGAACTCCCGGACTCAAGCCATCCATCTGCCTCAGCCTCCCAAAGTGCTGGGATTACAGGCATGGGCCACCACTCCCAGCCAAGTTAACTCTTTAGGCAAGTTCAGGACAGGAAGGAGAGCCTGGGAGATGACTGATTTCCTAGCTGGGGTGCTTCACTCAAGAACGACCTCAGGAACATGACCAGATGGCTCAAAGTTTTCTCTTTAAGTGACTATTCCGGATGTCAGAGGCTGACCCTCAGAGCATAGACAGCTTGGATACCATATCCAGGTAACAGCTCTGGATTCAGATGTGGGAACCCCAGATAGTCACTTCATTTATTAATGCACTCATCATTTAGTCATTGATGCATTCATTTATTTAACAAAAATTTATGGAGTTAGCTCTTGGATTTTGTCGTCAAATTTACTATTTTTCTGTTTTCTAACTTTTTTTATTTACATTTTTACTACTTCTTTCCTACTGCTTTCCACAGGTTTCTTTTTGGTTCTTTTTCAAATTATGTACTTGCAGCTTTCCATTAGTTTGATAAATTGTTTTCTTATTTTCATTATTTTCTAAATATTTTGTAGTTGTATTTTTTTATTCTTTGACATAATATTTTTTAGAAAAGTGATTTCAATTTCCATGTGGCAGTTAGCTGCAGCTATTCCTGTTGTTGAAACACTGTTCCTTATTTCTGGTTTTAGCAGTTATATTTTGAGAATGAAAATTGTATATCTTTTTATCATTTGGAATTTACCAAATTCATTTATGTTTGTAGAGTAGAAATTGTTACATGTCATTAAGTAAACTTTATTATTTTTCAAATCTTTTTCCTTACTTAAGTTTCCTTTTGGCATTTTTCTTCATCTTTTAAAATATCTAATACATATAAAATAATATAGGTCCATAAGTTATAAAGCATAATCATATAATGAACACTTGCAAACTCACTACCCAACCCCAGAATTAGAACATTACCAACATATTTCTCAATGCCCTATCACTTTGTTTACCCTGGAGTTAAGCACATCATCAGTTTTGTGTTGCTCTTTTTTTGCTTTTTAAATATACTTTTTAATTGCCTAAGTAGGAATGTCTGAAACTGGAAACAACCAAATTCACTTTTTATTGTTCTCTATGTATGCCATGTAACCTCCTGCTACAATTTCTGTTGCTTTCTCCCTGAATTTCTAATATTTATTGCTTTAAATTGGAATGTTTTGTTGGGTGCAATAGGTTCATCACTGTTCAATCTTCAATATAAATTTTGCTTTTTATCAACTTAACACCATCAATCTCTTCCTTGTTAAATAATTTTGCCTCAAATTCTGCTTTGTGATTAACATTGTCACCTCTGCTTTCTATTTAATTGGGTGTGCCTAAAACATTTTGGAAGTTTAATTTTTAACATTACTGTGTAATTTTGCCTGAGATGCAGAAGAAGGTAATGTTTAAGAAGTTGTGCTCTGAGATCAGACTGGATTTAAATCTCATTTCTACTATAAGTTAGCTGTTTGACCTGGGCAAGTTACTTAGCCCCCTATGCTGCAGTTGCCAAACCTGAGACCCAAGGGTAATGATATTTCTGCCTCATATGTTTATTGGGAGAATTAGATGAGACAATGTATGTGAAATGCTTAGTACAATGCAATACACATGGCAAGTATGCAATAAATGTTAACAATTTTTATGAGATTTATCTCTTGTAAGTTGCACATAATTTAATGTTTTCATTTTAGCTTGGGAATTTTTGTCCCCTAATAGAATAATTCAGACTGTTTACCATCATTTCATATCTGCTGTTTGACTTTGTCACCCAATTGTATACTTTCTCTTTTTTATACATTTTTTGCTCTTAATGTTTTCTCTATTTTTTTAATAAACTGTTTTTTATTTTTAAAATTAATATAGAAGTTTAAAGTACTCTTTGTAAATTCATTCCCTAATGCATGCTTTAAAATGTGTGACATACAGTTATAGTCGTGTGCCACATAATGATGTTTTGGTCAAAGATGGACTGTGTGTACAACAGTGGTCCCATAAGATTATAATGGAGCTGAAAAATTCCCATCGCCTAGTGACAGCGCAGACATTGCTATATTGTAGTAGAAAGCATTACTCACATGATTGCAGTGATGCTGGTGTAAATAGAGCTACTGTGCTGCCGGTCATATAAAAGTACAGCACATACAATCATGCGCAGGACGTCATAGTTGATAATGATAATGAATGACTGTGGGATTGGCTTATGTACTTCCTACACTATACTTTTAATTATTATTTTGGAGGATACTCCTTCTTATACAAAGAAGTTAACTATAAAAACACCCTCAGGCAGGTCCTTCAGGAGGTATTCCAGAAGGCATTGTTATCATAGGAAATGACAGCTCCATGCCTGTTATTGCCCCTGAAGACCTTCCCGTGTCACAAGATGTGGAGGTAGAGGACAGTGATATTGTTGATCCTGACCTTGCGTGGGCCTAGGCTAATGTGTGTGTTCCTGTCTTAGTTTTTAACAAAAATGTTTAAAGAGTAAAAAAAACTTAACAATTTTAAACATGGAAAAAAGCTTATAGAATAAGGATATAAAGAAAGTATTTTTGTACAGGAGTACAATGTGTTTGTATTTTAAGCTAAGTGTTATTAAGAGTCAAAAAGTTAAAAAAATTAAAAGTTTATAAAGTAAAAAAGTCATAGTAAACTGAGGTTAATTTATTATTGAAAAAGAAAAATATTTTTAACAAATTGATTGTAGCCTAAGTGAACAGTGTTTCTAAAGTCTACACTCGTGCACAGTAATGTTCAAGGCCTTCACATTCGCTCACCACCGCCAGTTCTTCAAGCTCTGTTTTATACTGTAAGTGCCCTATAGAGGTATACAATTTTAAATCTTTATACTATATTTTACCGTACCTTTTCTGTTTAAACATGTCTAGATAGATCACTTTTTGGCCTTTTGGCAAGATCAAGTGTAGATATGCTTAGATACATAAATACTTTCCATTGAGTTACAATTTCCCGTAGTACTCAGTACAGTACCATGCTGTACAGGTTCATAGCCTAGGAGCCATAGGTACACCATACAGCTTAGGTATATAGTAGTGTATACCATCTAGGTTTGTGTAAGTACACTCTGTGCTGTTCGTACAACCATGCAATTGCCTAATGAGGCATTTCCCAGAACATATCCCCATCCTTTAGCAATGCATGGGTGTGTATCTATATTTCTCTAATTATCAGTTAACAACAAAGCAATAATTTTTTACTTCTCTTTATACAACATAGAATTTTATATGTTTTTATTTTTCTTGATATCCCCTTCAATGCTTGATAACTCTTTTTTTCTGATTCTAGTGCTAAGGAAAATTCAGAGATGGGTTTTTGTTTCTTAATTGCCCACCTGTTTTCCTACCTGTGTGTTCACATAACCCTTGAGGTTTATTTTGCCAAGATCTAGCTAACTATGTCTTTTTGGTTATTATTATTAACATTGCCTGGAACACTGATCTCTTTTCGGCTTTTGACTCAAGTAGATACTTGCTTTGTATCTGAAAGTCCTTTTTCCCTATTATGTATTTGTCACTTTTCTTTTTTATTTTATACCCCATCCCTACCAGGAATATTGATAATTCGAATCTAGACTTATTCTTTTCTTTTGTATCTATCATCTCCTTTCTTATCTTCATCTATGACCTCTTTTTCTGCATTCGTTGAGAATTGCTCAAATTTGTCCTCATCACTGTTTCAGTTTTCTGCAGTGTCAATTCTGTTTTTTCTCACTGCCATGGGAATTTTAATGTGGTATTTTATTTTGTCCCGACTTGCCGTATTGTCTTACTTTCAGCTTCCTTTGCATCTCTGCCTTTATCTTATCCTCCTTCCTTCTCTTCTTAGAAGCCAAGTCTTCTTGCATCTCTTGAAGAACACCAAGCAGATGGTCTCTGAAGCATTCTCGATTTTCTTTCAACTTTCTCTTTCTCTAAGTTTTTAGGGCAATGTTTCCTTTTTGCTGTAGTGTATCTCTTTAAAGGCCCATTTTTTGTTTCTTGGAGGTTTTATTTTGTTTTGCTTAATCATCTTTGAATAGAGCAGAGTCTCTGCAGACCTGGCATTTGCAAAAAGGAAGCTTAAAAGTAAAGCACTGTTAACCCCTCACTGTGGGATGTGCATCTCCAGATTTAGACCTGAAATTCAAGTCAAGGTGCCCTGCCCCAGTTCTGTTTGTGGGCTGATTTTGCCTGCCTGAAGTTGGTTTTACTCCAGGGTCAACTTCTAGATTTTCTGACTACGGAATCAAATGCAATTTGTACTTCCTCCTTGCCCAGAATAGTACCTAAAAGACCCTCCTTCCCTGCAGCATGCACTACCTCCAATGCACTTTCTATTTCATCCCTGTTTACCAGGCTTTTCTTTAAGTGTCCAGGTGTTCCTGGATGCCAGCCTATCCCCTACTTCCTGTTGTGCTGCATGCTTAGAGTTGCCATTTCTGAGTGAATGTTAAAAAAGAAGAGGCCAGGCACGGTGGCTCATGCCTGTAATCCCAGGTTTTTGCTTGGGAGGCCAAGGCGGTTGGTTCATTTGAGGTCAGGAGTTCGAGACCAGCATGGCCAACATGGTGGAACCTTGTCTTTACTAAAAATATAAAAATTAGCTAGGCGTAGTTGTGGGCACCTGTAATCCCAGCTACTTGGGAGGCTGAGGCAGGAGAATTGCTTGAGCCTGGGAGGTGGAGGTTGCAGTGAGCAGAGATCGTGTCATTGCACTCCAGCCTGGGCAACAGAGCAAGACTGACTCAAAAAACAAAAAACAAAACAAAACAAAAAAAAACAAAGAAGAAGAAGAGGGGAACATAGGGCCAGGGAGAGGGAGGGCAGTGCAGGACTCAGGCTCTGGCTGGCTCAGAAAGCAGAAGGCGGGTCGTCTAAACCGGTGGACTCCTGCTTTCCTGCTCAATGCATCCAAGGTTTAGGGACAGGACATGCAGGAAGTAAAGTGTTTTCACACAGTTTGGCATGGGGGTGAATAGTCAGAGGTGGAGTGCTGAAATTACCCACCCCCAAATTAGACAATTCATATGACTATTGTCATTTTGTGTTATTTTATGTCTTCATGAAATTTTTAATGGAAAGATGGGAGATGCCATGTTAAATATTACTAGTCAGCTACTATACCAATAGTATAACATTCAATGAAGGGTAATTTTATGTGCTTCATTCGTTCATTAACTCATTCATTCATTCATTTATGTCTATTTCCTCTAGTAGACTGAGAGTTCAGAATTATGGATTTTTATTGTTTTATTCAACAATAAAACCCAACAAAGGAACTGGCATCCGGTGGGTGCTCAAAAACTATTTGGTGAATGCACAAAACACACCCTCAGTATGAATCAAGTTATTAATCATCACCCAGTGCTGTTAATCATCATCCAGTGTATTATACATTAACAATTTTAAAGCATTTTAATGTCTATTATCTAACTTGATGCTAAAAACAACCTGGGTTGGATGTGGCTGTGTGTGCCTGTAGCTCCAGTTACTCAGAGGCTGAGGCTGCAGTGCGCCATGATGGCACCTGTGAACAGCCACTGCACTCCAGCCTGGGAAATACAATGAGATCTATCTCTAAAAAAGAAAAGAAAAAAAAAGGAAAAGAAAAAGAAAAAAAAGCCAATCTGGTATTAGGTAGAACATGTATTATTCTTCCCAGTTTATAGATGAAGAAACTGAGAACCAAAATGAGGCAGACACCTGCCTATGGTCACACAGAGTCACAGATAGGACCAGGAAGCAGTGTCCCCACCCCACAGGGTGGGTGTTCTCCTGGATCAGCTGCCTCTTCCCAGGTCTGAATGTGTGGATGAAAAGAGAAGCAAGAGAGGTCTGAAGGGGCAGGAGAAGGCTTCCTGGAAGACTAAGGCTGGCTCTTAAAGGGGAGGGACTGAGGAGGAGCATCCCAAGCAGGAGGCAGCTTGAGCAAAGATGCAGGTGTGGCCAGAGGGTCATGGGGAGATGGACCAAAGGCTCTTTCCCACCACTCCTGGGCTTGGGCATTAGTGCAAACAGAAAAATCCCCCAGAATGTTCACGCTGCACTTCAGCCAAGAGTTTTGATCTCAGCTTATCTCTGATGCTACAAGCCCTTTCACTGGCACTGTGTTCTCGTTGGGGTGGGAGGAGAAGGGAAAGAACAAAGATAGTGGAGTCAGACAAACCTGGCTTTGAAGCCTGACTCCTCCATTTACTGCAAGACCTGCCATGGACAGTATTCATCACCTCCCTGAGACTCAGTTTCCTGCCTTGTATAAATGGGATAATAATTACAGACTTGCTGACTTTTCTGGGGATTAGATGAGGTAGTGTATATGAGGTCTGTGGCACATGGTGGGTGATCAAAACTTCTTAGCTCCCTTCCTTTCCTTCTTGGCTCTTTTGTGGGTAGATAAGAGATGGCCCTGCACTTGGGATGCTGAAATAATCTTGGAACACAGCAGAGGGACATGCAGATAGTGTGGCAGCCAGTTGAGACCACACATGCCCTCCTACCTGTCAGGTCCACACACTGCCTTTCTCAGAAGGGGACATCATTTTACATTTCCCTCCTCTGAATGTTGAGGCTAATTTCCTCTTAAGTGAAGCCCTTGATAGCTGAGCCTCCACATATGGCAGACTTCCCTTGTTTGCTGTCAGAACAAAGCCCCATGCTCCATGCAAATGCTGTGCATTTCAATTGTGCTGTGCAGCCCTCTCCTTGCTAACCATCCTGGAAGAAGAGCACAAGGAGCATCATGGACAGGATACTGTCAGAGGGAGCCTGGATGTGCTGGATAACTTGCTCCAGCTTCAGGAACTGCCCTACAGACATTGCCCCAAATAGCTGGATTCCTGGGAGCCAAAATGGAGGGAACCTATGAGCAATGTGCAGGCATTTGATAGACTCTATTGTGTGTGAAATTATCTGCTGGGCACCTTCTAGGTGGAGGCAAGGGGAAGGGAAAGGGGCACAGAGGAGTTAATAGTGTCATTAACATCCGGGTGCAGTGGCTCATGCCTATGATCCCAGCACTTTGGGAGGCCAAGGCAGGTGAATTGCTTGATCCAAGGAGTTTGAGTTTGAGACCAGCCTGAGCAACGTAGTGAGACTCTGTCTCTAAATATATATATATAATGTATATTTATATATGTATATGTATGTATGTATATAAAATAAAAATAGTATCATGAGAGTGCATGGTTTGGGTTATCCCAGAGCAGACCCTGAGACAAGACCCTGAATGCAAGTAATTTTTTTGGAAAATGAGAAAAACCAGGAGGAAATGGGAAATAAGATAGAAACGGGAAGGAAGCCAATCAAGGGTAAGTTACTGAAAACTTCACCCTTTGTGGACAACTGAGGTTCAATGCTGCTCACTCTGGGAGACAGTGTAGAATATGCCTTGCAATTATCCCCAACAAAAGGTAAGAGAGCCAGGGTAATTTATTCACAAATTCTCATCAGTCATTGATTGAGAGCTGTTGGATTGGGGAAGAAGGTGTAAATTCTTTGGCACCTTTGTCTTGCCATGTATATGGACAGAGTGGATTCCAATGGCCAGAGAGAGGCATCAGGTACAGATGCTGGTAGTTGAACATCAGGTTGCATGAGGTGGGCTGATGGAATATGGGCATGACAGCAAACAGTATCTTGTACAGAGAAAGACACAGACATAAATGTAAAAATGATAATATTCAAACGATAATTAATTGAGTGCCTACTATGTGCCAAGAATTTTATATTCTTACAGCATCGCCACAAAGTAGGCATTATTGTCCCTATTTTACAGAGAACAAAACTCAGGGGCTAAAAGGGTCTGTATCATGCCTAAGACCACAGAGCATTAAGCAACCTAGCCAGTAGGCAAACCCTTGCTGCCTGACTCCAAAGCCTGGGTCCTATGCAGAGCTCCCCCTGAGACAGGATAGAAATGAAAGCTGAGCCCCACATGCTGGGACAATGTCTGGCTGTAGGACCAGAATTATGGATGTCCTCCTCCTAGAGGCAGGCATGAGAGACCAGGAAAATCTTTGGATGTAGAGATGCAGCTAGAGAAATATATGGTCCACAGAGGATCCCCAACCTACTAGCACCAATGAGAGTTAAATTGTTTTAAAGATGTGGGGAGGTGATTCCAGCTTCTAAGGGCAGCTAGCAGTTTGGGATCAGCTGGACCTAGGTTTAAACACTGCTCTCCTTCCTATTTTTTTGCTCTGTGACCAGTTATTTAACTTCTCTGGGCCTTAGCATTCTCATCTATAAAATAGGACAACAGCATTACCTCGCCAGGGTGTTGTGAAAATGAAATGATGGTGTACATGTAACGTACCTGTCCCAATGCTGGGCACATAGTAGGTGGGACTTGAGGCCAGGAGACACTGCTCAGTTTCATGCCCTCTTCTTGGGCAAGGTTTGTCTCCTGTATGAGCCTTGGTCTCCCAATTCATCAAATGGAGATAAGAATCTGTGGCCCACAAGTACACAGGGCTGCTGTGAGCTGGGCAGGACTAAAGGACAGAAACATCACAGTGATCCAGCTCCCCATGTGAGCAGTGGAGGAGCTCAGGATGAGGACAAAAGGCACTTGGTTCTGATCTGGTCTCGGCCACCAACATCTCAGGTGGCCTTGGCAGTTTCCTTTTTCTTTGAGTCAAAATGTTGGTGTTGGGTAAGGAGGTCTTTGAAGGCTCTGAGCTATTGGGCTTCTCTCCCACTGTACCGTAGTGACCTTCCTCTTCTCATCTCCCTGCCAGGCCCATGCTCTGGTTTATCACCACCTTTCCCTGTCCACTCCAGCCTCTTTGCTGCTTCTCTATGCTTCCCTGCACCCTGCATCCCACTGATCTTTTCTTGGACTGGCCCCAAGCCTGGTAACCATCCTCAGTGCCCATGGCCTAGCTGAGGTCACCCCCAAACCAAGGCTTAGCTGTGTGTATGGAGGCAGATTTCCCAGAGTGGAGGGTCACCATGGCCTGGGTACAGTGGAGGGAGAACACAGTCCAGAGCCTGGGCTATTCCAGGCTCAGTCCAGCCATGGCCCAGCCTTAGGAGTCATTCCGTGACAGTAGTCATTTGGTAACTGGCCTTGGGGTTTGGTCTGGAATCCGGCTGAGGGATCCAGTTGTGACCAGAGTCAGGCTGGGTGGCTGAGGCTCAGAAGCTGCATATAACGTTTTTTTCTCAAATATTCAGCCACCTTTTCCATAAACCACCAGGAAGTTAGCCTCTTGCATCAACCCAGGTGTCAGGACATTTGCCCAAACTTCTTTAAGTGATTTCAGGCTCCAGATCTAGAGAGGTTTCTGTCACCATTCTTTCTGTATCTTTATTCTGGGTATGTCTCAAGGGCCAGAATTAATGGAGTAGGTGAATGGTTACATAGTGTGATTTCAGGGATACCAAGGAAGTTGCTAGAAACCCGTAATGCTATTTCTATCTTTCTGGTCAGTACTGAAATCTCTCAGCTATAGATCCATTCATCTGGATTAGTTTTTGAAGCACTGGAAAAATCACTGGACCAGAAGTCAGTAGATGGGGACCCAAGTCTCATCTTTGCTTCCTACTTACCATTGTATTACCACACTTCTCTCAGCCTCACTTTACCTATCTGTAAAATGGGAAAGATAATGCCTGCCCTTCAGAATTGTTATCTAGATTAAGTGAGACCTAGAGAGTAGAGCACTGGCACCTGGCAGGGGCTCCATAAACATCCCTTCCTTTCCCTAGCCTTTCTGTAGAAAGAACAAAGTGGATTCTCAGGGCGCCATGCTGGAAGTCACCAGCAGGTGGCAGCACGGGGCATTTTCATTCCTTCCTCTCCTAATGAACCAGGTGGTGCTTTGGTGATGTCCAAAGATGAACCCGGGCCGTGGTAAGCTCCCTGGCCCTTCAGAATAGTAAAGCTTAGACAACCTTCTGTCTTGCTTGGTGAAGAGCAGCTGAATCCTCTACTGGCAGGGGCTGAGTTGGTGACAGCTACAGAATATTACCCAGATATAGAAACATGTCAGCCTCACCCCTGCCCTCAAAGAGTCTGCAGTCTAGGGAGGGAGGCCTGGGTGCATGCAGTAGGCAATAGAGGGGGAGAAGGTGAGCACACAAGCTGTGGGAGTGAGGTGAGGGACACCCACCAGTGCAAAGGGTGTCAGCAAGGGCTTCCTCAGGGAGGAGGGGCCACGGAGAAGGAAGTCAGGGACACCGGGAGGTGGCTAAGATATTTCAAGGGCTACCCTTGATTCTGCGTGTTTGAAGCACAACTACCTCTCATTTTCACTACAGACCAAGCTATCTCTGTAGGCCACATTGCTGTAATTTCTATAAACTCCTCAACTCTCTCACTTTCTCACTCCGGTGATGCCTGATCTCCCAACAGATGCTGAGTGAAGCCCCTCCTGGAAATATTTGCATCTCCTCAGTCCTGTGTCCCGCTTTTCAAGTGAGCAAGCAGTTGGGTATTTCTTCCTGCATTGGTGACCACAGGTGGTGGTAGTAGTGGTGGGGGTGGTTTTATAAAGGAAAAGACATCAGGCAAGGAATCTAAGGCCCCAATAACTGTATTTGAAGCCCTATCCTCCCACTGTCCAGGTATGACCTTGGGCCTCATTTCCCTTTTTGTATGGTAAGGTTGACCTAAAGGTCCTAAGAAAGCTCCTAGTTTTAACATCTAACACCCATAGATCCTTCCAGGTCCTAGAGCCACCTGGCTGAGTGACCTTGGGAAGGTCACCAGCTCGATGATGTGGATCCTTCCAAGCTCAACGTGAGTGACAAGTGTAATAGTGCTTTGGAAAAATCTGTGCGATCACCTGATTGCTCACGTGGCCTCTTGGGGGTAAGTGGAGGCAGGTTCAGATGTGTGTGCATCCCCCACAGACCCTAGCTGGGCACCTGGCAGCTGGCTAATTGAGGGAGAGGACACAGAGAGAGATAAAATATCTCTAATATTTCGAATACCTCCTTTCCCAGCTGTCCTGGGACAGAAGAAGCACCCTGGCTCTGTGGGGCCAGGACAGGGTCAGGGCCAGCGCAGACAGCCTGTAGCATTAGAAGGCGGGCTTCTGCTCCTAATGAGAAGGCCCTTCAACCAGAGATGTTTAAAGATGAATCCAGGTGGCGCTGAACTCCCTGGCCATGCAGGCCAGTGGGTCAAGTGGAGTCCACTCTTGGTGAAGAGTGGGGATGGGGGTGTAGGAGGTTTAGGGGTTGGTGGTGGTCTAGGCTAGTACTTACCAAACCTGGCTGTGCTTAGAAACTAAAAGTCTGTCTTTGCAGCACCTTGGGGATGTGGCTTAAAGTTTGGTATTTTCATAAATGGGGGTGCCTTAAAATGGGTCCACCCACAGAATTTAGCTGTCCTCCTCTGAGTCCCTCTCACTGAGGCCAGTGTTCAAACTCCCATTCCAGCACTGCTCCCCTGTACCAGCCACCTTTCTGACATCTGTGCAAAGCTGTAACGGGCCGGTCCGCTGTCCCAAACTCCCTTCCATTCCGAAATAGAACTGGTTAAAGGGGAGGGGGTGGGGAAAGGTGTAAGTCAGATGCATTTGAAGGAAAGCAGCTTTGAAGTCCTGAGGCCATTGTGTTAATGGCATTACTCAATTTCTGGAAGCAATCCTGATTAAATATTCATTGGCTTTGATTATACTGAAATTAGGGCTAAAGCGTGAAGTCAAATTGAGGGGAATAATGGCAGTGTAAATAATGCATGGCCTCTAAATTGAAAACATCAGCTTGTGCGGCCCCAGCTCTCCCCCAACCCTGCTTGTCACTGTGCCATTTGTTTAGAAGGTGATTAGTCTGATGTGGGCATCTTTCACCAGCTGGGGAACTAGGAACTGGAAGGCTCTCAGGGCTCTGTGTGTCTCTGCAAATGCAGGGGAATTGAAGCAGACACCTTCCAGCAGGGGACTTTCTCCCAGTCAGGAACCTGAAGTTTAGAATCTTGGTAAAGCCCCGTCACAGAGTCCTATATTCTCTGAGTGACACAGTCATGGACTCTGAGAAAAACAGAATCTCGTGCTCTTGAATCTTCCATAGTGTAATCCTTGAACAGAAAAGAGCCAGTAGGGTGGGGAGGAGTGTAACTGGAGAGAGGTTAGAATAACCAAGTGAGATTTATTTAAATTAATGTGGTCAAGAGACAGAAAGGCACATTGGTGATTATAAAATGGTGGGATGAGGGCTGTACAGAGGTGTGTGCAAGAGGCTGCTGTGGGAATTCAAAAAATGACTTTCATTTGCTAGAGGGGGTTATTGGGGGTCGGGCAGCTGAGTCAGAAGAGGAGAGTCAGGAAAGTTTCAAGGGGTCTTGCTAGATGGTGTCTTATCATCCTCTGGACCCCTAATGCCTGGCCCAGGGCCTGGCACAGAGTGGAAGCTGATGGATATTGGTAGGATAAATGGATGAATGAATGCCTAAGCATGATATTAGGGAAAGAGGAAGCAATTCTCCTTGCTCCTAGAGGAAAACTGTTAGTCTCAGAAACATGAAAGGACCATTGCAGGAAACTAGAGCCCCCAGTCACCATGGGCTGACTTTGTGGTGGGCACTGTGCAAAGTACCAGGATTGCATACAGCATCTCATCTTATTTCTTCCAGTCTTATGAGGAAGATAGGATGATTATCCCCATTTTGTGATCAAGAACGGCAATACTTTAAAGAAGTTAATTTGCACACATAGCTAAAGAAGTTAAATTACACACACACCTAGCAAGTAGTGAACTTGGCATCTAAATCCATGATGCTTTTTTTAAAACATTGTCAGTAGTTCTGCATCTCCAGTGATAGTCAGATACAGATATTCATATCCTCTCTCTCAATCCTCACCCATCCTTTCCTACCCACCACCGTTTCTCTGCTGCTGTAGGATTCCTAAGGGGTGAGGTACGCTCGTTTGTGCACCAGGACTAGGAGGACAACTGCCTGTACATGTGTTAGTATATCAAGAGTCCAGGAGAGCAGTGCCAGTGAGAGCTGCCACACCCCAAACCACAGGCTCTGCCGCTTTTTTTTTTTTTTTTTTTTTGAATAGGGAAAAAATCAGGTCAGGGGACAGAGCAGGTACAAAGGCGGAACGTAAGAAGGGCTTGTGGGTCCAGAGACTGGGGTTGGTTGAGTATAGCCCATGCAGGTCAGGGTAAGTCAGACTCAGAAGCCAGATCCAGATCCTCGCAATTCCGTGGCCCCCTGGAGCCCTGCCCAGTACCCGGCAGGAGGGCTCACTTCACCAGGCTGCCTCCCACTTTCCATCAGGGCAGAGCCTGCAGTCACGGAAGGCTGTCAGTGCCCTTCCAGGTTTCCTGCAGACTTAGAAAGGGGTTTTATGTTTTGGGGTCCACGGCTGTTCTGTGAAGTGACCGAGAAATGGATGTCACCAGGCTTGTTCTTGGATCCTTCCTTTTGGCCAGCGGTCTTGTGAAGAAGTTGAACAGTGTGGGTGCAGTGACCTGCCCAGCAGAGTGCCCATCTGGCAAGGCACAGGGATGAGTTCAGGAGAGCTTCCTGCTGATTCCAGGCTGCCTTGCACGAAAGCACGCCTTGACCTGTCTACATGCACACACGCCACCGTGAAATTTCCTTTTGTGGAGTCAGCCGACAGGTCAGCGCGGAGACCACCTGGCCAAACGGGCTCTGTGACAGGGAAAGCAGGTCAGCCATGGGTCAAGGACTCTGGGAGCAATTCTCTGTTCATCCACCACCGTGTTAAGCAACTGGGACAAGAAATGTAACCTCTGGTTTAGCCTGGCTTCCTCTCTGTCATGTTGATGGTGAGATCGGACTAAATATCTTTCCTGTGCAAATAGTCTTCAGATACACTCCCTTTCCCAGCCAATGCTCACTGGGCACTCAATCTACACCCAGCCCTGCCCAGGGTCCGGGGACTTGCTGAGGAGATTAAGCAAGGACAAACAGATAAGGATTAGTATCAGCGCTTTAAGAAAGCAACCAAGAGCTTTGAATATACAAAGAAATGAGTAGGTATCTCTGGTGGGCTACATCAACAGTGGGAGCTGCAAAGCCAGGTGACCTAGGATTGAATCCTGCATCTTTCTTTTACCAACTCAGTGACCATGGGCCAGTTAATAAGAGTTCTTACTCTTCCTGGATAGGGTTATTCAGAAGATTATATGAAGTAATCCAGGTAAGAAACTACAACAGTGCCTGGCAGAGAGTAAACACTCAATATGTATCAGCTGCTATTGGTGGTATTGCGGGCTTCTTACAGAGAGCATTATAATTCCCTCCTAATCCATTTCCCTGTGTAAGAAGAGGAGAGAGTGAGAGGATGGAGGGAGAGAGAAAGCCAAAGAGGTGGTCACTAGCCTACAACTGATACCTGCAATGTGTCAAGCTCTACAACAAACACAAGCTCTTTTGACTTCCTGGATCACCCCTGGATCACCTGTATAGACAAGCTGACTGAAGCTGAAGCCCTGACCTGCTGAATATCACAGTCCTCACATGGATAGAATCAGGATTTGGATCCAGCTCTGCCTTGATGGGAAGAGGGGTCCTAGTTGTGTTTGCAAACAGACTGTTTACTCCCCTTATGGTTCCGTTGGGGGTGGCCAGCCCACGCTCCTCTCCCAGACTTCTTTCCGCCTCCTGCATTGCTCTCTGTGTGGGTGACTCGACAGACAGGCGCGCACAGCCTTTCCAACTCCCCAGCATTACCTGCAGGTCCAAGTGGGAGGCTGGCATGGCAGACTTCCAAAGCTCCCCAGCGTGCCGCCCCCAGTACTGGTTCTGGAAGCTGTCAGTGCCTCTTTAGAGCTCGTAATTAACTGGACTCCTGGCTAGATTTTGCTTCATTCTTTTTGAAAATACCACTCTATGCCATTAGTTGCTTCTGTGCTGTCACATCAGGGACTTGGTAAAGGGTCTCTCACACCCTTCCCCCTGTATCTCTACTTCCTCTCTCCTTCCTCCCTCTTAGACTTTGAATGGGAGGGAGGTAACAACCTGATTAGAAAAATCTTTAGAAACTTGTTTTACAATAAAACTTCAGATTCTTCCTAGTAGAATTGCATGGAAGAGAAAAAAATGGTGTGGATTCTGATATGACAAGGGTTGGAATGAGTTTCCCAAAGGAAGAAAGACCCAAGTTGGGCAGAGTCGGGAGGATCAGGCCACAAGGAGGGTGAGAGAAGGTAGGTCCAGTAAAAGGCAAAGCAAAGGCACAGAGGTGGAAGGCACGGGCTTTTGTGGGGCTCAGATGAGAGATTCCTCTGGCCCTTGGCTTCTAGGCAGAGCTGGTATTCTGAGAGGAGCAGGGGAGAGGAGGGAGGCTGGGTTCCAGCACTAACAGCTATGTGAGGCTGGGCAGCTGTCTTCTGCTCTGGGTCTATTTTAGAGGGCTGGTGTGAAGATATAAATGCATGGTGAGTGTAAGGGTGCTTTTTACCCCATAGAGTTATGCAAATGATCATGGCAGTTGGAATGAACTGTGTAGAACAAGGGAGGAGATACTCAGAGGTCTCCAACCCCAATTTCTCACCCACATGACTCAACTCCAGACAGCCCAGTACCTCCCTGAGCGAACATTCTCATTCTTAACGCTCATGACATTACATCCATCTGTCGTGGTTTCTGCCTCCTTTCTGCCTTTCTGAATACTCTTCCTTCCTCCAGGACTCCTTTCTCCTGAAAGTCTTCCCTGATTACTCTAATCCTATGCTGTCCAATACACAGCCACTAGCCGTGTGTGCACTTAAAATGTGGTTCTTCCAATTGAGATGTGCTGTATGTGTGAAATATACAACTGAATTTCAGGCTTATAAAAAAATATAACTATCTCACTAATAAAAATTTTAATATAGATTATATATTAAAATATTTTAGATACATTTGGTAAAATTTTCTATATATGTAATATATATATATACACACATATATGTGTTTTTTTTTTTTTTTTTTGAGAGGGAGTCTCACTCTGTCGCCCAGGCTGGAATGCAGGGACGCCATCTCAGTTCACTGCAACCTCCAGGTTAAAGTGATTCTTCTGCCTCAGCCTCTGGAGTAGCTGAGATTACAGGCATGCACCACCACACCTGGCTAATTTTTGTATTTTTAGTAGAGACGGGGTTTCACCATATTGGCCAGGCTGGTCTTGAACTCATGACCTCAGGTGATCCACCCGTCTCGGCTTCCCAAAGTGCTGGGATTACAGGCGTGAGCCATGCCCGGCCTAAAATAAAATATATTAAAGTTAACTTCACTTGTTTCTTTTTACTTTTTTAAGAGGGCTATTAGAAAATGTGAGATGCCACACTTAGTACATTTTGTGACATGTGTATTTCTTCTGCTGGGTGGTCCAAGTCTGGCTTTAAGCCCTTTGCTTACTCTCCTACCTGACTAGGATAGATTTCCAACATTGATTATGTTCAAATGAGGCTTTTCTACTTACGTCCTATTTTGTATGGAAAAATAGGACGTAAGTAGAAAAGGTCCTTTTCCTGTTAATACATCTTATATGTGAAAACATCTTATATGTGACTTGCCACTAATGTCAGTGTGACCCTTAGTGGGACTCAGCCCCTCTCTAGCAATCTGTTTTCTCATCTGGAAAAGGAGGGGCTTGAACACTTGTTCTCCAGTGGTCCTTCTTTCTCTGACATCTGATGGCAGATTAGGATTAATGAATCCTAATCTTTCCCCTGGTTTAATGTAAAACCTTGGGAAAGTTGCCTCCTTATTTTTGCATCTATTACATGATAAAACTGAGAGTCTCTGCGCCCCCCACCCCATCCTCCAAATCAAAGGGTGTTCTGGGAATCAAAGGAACTGATGACTCAAACTTGGTCTTCCAGCTCAGTACACACTTGGTGCTCATGACCCTCCAGTCCAGTGAAACTAATGCAAGTCTTCAAGGCTGGGGCCTGGATGGGCCCTGACTTTCTCCATTTATTCAACTAGCATACAATCACTCATTTAGCAAACACTCTGAGAACCAGGCCTGGGCCATGTGATGGGCTCCATGGCGCAGGAACAGACTTGCTGCCCTCTTGACCTCGAGGTGCTGATGGTGTGGTGGGGAGACCCCCAAAAACCATAACGAGTTATAACAGTGCAGCCCATGCAACCACTCAGGAAGGAGGGTTGGCTCAGAGGCTTCCAGACCAGGTGTCACCTCTCCTCCACAACAGGAGTGATTTTGCTTTTTCTTTTCAGACAGGGTCTCTCACTCTGTCGCCCAGGCTGGAGTGCAGTGACACAATCTCGGCTTACTGCAACCTCTGCCTCCTGCGTTCAAGTGATTCTCCCACCTCAGCCTTTCAAGTAGCTGGGACTACAGGTACATGCCACCACACCTGGCTAAATTTTATTTTTTAAAATCTGACTAGCCTCTTCACCCCTCAAGTCACAGGCCATCTCATCCCAACACACACAGTACTTTCGGGATAATGAAAAAACTTTCTAACATGGTGTGATAAGTTCCCTTTAATGGGCAGATATACCCATTTCCCAGCTGCTGTGAGTGATGGCTACCCTCTTCATTGAAGATTACCCCAGCCCTAGTGCCTGGGCAATACTTGTTAAAATAAAGAAAGGAAGGAAACAAAGGAGGAAGGGAAGAAGGACAGAAGGAGGAAGGGAGGAAAGAAGGAAGGAAGGAGGGAGGGAGGGAGGGAGGGAAGGAAAGAAGAAAGGAAGGAAGGAAGGAAGGAAGGTAGGTAGGTAGGTAGGTAGGTAGGTAGGTGACCGTCATCCATAATGCAGCCTCCTCACTGTCTGGCTTGTGTTGCAGCTGTCTGGGCCCAGTCCTTTTCCTGTTAATACATGTTGCTGGGCTTTCTGAGTATAAGGACTCCATGACAGGGAGTGGATCTTGTTTCTTTTCTTTTCTTTTCTTTTTTTTTTTTTTTTTTTTGAGACCGGGTCTCGCTCTGTCACCCAGGCTGAGTTCAGTGGCACAACCTCCATCTCTTGGGTTTAAGCAGTTCTCCTGCCTCAGCCTCCTGAGTGGCTGGGATTGCAGGCACACGTGCACCACCACAGCCCAGCTAAGTTTTGTATTTTTAGTAGAGACGGGGTTTCACCACAATGGATCTTCTTTCTGAATGGGGATCCTGCCTAAATGTCCTAGATACTAGTGGGTTCTAGATGTCCACTGCCTGATAGATGCCAAGCTGGGCCTGAGGCTCAAAAGTAGAAACTTTCATCCTGATCCTGCTCCCTGCAACTGACACCCCCACTTCTTCCCACAGATGGCCACAGGCTCCCCTTCCCTCTTGTGTCTCCTTTTTAGAATTTCTAAATTCAAAAAAAAAAAAAGAGCTTTGCAATGCTCTTCCTGGATCTGTGGAGTTTCTCTGACCAAACCATTTTCCACCCACAAGACCTTGCTTGCTTTTGGTCCAAAGCTGGGAGGCCTTCCTTAATCTCAGGAATGCTCTTTGTGTCATCTTCTGTGAAGATGCTAGCAGTGGCTCAGCAATGTTCAGACCTTTCCTGCAGTGTAAGCAAAGGGAACGAGGCTTGTCTTCTAATACTGGGGGAGTCTGGGTCCCTAGAGGCCAAGGACTGCATAACATCATAGTATCATTTCTCAGCAACAAACACTCAGCAATGTCTTTGTTGAATAAATGGGTGCATGAAATGGAACAAGAGTTAAGCCTTAAAGACAGGCAAGACATCTTCAGGATTCTGAAGCAGTTGGATACATTCTGGATCCCAGGTGGTGCACCAAGGGTGGAGGCATGGAGATGAGGAAGCAGGAAGGAGGAGCGCCCTGGAAGCTTAGGGAGGGCTGAGAATAGAGAGAGCTCTAGGTCCCACCCACTAGGAGGACCAGCCCAGACTGAGTGGAGTGAGAGGTCCTCAACTCCATCATCTTTTCCAACATGTTTAGTTTCTCACGATCCACTGAGGGACCCTGTGAATGCAGTGGCATAAATGTCTCCTTCCTGCCTCCTTCCTTCTCTTCCTCCCTCCTTCTCTCCCTTCATCCCTCCCTTCCTTCTTCCTTGCTTCCTTCCACAAATATTTAATACCTACTGTTCTAGGTTTGGGGGATACAGCAGTAAATAAAATGACAGTTACATCTTTCTAAAGCCTATATTCTAGTGAAGGAAAAGAAAATAAATATATACACATCAGGGGGTAATGAGTGCTATGGAGAAAAGACAACAAAGGAAGTAGCTGGAGGAGGAGCAGCTGTTCTGTCAAGGGTGGCCAGGGACGGCTCTCTGCAAGCTGATGCTTGAGCAGAAACTTCAGGGAAGCCTGCCAGACCTGCGGATAGGTCTGCAGGAGCAGGACCTGAAGGCAGGAGTGCCAGCCGAGGGTGCTGGTCCAGGGCCTGCCACAGACCACCCTGTGTAATCACTGGAAACTCTGTGAGCACTGAGGCAGCAGATCACACGAATGCCCCTATTTCACAGGAGGACAGTGAGGCTCAGAGAGGTCAGGAAGTAGCCTCAAGGTCATACAGCTGCTGGTCAGCAGATCTGGGTTTCCAGCCTGGTCTGTGGAGTTTTTCCACAATAGCCTGGTCAGCCCCATCTGAGATCACCAGACCAGAACATTTCATTTGCATGGATGGCCTCTCCCCTCGCTCCCTGCCTCCACGATTTCTCTGAGAGGTGAAGGAAAGTGTGAGCACAGGGCCTCCCTGCGTCAGCCTGTGGGGGTGCCGCAGCACAGACTCATCACCTGCTAGCAAGAGCACCCGCCCACCCGCGGCCCACCGGGGCCTTTTCTCCACCGCCTCTCCTCTCCATTAAGCAGCCCTGCTCTGTCCCAAGCCTCACAGTCTCTGGATACCCATTTAACTTTTTAATTGATGCCAGTGGTTGGCAGCTCCCCTGGCCTTGCCTCCCAGCCCTTTCTCTTTGCCCCCTCCTCTTCTCTTTCCCTTGCTCTCTGTGTGCCTGCGGCGCTGTCTCTCACCTTCTCCACATTGGTCTGGTTCTCTTCTTGTGCTTCATCTGCCGCTGTTTGTCTGTCTCTGACTTCATGAGTGTCTCCCTGCCTGTCTGTCCTTTACCTGACTGCCCCGCTGCCCCACCCCCTGCCCCTCTGTGTTGGTCCCCCCTCCCTATGAGTTTCACTGTTCCTGCCTGCAAGTATTACCTGGTACTGACCAGACAGCTAAGCCTGGTGTGAGCCCTAACACATATACACACACCCAGGGGCCTGTCAATGCAGACAGGCAAAGGGCGACCCCCAATCCTTGTGGAAGTATCTCCAGAGTCACTCAGGATGGCCTTGGGGCAGAGTCTGGGCACTGACTAGGCCCTCAGAGGTTGCTGAGTTGAATCCTACACTGTGTGGCTAGATGAGGACACTGAGGCTTAGAGCGAGGACGTGACTTCACCAAGATCAAGCAACTGATCCATGGCAGATCTCAGGACTTCTAGAGGCCATGTCCACCAAACTGTGCATGGCCGAAAGTCCCCACCGTGTGTCACAGCTCCTTGGGGGCCCTGGCTGGGTAGAAAGAGCTAGACCTGCCTGTCCTTCTTGTATTCCTTAGTCCCTTTTTTCTCTTGTTTCTTCTTTTCTTCCTCCTGTCTTCCTTTCTGTTATCTTTCTACTCGTTCAACACATTCTCATTGAACACTTTCTATGTTCAAAGCATTGCGCTGTGTGCTGAACGATATAATGGGTAAGCCAGAGGTGGGAGTCCTAATCTTAGGCATTTATTCAGCACATTTTCCTTACCTGCTGCTATGTGCCAGGCACTGCTCTAAACAAACTTGAGCAAGACAAAGTGCAAAGAGCATCCATCTAGAGAGGGAGGTAAAGAGTTCATTAACAATTTGATGTGAACTTGCTTCAGCAGAGGAAGTAAGCCATGCGTGGACTGTGGGGATTCAGAGGCAGGGCACCTAACCAAGGTGAGGGCAAGGAGACTGTGGGTAAGTCTTCCTGGAGGCGGTAATAACTAAGCTAAGATATGAAGGACCAGTAGATCCTGGCTGTGTTATTAACAAGCTGAGTGACTTCCCCTTTCTGATGCTCAGTTTTGTCATCTGTAAAATGGGGATGACAATGGCTATCTCATAGGGATTTGGAGGGGATTCAATGAAACAGTTACATAAAAGTCAATTGACCATACTGAGCCTCAGTTTTCTCATCTCTAAAATGGGGGCAACAACAAGCCTAACTCAGAGGGCTTTTGTGAAAGGCAAATGATGCATGACAGAGCTTAGTAGATTCTAAGATGCTGCTCCACAACAATTTTAGTTGTGACTATTGCCATCATGATCCAGAGCTTAAGGCTGGTGATCAAGAGATACTGGCTCTGACTTCATGGGAGGTAGATTTTATTTAATTATTTTGGTAATTCAGTTTTCATTTTCCTGCTTGCACCCCTACTTCCTAGGTGAAGAAAGGAGACACCATTTACTAAGAGTTTCCCATATGCCAGGCCGTGGGCTAGTTCTTCATATGCCATCTCCTTGTAATGCTCATAAGAGTCCTTCAAGGTAGCATTTCTATGTCTTTTTTCAAAGATGCAGCAATAGACTCTAATTTTTCAAAGGCTGCACAGCTAGGAGTAAGTACTGTCAGTTTTCCACTCCTGGTGATATGGAGGGGTGGAAGATTAACCCGCCTGCCCACATGGAGCCCAAGGCATCTTGTTCTGACAAGGCTTCCTGAGATGATGGCTATGGGGGGGTCATGACTCCTGGAATGGCACAGGCAGAAGGCTGAAGAGAAGTCTTCTCGTCTAATTCCTAAGAAGGGACAAGTGAGACCTAAAGAATGAATTATACTGACACAATGAGATAGTAAAACATCTCTGTAAGATGTTTAAGGCTCCATGGCTTACAATAAAAATGTATTAGCCCCATGGACATTATTTTTTAATTTAAAAAGTTAGTTTCCAATACTTAGAAATTAGAGATTTTATATAGAAGTCAAGGTCTCATTTGACTGATTCAAATTTGAAAAATTCTATGAAAGGATCGTGGAACTTGGGGCCTCATTCCTACCAGACAGTTCCTGGCAGTTGCTGAGGAGGGCTGGCCCCTCCAGACAGGCCGTGTGCACCATGCACCATGTCTCTGCCTCAGCCTATATCTCCAGAGTGTCTGCTCCAGTCCTTTACTCACCTGCCCTGCCTCAGGAGTCATTTGCCTTCAGAGCTCCTCCTGCACAGTGTTTTCTCAGGCCTGAGAAGTGAAGGCAGGAATTGAACTGGGCCCTCTGATTACCTGTTTCTTTCCACCACAGCAAGGTGCTTTATACAGAACATTTTGTAGGAAGTCTAGATTGATTCTGCCCTAGTTAGATTTCCTATAGTCTAGCACCAAAGTAGTTTTCCTTGGATTCTCTCTTTTCCTTATTTTTAATGGATAAGGATCTCAAAGTTTGTTTTCTGATTGGCATTCTATAAAGAAAAAAAAAAGTTTTTATTTTTGGATTAACCCTGGTGTCTGATGCCTTTTAGGCCACCCTCTTTAAACTGTTAGATGCATGTTGCCTTTTCACAATGTTAGGCATAAGTGGCACTTGAATTAAGGTACCTGCTGACTCCTTCTTCCGGGCTTCCAAGTGGACGGCCAAATAAGCAGGGTTCTTCCCTGAACTCTAATTGATCCTCATACTACCAGTCACATTCCAAACCACAATTGAGGCAAAGCTTAGTTGAATAGCCCAGTCAAAGGTTAGCCCTGGTGTCAGCTGAGTCTGGGGTCAGAACTCAGCCTATGACTACGTTAGTGCTCTGGCGGGGGCTGAAGACAGAGAATGTTTGGATTCTCTCTGCTTCTGCTTTGCTTTCCCCTTCTCTCCCTTCTTCTTTGGACTATTCACTAACATAGACCTCTTTGGCAAGCTTTCTCTTCACCACTGTCCAGGGCTTCACAGACTTGGCTTAAGAGAAGGAGCCAATCCGTTTGACTTCAGTGAAGACTGAGAGCACTTTGTGATGCTCAGCACAGAATAGACACACCCATGAGTCTTTAACTGTAGTCATAGTGATAGCCCTTGGGCATGGAAAGGAAAATCCCTCATCTCTTCCCAATTCCTTCTGGGATGTGAAGCCTGGGTCTCTGGGACTGTATACGCAGTGGCCTAGGCAGCCAGATTCTGAATGCCTGCAGAGCCAGAGAAATAATGTTTCTCTGGGCACATTTTCCAGGACATTTTTAGAATGCCATATGACTGCCAAGGAGTGCTTTCTTATTAGATTTTCAAAATGTTGCCTCAAAACTGGAAGGATGACTTAGGCCGTCTTCCTCATTCATTCTCCAGTCTAGCAAAGTGGAAAGTAATTACATTCAGTGTGGTTTTGACAAGTCAGCTGTTGACTGGTAGGTAATTACAGAGCTAATGCTCCATGGCTCATCAATAAGCTCTGACCTCACCTTCTGATCAGTGGTTCAAGTCCTGACAACTTAATGTTTTTGCTTGTTAATGGAGCCAGACGACCTAGAATTAGGAAGTCCCTTGAGGACAGCAAATCCACCCCTCTACTCAGACCCTCTTTGAGGCCCAGCCTTACACACAACCTCCCATGAATACAAGTTGCTGGAAAGAGATTTTTTTTGAACACGCTTTTTGTGGTGGTTTTGCCTCATCCCAAATACTCTCCCTCATCCTGATTCTGAGTCATGATGGATGGCGGGTAGAAGCTAGAGGTCAACTGTGATTTAGAATGAGACTCTGTGTGGACTGCACATGTGGAGTGGCAGAAGGCTGGGCTCTGTCAGTCCAGTTGAAAGCTGAGGAAGGCCAATGCCAAGGTCTTCTATGTTAGGATTTTAGAAGCCCCCGATGTGAGTATCAGAATGGGATTCTGAATGGAAAGAAGTAGAGTTTCTCTCCGGAGCTGGAGTGGTTCCTCAGACATTGCCTTAGCATGATGCTGTTGGGGGCAGGAGGGAAAACTTCTTGAGTTGGACAAGTCCGCAGAACCACCTGGGACTTGGTGGACATTTGAATGCAAAGTATTAGCATCTTCCATCACAGCTGTCATCATCCCTGTTTTGTAGGCAGGAAACTGAAGTTGAGTGAGGTGTCTAAAATTTCACAGAAATGGCAGAGCTATGACTTGGACCCAAAGCCTGTGTCTAAACCCACTGTTCTTTTTAGTGTTCTATACTTCTCAATTTTAAAGCATCTCTTGGGGAAGGTGACATCCTGCTTTTCCTGGATGCCATGGTTTCTCTCATCCATAAAGTACTTTATATTTTCTCAAACCTTGTCCCTTATGTTATCTCACTGGGTTTCCCACCAGCTCCATTAAATGAGGCAGACAAGGGTTGTGATCCTCATATCCTATGTGATAAAACTGAGGTTTTCAGAGTGCTTACAGGGCTGGCCAAACTTGACACGATTAAACAGGGAAGGGAGATTACATGTATCATGCATTTATTGTATACCAGGCCATACCTATAGTATTATCTCCTCTGAGATTTCCCTATGTTGGCTGAGCGCTGTGGCTCATACCTGTAGTCCCAGCATTTTGGGAGGCCAAGACAGGCAGATTGCTTGAGCCCAGGAGTTTGAGACCAGCCTGGGAAACATAGCAAGGCCCCTCCCTACAAGGAATTTTAAAAATTAGCCAGGTGTATTCCCAGCTACTCAGGAGGTTGAAGCAGGAGGACTGCTTGAGCTCAGGAGGTTGAGGCTGCAGTGAGCCATGATCATGCCTCTGCACTCTAGCCTGGGTGACAGAGTGAGACCCTGTCTCAAAAAAAAAAAAAAAAGAGATGTGCTGTTAACCTGTAAGCAATATTGTTTTCCTCTTTTACCGATGAGAAAACTGAGGGAGTCTTTTCCCAAAATCCAAGCCAGAGAGCCAGGGAAAAGAGTCCAGCATGAAAGCCTAAGTCCCTGGCCCTCTGTATGACTTTGGTCTGCATAACAAATACACACACTGCATGGCTTCAACAACAGGAATTTCTTTTCTCACAGTTCTGAAGACCAGAAATCTGAGATGAAGGTATTGGCAGGGCTGTTTCTTCTGGGCCTCAGCCCTTGGCTTGTAATGGCCATCTTTCCCCTGTCCTCACATGGCCACTCCTCTGTGCTCACACAAGTCTGTGTCCTAATCTCCTTTTCTTACAAGGACACCAGTCATACTGGATTAGGACCCAGCCTCATGACCTCATTTTAACTTAATTATGACCTCATTTTACCTTGCTACCTCTTTAAAAGCCCTGTCTCCTCATACAGCCACATTCTGAGATAATGGAGGTTAGGACTTCCACATATGAATTTGGAGAGGACACAGTTCAGCCTATCACACACTGTCTCTGGCCTGTTGTCTCCTCACTCAGGTCTCTTGACTGCCAGGCCCTCCCCCACTCCCCAGTTAATCCTATCTCTTGGCAGACTTGAGCCAAGAGTGAGGTAACGCATCCCTCAAGGCCTTACTCTGAGCTGAGAGCCCCTGTCCCTGGACCGGGTCTACTGTTTTGGGATTGTTAAGAGACCTGGCAGGAGCCAGGAGTGGGGAGAAGAAACCTAGAAGATTAGTCATCAGCCTGGGCTGATTCCATCAAGGACTTGGGAGGTTAACTCGACCCTGGCTTTTCCTGGCAGAGCTTCCCAAAGAAACCGTCATGATATCCTGCTGCCACTGAGGGCTCTGGAGTCCTGTGGTACTGGTTCCACAGAAAGGGCACAGCTCCCAACCCCCTCACCCCAGTAATCCTCCCTGATGGGCAGGAGCATTTGAGGCTGATGCTCAGTATCTCTGGGCCAAAAATTTGAAAGCAGAAAGAGAAATTTAAGGCATCTTTGGGGGCCTGATGTGGAAGACAGTGGCCTCTTCACACCTACAAGGGCAGGATTCACATGCACTGCACATCTCCTAAGTGCCAGGTGCTGTCTGCACCCCGACTTACTCATTTTATTTCTTCCTCAAATACAATATATCCTTGAGAGGCAGCGGTCCCTATCCCTATTTTACAGATATAGAAATGAAAGTTTGGAGAAGGGAAAATTTGCCCAAGGCCAGATAGTATACCAGAGGATCCAATAAGGAAAGTATTGGTGTTCTAGCCAGTAATTTCCACAGGTTTATCAACACAGGAAGCATCCAGGGCACTAGTTTTAAAAGTGTAGATTCCCATGCCCTGTGTCAGAGATTCTAATTCAGTGGGTCTGGAGTGGGGCCCAGCAACCTGTACCTGTAATTTTAATGAGTACACCAGGTGACTCTCACTCATGCAAGTTTGGGGATTAACGGGTTGAAGAGCATTGCCCCATTCTCTATTACCTGCAAGCAGGAGCAGTGGCCAACTCCTGGAAACAGCTCTGCCCCAGGTTGCACTCTCGCCCTTTGTTCAAGGTCAGTTTCCTTTCCTAGCTGGTAACTTAATTTGATTGCCCCTTTATTGCCTGAATGAGATCCTTGTCACTCACCACAGTCTCCGAACATATATTGATATTTCAGAGCCTTGGGTGCCAAATCCCCAGAGCCGCCTTGCCAAAACTCTGAGTTAAATATCAGCACTTAGTCACGGAGGGAATTCTTCTTCGGCCTTGCCACAAGGTGGCCGTCACCTTTTCAGCATGTGCCACTGAAATTCGTTGTGGTTTTTCTAACTTCCTGGGGCTAAGCTGCTATCCTCTGGGACAGGGTCGGGGAGTGATTGTGTTGAGAGCTGTTTTGTTGTGTGTTCTTTTGTACAAGGTCAGCTTCTAGCAATCATTTTTTTTCTGATCGCCTGGGATTGCTCTCATCTATGAACCTGTACCACAAGAAGCACAATACATCCCAGGAAAGGAAAACAAATAAGCAAACAAAAAGCTCTATCTTGAGCTCTACTCAGTTTGCAAGGTAACGGACACGATCTTACTGATCCCCTTGCAGCCTTCAGAATTGTGCTGCACATTAATTAGAAATCCAGAGCCCTGGAACAAGGGAAACGACTTTGTGCTTCAATTTAATTTGTTCTCATTTTTTGACAGGGTTAAAGTTCATCTTCCCAGTCTGAATCTGAAAGCAAATTATAGCTGCGTCATTTTTATATTGATGTGCCCAGACTAAAGACCTTTGGAAAACATTTCTTCTGGGAATTGATCTGGCTGACAGTGTTTTCTCTCAATTCCATTTAGCAAACACTGACTGCAGCCTTACAATGTGCCAAGAAGTGTGGTGGTTGCCAGGAGTGAACATAAAGGGAGAGGATGCAGTCTCTCCCCAGGGGAGGTGGCCATGGCACAGGAGAGGTATAGCACACAGAGGACAGCAGTTACTAAGCACCGTGAGCTGGGACACACGGCGGCCTCTGGCCGCAGAGATCAGGGTGGGCTTATTGGAAAAGCGACTAACAAATTGGGCTTTAGAAGGTGATAAAAGCAACATAGTAGCTACCATTGCTGACTGCATGACCTGTGCCAGTGCCGTGCTAATGTAGATGTGCCACTTAATGTCACAACCACCTCTGGAATAAGGAGCAGAAGAACTCAGTGCTTGGAGATCAAATCCTGGCTTATCCACTGGCTAGCCATGTGACCTGGAGCAAGTGAGTCTGATTATCAGTCTCTTGCTCTGTGAAATGAGGGTGACAAGAATGACCCCACAGGGTGGTTGTGAGAATTAAAAGAAATCACCCACACTGATGAGTGCAGAGGTGGGCTGGGAGGGAGAGGTGGAGAGGATAGATAAGGCAGGTTCCCACGGCTGTGGTCACCCATTGAGATCACCCCCACTGTGGCCCTGGTTGTACTGAGCAGGCTTCATCGTCCTAGGCCTGTCAGGCAGCCTTCTCTCTGACACCCCAGTAACAGCTCAAATAATATTAGCCATGATTATTGCTGCACAGCCAGTGGTGTCAGAGCTGGAATTTGAACCCAGGCCTGTCTGACTCAGAGACCCTTGATCTTAACCTCAATCTATTGCCAAGACAACTCAAAGTAGTTGCAAAAGCCAGTGTCTATGCACAGGCCTTCTGATTCTCTTACATTCTTTCCACAATCTGTACAAATGTTACCCTAAAATCAGAAGCCCTCCTCTAAGAACCCTGTGCCCACCCTTCAGGCTGAGCCAGGGGGTTCCCTCTGGGCTCCCCAGTACCCCGTGCTTCCCTCAATCAACTCAGTGAGCACTCAGAATTCCACTGTCAACTTGCATATCCATCTCCCACACTAGACCATGTGGTCCTAAGAGCAGGGGTTGAGAGCAGAGTTTGAACCAAAGTTGGGAAATCACCCCATGTTCAAATTTTCTCAAACAGAAAGTTTCCCTTTAACAGTAGCAGGTAGGAAATGTGTGTTAATAAACCATGGTGCTGGCAGCTTTAAAATATTAATGATTTCTAGAATTGAAAATGCAAATTGCTGTCTGGAACTCCTCCACTTGGCATTAAAGAGAAGGGCTTTGAAAGGACACCATGGGGAACTCAGGAACTGGAGAATGGCCTTGCTAGAAGATGGGAAGACAAATAGACATTTACCACCTTTGTTATTGCCACATTTGCACCATTAAAACGCAAGAGCTAGTCACTGGGTGCTATTTGAAGGCATGGCTTTAAAGTGAGCAGGCTGGGCTTCTCCATCCACTTCAACATTCACATATGGGGTACCTACTATGTGCCAAAAGAGGGCATGTGTGGAGGGAGACAGCTAAGATCCCAATCTGGCCCGGGTCAGCTCAGTCCACTGTGGGCTGTGGTCAGGGCTCTGACCTTGAGCAAAGAGAGGGCATGGGTTCCGGGGAAATTCTCAAGATGTGTGTGAGTGGAAGGGACTGGGATTTTTCTGACAGGTGTTGTTCTCCCCCTCAGTCCCTTAAGTAAAGAGAGGGGTGCTGTGGAGCCAGTTTGGTCCTAAGCATGATCCCTGGCCCTTCTCTCAAATCAAGAGCTGAGGGGAAGCTGAGTGACATCCACAAGGCAACTGGAGAGAGCAAAGGTGGGGCAGAAGGGCGGGGGCGGCGGGATGGGTGAGGGCAGGTCCCCTGGCTGTGGCCAGCAGCTGTGCAGTTACCCCACCGTGGTGCTGGCTGTGCTGAGAAGGCCTGACCATCCTAGCGCTGTCAGGCTGCCCTGTCCCTGACAGACAGGCTGGGCTTGTCACTGCCCCATCAGAGCTCCCGAGGTACTTCGGCAGCACAGCCAACTGACACCTGCTTCCTTTCGATGACGTGTTCGTAGTGTCAGGCAGTCAGAAACTGTGTCCTGGGAGGGCCCCCGTCTCCTAGTAGCCTACCAGTTCCCATTCTGCATCCCTCTGTGTTTGTGGACCAGCTCTCTAACAATGAGCTTTGCCCCTTCTTTCCAGAAATCCGGAGGTATCTCCCCATCACCCTAGTGTCCCCAAAAAGTTGGGAGGCCTCTCCTGAGGCTTGACAGGACCCTGACTGTGGTCCCTGTGTGTCTGGCTTGCACTGTTCTAGGGGCTTTTCTGCTTCCTTCTGGCTCTTTGCTGTGATCTGGGTGTGTGACGTTACAAGGACAGGAAGCTCTGGATAAGTGAGGCATCAAGCTGTCAGGGAAGAGCGCAGGGTTTTGGAGTTAGACTGACGTCGCAGCTGCTCATCATGTGGACTGGGGCCAGTGGCACAGCTCTTTAACCTGCCTGCAGGACAGAGATCAGAGTGCCAGCCGTTCTGCAAGGCTGGCAGGATCCAATGAGCTTATATAAGTAATGCGCCCCCTGGCGCCTGGCACAGAGCAGGTGCTCAACCACCGAGATTTCCCTTCCTTTCCCTTCTCCTACCCTCCTAGGAGCCTGGATCTGTACCCTGACATGCATGTATTTGGACCCCTTCTTTGCTGTGGTGGCGAATATGTTAATCCTCTTCCTTCATCCTTTGAAAAATGTCTTTCTCCTTCTCCTCATGCATGCAGCTTACGTTTTCTTACAAATCCAATCTACTTGCAGGAAGCTTTGTGAGTTCCCTGAGACACTGCACGTCTATTATATTGGTACTTCTTGTCCTGTTCCAAGGAAAAGACTGTGTCTGAGAAAAATTATTTGCTTGATGTAGGCATGTTCTCTTGTCTACTCACCCCACACCCTTGCCTGTTGTTCTGACCAAAGTGGTGTTATCAGAGCCAGCCCCAGCCACTTACTGGGGCTTCTGATCCTCTTGAGCTTAAGTGTTTTAGAACTGGAGGGGACTGAGAGACCACCTAGCTCCGCCCCTTCTTATGACAGATGGTGAAACCGAGACCCAGGGAGCAGAGAGCCTGGGCCAAGCTCACACTAGACCACTGGTCCTCTTCTCCTTGTGGCTGCACAATTTGCAGCCACAATGCAAATTAGAAGAACAGTTTGCTGGAGTTCTTCCCCAGAACACTGAACTAGAATCTTGGTGGGGGCAGTCAGTGGGGTGTTCTGGGCATCAGTATTTTTACAAAGCTGCTGCATGGTTCTAATAAGCAGCCAGGGTTAAGAAACAGAAAATAAACCGTGTTTCTTGCCAGTGTATTAGCCTCACATACCTAGGGGAAAGCGTGAAGGAACTGTCCACAGGAGCCTGTTTCTGCAGGATGGTTCACCAGGGAGGGCCCAAGATGAGCATTCCCCTCTGCAGACGCAGAGCACCTGACTGGGTGTTCTTAATCAGGTATTTCTATTAGTCAGTAAACATTTATATCAGATTTCCTATGTGGCAGGCACTATTCTACGTGCTTTACAAATACAACCTCATTTCCTCCTGAGGGCGTTCCTGTGAGACAGTCTGCTATGATCCACATTCTATGGACAAGAAGAGTGAAGCACAGAGAAGTGAAGTAACTTGCCTGGGCTCACACACTCAGAGAGCAGCGCAGTCACTGCGCTTGTGCCTGAGTCCCTGTTTGTTACCATTATGCTCATTCACCTCTGGGTTCTCAGGTCACACTTGCAGCACCTGCCAGCACCTTCAGACCTTCAGACCCCCCACTCAAGCCTTTCTAAATGAATGGCTCTGCCAGAAGGTGGAAGGTAGGACTGAAGGTTTCTGAAATCAGTAATACTGAAAGCTACCTTTGTGGAGCACTGTGATTTATACATCTCTCCTTACCTAGTTTCTGATGAAACCATGGCGGAGCCACTTACCTAGGCCATACAGCTTCAAACCCAGGTCTGTCCAGCTCTACTTCCATGTACCCCAGGTATAACCTGAGGTAGAATTTGTAGAAAGAATCCAGGTTTATCCTAGGAGTTTTTTCGAGGAGCACATAATGGCATTCTATAAAAACACCCTCTGGAAACATATCCTGTGAATTAAATTTTTATAATTTATTTTATTCAAGAAAGATTCCATTCGCTGGTGATGGCATGGCCTAGAATTTAGGGCACAGGGTGGAGAAGTTATATAAGAACTGCTCAAATGTTTCTGATCTAACATGTAAAAATCCAGTTCACTGTGAGACCTTGGTCAAATCACTTTTTGTCTTAGAGTCTTGGTTGTAAATGGTGACATTAATTAGACCATACTCAGCTCTAATGGTCACTGTTCTGTGACTGCTGTGTGATATCAGACAGCATCCTTAACTCCTCTGATTTTTATGGTGGTAGAATCCTCCTCACTGGAACAAAAAGTAATTGCTACAGGAGAGTTGGTGTTAAGTGTAGCTGATTGCTTGTTAATCCACTTACAATGATGGATGTTTTAAAATCCATTATTGAGGACTATTGCATGCCAGGTGGCTTCCCATGCAGATTTCATATCTTTTTGACATTGTCCTTTTGTTTCAGCCACGTTGATGAGGCTGCTCTGACTCACCTATTTTGATATGCGGACATTTTGACACAGCTGAGAAAATAAACCATCACACCTTCAACTTCTTAAAAAAACATTAGCAAATAATGTGGCATGGAGACATTTCAGGCTAGTTCTTCTCATCCCAGAATTTCCCCCATCCTTGAGCTCCGCTTCTGTCAAGGGGGTCTAGGGAGGGGAGAGAGGGAAGAGATTGGGCTCAGGGTGGGCTCTGGGTCAAGGCTGGGGATGAGGATGGCAGGAACAGTAAGGAATTGGTGGGAGTGAAGGACACTGAAGATCCAACATGCGATGGGTGTGGCGGGGGGGTCTGTTTCACACAGTACCTAGTAATTTTCCAAACCAATTTTACATTTAGATGCAGCCATTTCAAAACCGTTACATCAAAACAACCATGTCAAAATGCCCTTCTCTGTCTGAGACAAAGAAAATGAGTGCCAGGAAGATATGAATAAGACAGGGCTTCTGCCCCCAAAAAGCTCAGAGTCACCAGAGGGGAAAAGCGGGACAGAAAGAGAAGCAAATTACTATTATACTGCTGGGCAATTGCTATAATAGCAGAAGGGGCTGGGAGGGAACAGAGCAGAGAGTGACTCACTGCCTGGGGGTGAAGCAGGCTTCCTGGGGGAGGGAGTGACTGGGAGCTCAAGAAACACATGTAGAATGACTAATAATAGCCACAGTTAATTGAGGACTTACCATGTGACAAGCACCGTTATTAGTACTTTATTTTAATTCATCTAGTCCTCACAGCCACCCAATAAGATGAATATTATTATTCCCATTTTACAGATGAGGAGACTGAGACACTCACAGGTTGAGTGACTTTCCCAAGACAACACAGCTAGTAAGTCGCAGAGCTAGAATTCTAAATCAGGCACAGCCATACCTAAGGTCATGCTCACCCACCCATCCCCCCCCTCCCCGCCCCAACGCGCCCAACACCCCCAGCCCACCTACAGCATTCTGTGGCCTCTCTGTGAGTGAACGACGGCTTGGGGTGAGGGAGAAGGAACACCAGCTTTAACGTTAACCAGACCTGGGTCTACTCTGCTCTCATCACTTGCCAGCTATATGACCTTGGACAATTTGCTGATCCCAGCCACCTCTTGAGTCTTATTCCTCTGGTCCTCATTCTCCCCAGCAGACATCACTCAATAACCGATAGCTGTATTTTATTGACATGGTAGATATGCGGCCAGCGTGAATGTATGGCAGGGATTCACAGCCATTAACAAGACAAAGTTCCCTTTGCCATGGAGCTAATGCCCCCAAGGAGCCAGCTCCGAGGACCCAGGAGCGTCCTCTGGACAGAGGTGTGAGGAAACTAGAAAGGTGTGAGGAGGTGTGATGAGTAGGTGAAACAACAGTAAGAGGCGAGCGTGGGAGGTGGGCAGGGGACAAGCGGGCTAGGGAGTACCGCCTGGGTTAACTTCGAGTGTATGGGGAAGCCGCTGCAGGACTGGGAGTACGGGAGTGAGATCCATCCGCCAGAAAATGGGCTACAGGGGAGGAAGGAAGCAGCAGGAGGCTTCTGTGGTTGTTCAGACAACATGCAATGGGGGCGGTGTTGAGCTTGGGCAGTGGCAACAGAAGTAATCTCCCTGTTGAGTACCTGAATGCTTCATAAACTGTATAGTCCTGGGCATATGGGAGTTGGTTCAGAATCATTACTCTTATTTCTCCCTCATGACTGACCCTTCCTTGCCTTCCTTGGCTGTCGCCATTCCATAGTCTGTTTAACAAACTCGTGGGCAAGGCATGGGTTGGTTTGTTTTCTCAGCCCAGAACAATTGGTTTGTTTTCTCAGCCCAGAACAATTCAGCTTCTCTGGCTCCTCTGAAGATGTCATGTTGAGAGAGAGAAAAAAATTACACTCTTTAATAGAAATACTTTTCCTTCATTAAGTGAAATCTCCAAAGCCCAGTAGCATTTTCGGTGCTTATATAAAAATGCCAGTGGGGATTTGAGATTGAAAGTGGTATTTTTATACAACTCAATGAAGATCTCAATAGGAAAGAAAGAACACTCTTCAAATCTGAGTTCCTCCAGCATTGGGCAAGACAGATCTTCCACTCAGGGTCAGGATCACATTACTCCCAGGCCTACAAGGAAACTTTTCCTGAAGCTCTTGGAGTGCTCATATATATCAGTTCTCTGCTTGGGGAAATTGTATTAATAATGTCCTTCCAAGGCTACAAACCATTTAACTTGAATTTCTGTTTGCACCTCAACTCTAATAACTTTGTACAAAACCTCAGGTATTTGTAGGAGTTTCAGTCAGACGCAGATGTGTGCAGGTGCCTGCACATAAGTACAAACAGAATAACATCTCTTTAGTATAGCTGGGGAATCAAATTTCCCCTTGGGAATGTCAAAAGAAAGACTAGTCTCCTGAGATAGAGAAGGTTCAAATTCCAGCTCAGAGTCTTACTAGCCTGGCAGCCCCGGGCAACGTACTGAGCCCTCACAATACAAATTTCAAAGGGCCTGGCAAGACTTGGATCCTGATGTATGTAAAGTGCCTGGTACACAGTAACTGCTCAAAACGGTTCCTCTTCAGCCACCTCTTACTTGACTGTTGTATTGTAACCCATTAGAATCATCATCAATTTCATAACAATTGTTCTTAGTTATTAATACGTAACAACCTCCTCCACTCCCCAATTTAGTGGCTTAAAATGACAATTGTCATGTATTTCCAGAGAATCTGCAATCTGACCACACATTTCTACTCTGTGATGTCTGGGCCTTCAGCTGGCATGACTCCAACAGCTCGTTTTAAGGATGGAAAACAGGTTGAGAGCGGGCATAGGGAAGGGGCCCACTGGAACTGCATGGCAAGTTAAGGAACAGATCTTTTCTGAACACCTCCACTGGGCCAGGTCCTGGGAGGGGAAACACAGCTGTAAGACTTTGAGTTGGTGAGACCCTCAGGTGACAATAAAACCATTGGAGGGGCTGAATTTATGTTCCTTGACAAGTGGTTGTGTTGGCTCCTCGAGTGACATCAGGCTTTGGAGTCTGGTGAATCCAGCCTTTACTGACTTTTATCTTGGCTCCCTCATCCATGAGACAGGGATTCCCATGTCTCTTGCAGGGCCAATGAAGGCCATGCCTAGCAGCTAGCTGATGCTCAACCAATGGCATCTACTAAAAGAAGGATTCATTCCCACTCTGCCTCTTAGCATCCCAGTGCCTGCCCAATGTGCCTGCATTGCCAGGAAAGCAGGAGAGGGCTCTTATTGTGACTAGCAGGCAGGCTGAACTCTTGCCTTTACTGTGGAAAAATCCATTACGGAGAAGTCATTTGTCAAAGCCAACTGTTTAGCTGCTTTAATTTACATATTTATCAAGTTTGATTAGAATGTATTGTCTTAGACTTTCATCCCAGCTTTCACCTCTCCATGCCCTCCTTTCCTAGGGAAACTGTTTTTGTTGTCCTTGTTGCAAAAGGGCACTTCATAATTCAATTTGCATTTGCTAATAAGCCTGAAACTAAACCTGGTGAGGAATTTCTGGGGTCTGCCAGTGGTGGATTCAAAAAGCAGAGCGCACATTGGGGAAAGCCTGGGCACTCAGTTCTAGCTGGGTACACTCATTCAACCAAAGGGCAACAAATACTACTTCACAAGTATTTACTGAGAACATCATGTGTGCCAGGCACTGGGAATACAAATTGTGAAAGAGGCAAAGTTGTGGCTTTCCTGTTGCTTACTGTCTAGTGACCTCACTTTCTGCATCTGTAAGGTCAGGCATTTGGACCAAGTCACCTCTCAGTGTCTGTAAGTATCCTTTTGAACACTTACTATGCATCAAGTCATATACATAGACCTGAAGCATTGTCTCATTTAATTCTTACAAGATCCTTATGAGTTTGATACTATTATTATCCTGATTTTGCAGATGAGAAAATGAAAGATCCTAGAGCTCAAAGTCACATACGTACCTGTGGCAGGACTTGGATTTAATGCTTCTTCTGTCTGATTCTAGAATTCAAATTTATAACCACAAGTCTTGATCTTTCTCCTCCACTGGCCAGTTTGAATAAAGTATTCTTGCAGGAGAGCAGTTGAGCTCCTGGATGGCAGGGACAGTGTCTGACTTCTCAGAGACCAGCCCAAAGTTTGGCATGTGGTCAGTGTAAGAAAATATGAACTGAATTTAACAGAAAAGAAAGTCCTTTGTCCTCAGCCTTCTTGTCTGAAACCTCAGATCTTGAGCCTCTGCTCTGTTCTCAGCAACCCTGGCTGGCATAACAGATGCTGCATGCACTGCTCAGATCTTCAGGATTGAGTCCTCAGTTCCCAGGAGCATTGGTAGCTGAGAGCACACAGCTGAGTTCCTCCCTGGGACTTGCACTCAGTCCTGACTGGGGTTACACCTTCCCTGATGGCAGGCCATATCCAGTATCCTATTGATTCAGGACACAGGGCCAGCCCCCTTGCCTCCTCAAACAACCAGGCAGGGCCCTCCTGGCCCAGAGCTCCTCGTGGAATTGTTGAAAGGCCCTGTTGAGTCTGTCCCCACCCTATTTCATTTGTACCTCTCACAAGCCTTCCCGAGAGCAATCTCAGTAAAGCTCCTGTATGGGAATCTCAGAGCCTCTGAGTCTGTTTCCCAGGAACCCTAACTTCAGCAGGTATTCTGAGTAGGTGGCTCTGGCTCTGCCTTTCTGGAGGTGTTTGTAGGGTGCTGGGATCAAGATAGATAGGGGTAGGGAGCCTGCCTGAGGAAGGAGCCTGCCCCTATTTATCTATCCTGCCATTAGCCTGCCCTGGAAGGCTGCCTACCTGCTCCCAGGCCTAGGTTCCAGCCCTATGGCAAGGAAGGGGGCTTTAGAAACTGCCAGAGCCCACAGAGCAGCCTGTCTGGGGAGAAGAACTCAGTGCTGCTCCTGTGACCATCAAGGTGACAACATCTTAGTTGGCCCAAGCCGCCTGTATCTCAGATCTGTATCTCATCACTTTTCAGCTTTTCTTCACTTCTCTGGCAGGAATCCACTGGCTACTTTCCAGGTGCCAGCCTGCATGGCCATTGCCCCAGGCAGCCCAGTGTAGTGAGAGGAGGCTGCTACCTGCCTGGACTACTCTCTAGCTGTGTGGCCAGGGGCAAGTCACTCGTTCTTTCTGGTCCTCTGCCCTTCTTCTTCATAGTGAGGGTGTTTAACTCGGTGATCTCACAGGCTGTGCAGTTCTGATGGCCTCTGTGAGTCTCCTGTAAGTCAGAGGCACCCTTACTGCTTTGTAAAGACAAAAGAGCAGTTTAATATGTCCAAGACATATTAAGACACCATTTGTGAAGATAGGGAGGTACACCAGAAAGGCTCCTGTCCCCAGCGCCTGATATTCCAGAATCAATGCTTCATTTTTTTTCAGGAGTATTTCTTTGTCATGTACATACTCTTTTCAAAGGTAATTCCTGTTCTCTTCTTCCAGCTCATCAAGGGCAGAACATTTGATCCCTAACCCTGAAGCATAATGAGTCTACTACTTAGATATGAGATTTTAGGCCATGGGAGATCTGAGCCTACGGGAGGGAATGGGGGTGTGGAGGATGCTAACGAGTCGGGAACTGAAAATAAATCTTGCCAACACCACTATTTTCTCAGGACGGCCCAGAGGCTCAGAAGTGCAGAGCAGATGCTGGGCATCAGGCAGAATGGATCTGAGTTGTGGCTTTTGGTCCTGCTTGACCAAGGCAGCAAATGATTTATGACCAGATGAGGGTCCAGACAGTGAACTGTGAATTCAGAGGAGGGTGAGGACACAGTGGTCTGGAGATATCTGGAGAGGCTTTGGGGAGGAGTTAGGAAAATATATATAAAGTCTGGGAAACTGAAGGTTTGCTTGGAGAGTTAATGATGAGGCCAGTTTGAATCAAGTATAATATTCTTGTAGGAGAGTGGTTCTTGACTGGGGGCTATTTTGCCTCTGAGGAGACATGGGACACTTGGTAACGTCTGAAGATGTTTTTCATTGTCATAACTGGAGGGAGAGGTGTTACTGGCATGTAGAGGATAGAGGAAAGGGATGCTGCTGGGCATCCTACAATGCACAGCTCAGCACCCGCAGAACCAAGAGCTCTGCAGCTCAACATACCTGTAGGGTTGATGCTGAGGAACCCCATTCCACGGCTTGTCACTCAGTAAATGGCACCTGCTATTATAGGTGAAGCCATGTGGCAGGGATATAAAGTCTCTTGCTTATTGTTTGTCTTGTGAGCTAGAGATTATTATTCTCATCTTATAAGTGAGGAAACTGAGGCTCAAGGTGGATAAATAATTGGCCCAAGGTCTCACAGTCAATACTCTGTGGAACCTGGTTATGAGACCCAGTCCATCTACCCAGGGAAGTCAGCTGACTTTTCATTTGACCCCCTCAGGGTACAGAAGAAACACAGGGAACACGGTCCTCCTCAGTGTCCCTCACCTAGCCCTTTCCTCTTGTTGGATCCACCCATCAAACACTGAGGCAGAGCTAACCCTGAATGTCTGGAATTTCATCAAGTCACATATCTACCCAAATGCATTTAGTGCTTCTCCGCTGCCTCCAGGAAAGCTCTATTGATATCTCCTAAACCTATATATTCTCATAAAATTATACTCAATAAATGTCTATACTATGGCCATGTTCTTACTATAATTCACAACATCCATTCCCTCTTTATTGTCTGTCTCATCAACACAGTGATATCCTCACATTGCTGATAAAATCAGATAAAACACAGCAACATTAACACCAAGGTTGGCCCAGTCCAAGTCCTGGATGAACATCAGTTTCCTCCTTTCCTTCTTAGAGGAGGTGCATCTGAACCAAGTCTTGAAGGCTGAGTAGGAGTAAGCCAGACGGCCAAGATGGGGGCTGGCATCCTAGGAAGAAAACAGAACATGTGCCCAGTGTGGAGGTGTGGGAGAACATGTCGTGTCTTGGGAACCATGGAGTGCTAGCTGGGGCTGGGGCCTGTGGAAGGGACTGGAGAGATAGGCAGCCACCAGCTACCAGAGACAGGGATGGTATGGTCTAGGCTAAGGGGGCTGGACTTGCTCTGCAAACAATAGAGCACTGCTGAAGGGTTTTATGCAGAGGAAGTGGTATGCTCCTATTTGCATTTTAGAAAGACCATTTTGGTATCCAGGCAGAGGGTGCACTGGAAAGGGTGGTGCTGGCACAGGGAGACCAGTGCCAGGGCTGTTCCAGTCCTGAGCAAGCCCTCTGATTAATACCAGCCAACCATGCTGCTGTTGCTACAGCGATGTCTTGTTTCTCCAGCTTAAGAGTACTATGGACCTGTTTGGGCCCTGGAGTACTGGAGAAAAGGCTGAAACTTGTCTGGTTTAGAAACCCATAGTAGGGCATTTTCTTGACTTTATCATGCCTTCACCAATCAAGTCAAGGAAATAAAAAAGGCTCAGGTGTCAACAACAACAACAACAACAACAACAACAACAAATGCTTCCCCCATTATAACATTCCACATTCCCCTCCCAGTAGCATTTCCTTCTTCCTTCGCATTAGCATCTCAATCCCCATGACAAGTCATTGTCTGGAGGAATGGGGAAACAAAACTGACAATATGAACTTCTGGGAGATTTTTGTCCTCAGAGACCCACCTAGGGCTCTTTGGGGCCTCTTGGCATCTACCTCTACCAGCAACAGATCCATAATAACTGGCCAAATAGATTGAGATTCTCCACATCTTGGCTCCGAGATTATGGCTTTGGTCCTCATTGAAAGTCAGCATCAATAGATAAGATGCAAACTTACTTAAGGTCTACATAGCAACTAGGAGAAATATAGTTATCTTCAGGGAGATGTCTATTATCTATTGCTGCCTAACAAGTTACTCTAGAATTTAGCATCTTGAAACAGCAAATATTTATTATGTCTCCATTTCTGTGGGTCAAGAATGTGGGAACAGCTTAGCTGGGTGGTTTTGGCATAGGTCTCTTGTGAAGTTGCAGTAGGCTGTCAGTCAGGGCTATAGTCACTGGACACTGCAGGATCCTCTTCCAAATGCACTCACATGGCTTTGGCAAACCTCAGTTCCTCCTGGCTGCTATCTGGGTACTTTAGTACCTCACCATGTGGGCTTCTCCATAGGCTGAGTGCCTTTATGACATAGCAATTGGCTTCCCCAAGGGTGAGCCATTCAAGAAAGAGATATCACACCCAAGATGGAAGCCAGTCTTTTTATACCTTAATCTCAGAAGTGGCACACCATCACTTCTATAGTATTTCATTTGTTAGAAGGAAGTCTCTAAGTCCAGCCCACACTGAAGGACAGAGGAGTACATCTCCACCTCTTGAAAGGCGGAAATGAACAAAGAATTTGTCGATGTTTTTTTAAAAACCATATAGGGTGATTTTAATCTCCAAAAGTCAATATGACACAGTAGTTAAAAGCACAAATTTGAGAATCATAAAGACCTGTGTTTAATTCTGGCTCCCACATTTGCTACTTATGCAAGTTTAGGCAAGTCATTTAACCTTTCTGGATCTCAATTTTCTAATCTATAAAAGAGTCTAGTCTAAGAATAGTAGATATTTCATTGGGTTGCTTTGAGAATTAAATAAGATCATGCATGTAAAGTGCCTGGCAAAGAATAAGTGCTACATAAATATTACTTAATTGCTATTGCAATGGGATGATATTGTCCTCCTTCCTAGAAGACAGTATAATATAGAGGTTAGGAACACAGTTTCTGGAGTCAGGCTATCTGGCTTGGGACTTTGGCTCTGCCAAATTAGCTGTAAGAACTAGGACAAGTCACTTAACTCTCTTGGCCTTGGTTTTCTGTAAAATGAAAATAATAATAGCTAGTGCCTGGCCATCTAATAGGTATTCAATAAATATGTGATGATTAAGGAAATAGCAGATGATAGAGGGTTATAGTGACAAAGGTGTGTCTGTGTATGTGTGTGTGCACGTGCATGCTAAGGATGCCACACAAAGCACGTTACTTCAAACACCTGCTGTTTAACTGGGGAGCCAGGTGTAGCTGCCCAGTGTTTTTTGAGTGTGCCCTTGTACCCTTGAGCATGTCAGCCTACATGAGCTCTTTAGTTGTTCTATCTCTTATGAGTTGTTCTTGGTCTCATTGTTTGCATTCTGTTCCACCCTGGCTTGGTTCAAGCATACTTTCTTCTTCATCTGTCCTGCCTCCACCAAGAATATGTTTAATTGGCTTTGCACAGAGTCTGGAGATTTGGTGACAGGAGGGGGTGGGGTAGTCACCACCTCAGAGCTGCTGCATTACCTTAAATTGATTTTGCAAATGAAAGCTAAAAGCTAAGCAAAGGCGACCCATCCATTTTGCCTAAAGATGATTATAATGCTCTTTTACGGCCTTCTAAATGACAAAGCAATTTGTTACCTGCCTGCATCAACATTTGCTTATATTAGCACCCGAGATGCTTGATTTTTATTAGCCCCATGTTATCATTTTATGAAGACGCAAGGGCTCAGTAAAATTAGTGTGCAAATAGAATGCCCATTTTGCATTTCCCTGTGGTCAGCAGAAATGCTGAATGCAATTGACTTGATACGGGGTCAGGGGAGACATCCATAAAGTTAGCCTTCACCAAGGGCCTCCTTAGTGCCATTTATCATTTCTGGACTGCTGGAAGATGGGGTCAGTGTTAGACAGTGTCTTTTAAAAGGGCTTGGTGATTTTTTTTTAAGTGAAAAAGCAATATAAATACTAAGACAGCGGCTCAGTTTCCATCACAATAAGATAAAATGAAATTCTCTTGTGTAAATTGTAAATGGAAATGCAGCAGAAGTGGAATCTTATATTGTTTTTACTGGATCCAGAATGAAACAGGGTAGTGAAAGGGGCACTGGCTGGGTGCTGGGACTTAACTCTACCACTGCTAGCTGAATGACCTTGGGCATGTCCCTTCCTTCTGTGAGCCTCAGTTCCTCACCCATAAAATGGAGTTAATACTGTCCACCTCACAGAGGCATGATAAAGATTAAAAAACATAATATGAGTCGATATTTCTTTATAAACCATCTTCTACACAAGTATTTTTATTTATTAATTCAATAGCCAGTCCTCGAGCACCTACTCCATGCAGGGGGTCCTGGGAAAGACATTAGCCATACACCCATGGAAGTTGCAGTTTCTTCCTTGAGGAGCTTATATTCAGTCCAGGAAATGCTTAGGTGTTGAATTCCTCTTTAAATAATAAACTTCAGGGCAGGTGAGCCTTCTGTCTCTCCCTTTGTTCCTAAAGGTGCCTAGCACAGAGCTGAGCAGAGTGAGTTCTCAAGACTATATTTTGGTTCCATGATATTTCTTGCTGCCTTTCAGGGGAAGCAGTGACTCCACCCATACTGATCATCCCAATGGACAAGCAAGTCCCAAGCCTTTAGAACCAGGTTTAATAGGGTTAATATTTTTAGTTTCATCTCTGACATTGGTGCAGTGACTGTTGGGATAAAGAACCACGTTCAGAATAGCATGTCTCCAGCATTTCAGAAGGAGAAATCCTATTAATTATTTCTATTCTCTCCCTCCAGATCATCCTCAAACATTGATAAATCCTTCAATTCAACCTCTCTCAATGTTCTTTCTAAATTTCCTTCAGGTAATTGTTGTGCTCTGTATCAATCAGCCCTTCGTCTGCCCACTGCTGAGTATCCTTCCCCAGATGTTTCTTTCTGGGAATGCCACCCTTGGCTGTTGCTTTTGTCTGATGATATCTTTGCACAATAGTTCAACTTTATTATACAAATTAGACTTCTGCAGAGACAAAAAGAGCTTGAGTTCTGATTTGGAGCCACATTTTCCTACTTTTCTGCATGTCTAATCATTTTTTATTGGATGCTGGATATTGCAAATTATACATTGCTTTGACTCTCTGGATTTTGTTGCCTTCCTTTAAAGAGAGTTGGGCTTTGTACATCAAGCATTTAAGTTTCTTTTGTTCAGTTTGATCCTTTTGAGACTTGTTTTAAAGCTTTGTGAATGTGGTGGTCTAGAGTAGTTTTTCCCTACCACTAAGACATTGCCCGTCTGAATTCTCATTCTCCTTGGATGATCAGTGAGGACTTCCTCTTTAGTTGTGGGAATTCAAATGATTCTTAGCCCTGTGTGACCCTAAGGACTGTGCAGTTCACAGCTCCTTGATCATTTTTTCCTGACATCATGGGGAGTCACCCTATGTATGCACATCCAACAAAGAATCAAGAGGATTCCTGTACAGATTTCTGGAACTCTTTTTCTACAGTGCTTCCCCCTCTCTGGAGCTCACAGTTACCCAACTACTACCTGCTGAACTTGAATCTCAGTGAGGCTTCTTTGCTTTGCTCAGGATACCCCTCTCTGCTCTTTGGTCTGGAAAGGATCATCAGGCAAAAAGCCAGGGCAATCATAGGGCATATCTCATTTGTTTTCCTTCTCTCATTGATTATCTTGCATTGGCTCTTGTTCAATGTCTGAAAATACTTGTTTTGAATATTTTGTCCAGTTTTTTAGTTGTTTAAGATAAAAGGGAAATGAAGGCCAGACAAGGGATTGGGATCTAATCTCAGCTCCTACCACCACTTTTCAGCTGTGTGACCTTGAACAAGTTATATAACCTCCATGAGCCTCACTTCTGCCTCTATTAAAAAAACACATTAACAGCATGTTCCTGTAAGGATTATGTATGTGTATAATGTGCCTGACACAAAAGGAGCTAATTAAATGGCAGATGCTACTATTACTAATATATAAATAGCTACCTTCTCTACTCCATCATTTACTGAATGTTTACTGTGTACTATGCAATGTGTAAGCCTGTTTAATCATCACAACAAACCTATTAAAATCCTTGTTTATAACCTATAAACAAGGATATATTGTCATCCTTGTTTATAGATTAGAAAATGGAAACTTGGAAAGGATACACAAGTTGCCTAAAGTCACAGTCAGTGGATTTGGGATTCAAATTCACTCATATGGCTTCCTTGGATGATTATAAATACTACATATTAATATAATATGATCAGTTGTACCAACAAAAGGGAATGTAGTCTTTTGTTGGGTAGGGACATAATTAAATTAGTCAGCAATGGCTGGACCTTAATGATTCTAACCCAGTGGTTTAAGAGGTAAATGTAAAACATCCAGCCCATTCCCTCTGGGGTTCCCTGCCACACACCAACCACTAGACTCAGCTTTTCTTGCCCTCCTTAGCAACCATCTTTCATTTTATCTTACAGACAATCTCCGGGAAGGGGCAGAGCAGAAGGTGGTATTCATCACAGGACGAGTCCACCCAGGGGAAACACCCTCATCATTTGTGTGCCAAGGTGAGTGGCAGGATCTCATAGGTATCCTATACCCACATCCAACTGGGACACTGTGATGATCTCTGGAACAGTGTGGCCACATGCAGAGCCATTATCTTAAATGGAAATTTAATGCATTTCTTTAAAGAGATTTTACCTGATCTCCATTAGGTTTTATTTCAATAAATGTTTATTGACTAGACGTATGTATGAATTAATTAATCAATGGATAGATGGATGGATGGATAAATGAACAGGGAGGGCTGAACGAAGTTATCTCATATGTGCTGTGGTGAGGAAGAGCCATACAGAATCATCTACACTCCCTAGCTTTACTTGCCTCCAGTGGTTTACAACAGCAAGAAATCTGGCCCCAGGTCAATGTGTATGTTGGCAGAAGAGCTGTGAAATGGGAGGTAATGACTGAAAACTATCTCTTCACTCATTCATTCAATCATTCACTTAAACAACTTTTGAAATACCTGCCAAGAGTAAGCACACTTGGCATCAGACAACCAGAGGCAAATAAGTCATAATTTTTATTCTCAAGTGTTTCTGTTTATAATTGCACTTTTACTTATTATTACATATTTCACCCATACTACATTTAGTCAGCTATAGTCAGCAATATATATGTATATTGTTGAGCAAGCTGAAGTTTAGAGAAGTTAAGTAATTTATCTCATTTTAATCTCAAAGTGACCATGAGGTCAAAGAGATATGAAACGCCTGTGTAGGTTCTATAACTCAAGGGAGGTGGCACACTGCAGTGGAAGCCTCTGAGGATTTGAAATCAGACAATCCTGAGGTCAAGTATTGGCTGTGCCACTTTCCAGCAGTGTGACTTCAGTTGCCTCAAATGTAAAATGATACTACCCAGGCAGGCTGTTACGAAGCTGGCATGAGATGAATATAAACAGCACACCCAGTCCTGTGCCTGGCACACAGCAGGCACTCAACAGATGTTACCGCCTTCCCCGTGGGAATCTGAGAAGATGAAGCAGGTAATCTGCTTTGTAAACTATCAAGCACTGTGCAAATAAATATGGGCTTTATTTTCCCAGTTCGTATTCTTACAATGCTTTAGTTAGGCACGATTGCCTTCCTCTTTATTTCAGATGAGAAGATGGAGTTTCAGGGAGGCAGTGACTTGCCCAAAGCCGACCAGCTTGTATGATGCATGACTGAGGCTCCAGTCACTATAGCTGACTCCTTAGCATTCTCACTTTGGCCTTCTTCCTCCCCAGCATTGTCCTTGCAGTAACCTCTTGAGGTCCCTCCTGGGTTTACCAACCCCTTTACTTGCGCCATCTGTCAGTTACTAAACTTGGCAGCAGATCTCTTCCCCCAGCTGATTGGATGTAACTGCTTTGTCCTTGTTTGTAAAAAGACAGTAGCCTTACCATCAATATGTTCATCTCTGGGAGCCCAAACCCCTGTGCTCACCTCCCCTGTGGGCAGTAGACAGAGAGCAGGGTTGCCATCCCATTTCACAGGTAACGACTGAGGCAGAGAGGAATTGAATGGATCTCAGGTGCTCTCTGAAGACCCTGTTACTAAAAGGGAATCTTTGGATGGTGCTGAGTTCATACACTCAATGGCGTTCTGTAGGTTTTCAATAAATGTCTGTTCCTTGACAGAGTCTTTCAATGCCTGCCCGCTGGCTTCTCAAAATAAACTACAACTCCCTGGCATGACATTCCCAGCCCTCTGTCATCTGGCTCTCACCTGGTTCTCTGGCCTCAGCCTCATACACTCAGCCCCACACAGCTGAAACCTTGAGTGGGCGGTCTTCTCTTGACCAGTGCACCTTTACACCTGCTGCTCCCTCTGCCTGGCAGGCCCTGTGCCTGCTCCTTGCCACCTGGCAAGCCCCATCCATCTCACAGGGCTCATTGTGAGTGCCCCCACTGTGGGCCTCCCTGGCCCACTCCCTCCTGCCACCTGCTTTGTGCCTGCATTGTGGATCTAAAGATGGCCATCATCTTTATTGATAACGGTCATCTCTATTGCCCTGATTTATTATCATATACTTGACTCATATTTGTTTTTCCCTCTTTATACCACGAGCTGTGTAAGGTCTAGGGCTGGTCTCCAACTGTCATTTTCCACATCTGTCAAATGGGGTTTCTTGTTCATCTTATGGGGCTGTTGTGAGGAAAAAATGCTGCGTTGAACTCAGAAAGAGGAGCCTCAGGGTTACACAGTCATTAAATAGCGGAGTGGGGCTTTTAACCTAGGTCTAGCTAACTCCCAAGCCTGTACATGTTCCCTTGTCCCACTCAGGGATGGGAACTACTAGAAGGTGAAGTCTTATACCTGAAAGAACTGAGTTCTGATCACCCACAACAATTGATGTGCATTTTACAGATCAGGATGCGGAGCCTCAGGGAAGCACAATGGCTTACCCAAAGTCACACGGCTAATTCACGACAAGTGTGGTTCTGGAGTCCATCTCCCCAATCCTGTTTCTCATCTTTCCTTGTCTCTGTATCTGCCCCATGAGACACACAATTCATACTTCCTTGAGGCAGTGTAAGAGGCATCATTACCCCACTTTACCAATACAGAACTGAGGCATGGTCTTTTCTAAGGGTGTCTCAGCTACATGTAGACAGCCCGATCACAGCCCCACAGGGCACAGCTGGGAGTTTCTTCCTCAGTCATAGCCCTAAATGTGTCCATCTTCCCTCAGCCCCCATCAGCCCACCTTCTTCTGGGGATAGCAGGCAGGTCCAAGGTGTGGACAGATGCTGACATACCTTCAGTTCTGTTAACTCTTCCACATTAACTGGCTCAGTGACCTTGAGCAGGGAACAGGCATGTGAAGCCGGTTGTGCCCATCTGGCTGGGACCACAGTTCTCACCGCCGAGCTGCTGATGCACCTGCTGCTGGGAGTAGAGTGAAGTCCTGTCACCACATAGCTCTGGAAGGGGTGGCAGCAAGGGTAGCAGGGCTCAGATTCCTCAAGACTCTGCTTGTTGGTGGGATGCTTACTCTGCTACTCCAAACCCTGCCCATGACCTCTGTGAGGCCAAACTATCCTGTTCTCCAGTGACTACGGGAGAGGTCAGAGGAGCTCCTGTGTGGCCCTGTGGCCAGCCATGTGAGAGCGCCATCCCTCAAGCTGCTACACTGCGAAGCATGAATCCCAGCTCCTCCCCTTACTGCAATGTAACCCTGGGAAAACCACAAAATCTCCTTATGCCGCAGTTCCTTTATCTCAAAAGGGAAATAATAATAGAAATCCTGCCTCACAGCGTTGTTGTGAAGACTGACACAGTTCATATCCATCGAGCATTTAGGATGGTCTGGAATAGAGAAAATACTAAATAAGTGCCAGCAGTAGGGGAGGAGCTAGCACTAATGGAGCACATGGCCGGTGCCAGGGCCTCCATGAGGCACTTTGTACCTGGTTCCTCTAATCCTTACTGTGAACCAAACCCAGGTGTGGGCCTCCCAGACTGTGGGCCCCAGCTCTTCCTCGTCGCCTTCCTGAGAGGGTCACTAGCTGAGCTCTGCTCACCTGGAGGGTCACTTTGCAAGCCAGGAGCTTGGCCTGAACCAGACCTAGACCTTGTTGACCTTGTTTCTGACTCTTGGTCAAGTGTATGTTCTTTCACTGACTCTTCCTGGGACTCTGGGGCCAACTTTCATTGAAAATTTCCATTTGCAGAGTACTTTGTCCTCTCCAGACCCTTTATCATTGAATTAATGAAACCAGCACTTATGAAATGCTACTGTGGGGAGCCATGCCATGCTCTGAAGGGCAGCAGGGGCAGTGGGCACAGCTGTGGCTTTGGAGTTTGATGGGCCTGAGTTTGAGCCTACCATTTCCATCTAGCTAGGGGACTTTGCCTAAGTCCTTGCCTCTCACAGCCCCTATTTCCTGACCTGCAAAATGGGGGCAGCAATGTCTTCCTCAAGGGGCTGCTGTGAGGGTTTAATGAGACAGTTGTAGGTCAATGGTGGGTCAGCCCCAGGCACAGGTAGGTGCCTGACCAGTACCCACAATCCCCTCTTCACCTTCACTCTTCCACAGGAATTCCACCAGGTCACTGGGCAGCTCTCAGCTCTTCTTTTCAGAATAGTCCAGGGATTCACTGGATGTCACCTGGTAAGTTGGTGGTGGAGTGGGGACTAGATCGAGGTCTCCTGCCTCCCAGCCTGAGCCCTGCTGCTACATGCCAAGGTGCCCATCAGGGCCTAGACTATGGAGACAAAGAGCTAGCCCTCTCCCAGGAAGTTCACTCCTCAGGGTTATTTTGTGGGAGTAAGAAGAGGGAGGAGGATGTGGATACACACACACACACACACACACACACACATGCACACACCATGCTCTCACAAACACCAATATTGCCAGGCACCGGGACCAAGCACAGCTTCATACTTCCTGTCAATGAGGTAGTGACCTTTGCTCCTCCCCCATTCTGCTTTCCTCCCACCTCTCTTCTTCACCTGTTCTTCCTCTTCTCGCTATCCCAAACAGCTTCCCACTATAGGTGTGGTGCTAGATCCACTAAGCGTTTGTGACGGGGCCTTTCACTTTTCTAGACTTCTGTCTCTTCATCTGTGAAATGGGCAGAGTTGGGGGCAGGAGGGTGAGGACTTATACTCCGTGAACTTTAAGGTCATCAGGGCCAGACTCCTTGTGAGTCCATAATTCGAGGCCCTTGGACTCAGCTGAGGGCAGACAGGGGTCTGGTGCCAGGTCAAGGAAGGGCCTAGAGTGGCTGCTGTTGTGCACATCACACACTGGGCCAAGCAGAGACCTCAAACTGTCTTGCTTCAAACCTTGGCCCTTCCCACTACAGAGGACTGCCTCTGAACAGAGAACAGAAACAATAAATTTTGCACAGAATTCTCTAGAGAGAAAATCATGCAGGCATATGCAAATTATTCCACAAATCACATGCAGATAGACTCCTTGCTCTGTGCATCTTGTCTTCATGGAAAGAGCACTGCTTTGAAGCCAGCAGAACTGGGTCTGAATCCCAACTAGGTTCTTGTGAGGCACTCAGCAAGCGATGCCACACCCTGACTTTCTTTCCCTGTCTGTGAAATGGAGCCAATAGAATTACAAGTCAGTCCAGCTAATGAATATACAGTAGTTGTCATGGGTCGATCTTTATTTGCTCACTTCATACATAGGTCTTGAGTATTTTCCCTGTGCCAAGCACTGAGCTAGGCACTAAAAATATAGTGGCAAAGAGAGGAGACCTCTTCCTGCTGTCTTGGAGCTCATGGCCTGGAGGGAAGACAGACTTAAACCACAATGTAAGTTTAAGTAAGCCTCAATCTCAAAAAAGAAGTGCAGGAAATGTAACTTTCTTATTTTTCTATAACTGAATTCAGTTTCTATTTTGAGGCCCCATCCTGCCAGGGGCCAGAAACTTAATCTCATTTATGTTCCTCAAGGTTGGGTGCTTTCAGCAAAGAGTTCTGATGCTCTCGGGGTTGCAGGCAAATCATTGTATCATTGGTGCCACCTTCTATCCACACTGTTTGCTGTCCACCCACTGCACCTCATGACTCTCTGAACCTTGGCCGCTGCAGAGCCCCTGCAGGTCACTATCATGTTCCACCCTGGTTCCTGACTGAAAGCTGCTTTACCTCTGCCAGCTCTCTCTGCTATGCCTGCACCCTACCTCCACCTCTGTCCTGCCTTCAGGAGGCCCTGCCCTGCAGTATTCCTTTCCTCTTAGCAGCATTCCACGCTGCAGCCGGATGGAGCTCTCCAAAGCCCATATCTGACCCAGGCTTAAAACCTGGCAATAGCTCTATAGTTGCCTTCAGGTTTTTTTCGGCTGGAACAGCAAATCCTTGTTCACCTCTCCATTCCCATGTCTACAGCAAGCCAACGAAGAGCAATGATGAAAACAATACTTGTATATTCTTACTGTGTACCACTTTGCTTATATCAACTCACTTAAATCCTCACAAGAACCCACAAGTAATTCTTATTCTCCCCTTTGTAATTGATGAGGAACCTGGGGAACTGGGAGGTTAAGGCCACACAGCAAATGAATGGCAGAGAGAGGCATCAAACCCAGATTGTCCAGTTTCAGGGTCTGCGCTTTTAACCATGAAGCCAAGGCCCTGGAATTGAAAGGCTTTCCGTTACCAACAGACCATCTCTTCCTACCCCAGCCTGGATACCTTCCGCTGGCACTCCTTTCTTTTTATTTTAATTTTAAATTTTAGATTCAGGGAATACATGGGCAGGCTTGTTACATGGGTAAATAGTGTGTTGCTGAAGTTTGGATTTCTAATGATCCCATCACCCAAGTAGTGAACATAGTACCCGATAGGTAGCTTTTCAGCCCTTGCCTCTTCCCTCCTGCCCCTCTTTATGAATCCCGGGTTTATGGTTCTCTTGGTGTCTGTGTGCACCCCAAGTGTAGCTCCCACTTATAAGTGAGAACATGCAGTATTTGGTTTTCTGTTTCTGTGTTAATTCACTTAGGATAATGGCCTCCAGCTGCATCCATGTTGCTGAAAAGGACGTGATTTTATTCTTTTTATGGCTGCATCCTGGCACCCCTTTCATCTGGCTCCACTCTACTCATTTTTTAAGTCCCCTTTCCAATATCTCTTCTGGGGCCCCAGGCCCCTGCTGAGTCCCCACAGCTATGTGCTGTTCCCATCAGAGCCTTTGCCAACCAGTGGGGACTTGCTTCCTTACTGTGCACCCCTCTGAGGCAGGACCATCTTAGGCATTTTGAAATGCCCAGAATTTGGTGTGCCAATGAATGTTTGTAGAATGAGCAATGATCAGTTCAACTAATCCCACACAGTCAAAGTTGTATGAATTCCTGGAGCAATCCATCAATAGGCGTTTATAAGCACCTACTATGTGCCCAGCCCTAAACCAAACACTGTAGGAGAAAAAAATCAGCAATAAATATGTCTCAGTTGAGGTTTGGCTAGAGAGGTTCATCCTGGTCTGTTGGAAGCTGGGACAGGGCAGTGATCTCTAACTTCCAGCTTTAATTTCAAATCCTCTACCACTTTTCCTTCTCTTCTGGCCTCTCCAGCTTCCAGCCTTCCTGTCATCCTGCTTTTTTCCAGCTTCCTGGTTAAATCAGCTTGAAGAAGAGGACCTGGCAAACTTGTTTACAGAAGGAACAAGGCTGATCTCAAGGAGGTTGATGGTGTCTTCCAGCAGGAGGGAGATTATTCTCCTCACTTGACAGATGATTCTTCTACTTTTGGCGGAGAGGAATAAAATAGATGGAATCATACAATGTCAGTGTAGGAAGTATCCTTGAGAATTATTTAATTCTTTCTCCTAATTTTAAAGATAAGCATAGACCCAGAGGCTTTCTACAGGTCACCCCGTAACTAAGCCAAAACTAGAACCCAAGTTCTGTTTTGATTTGTTGGCTTCCACCATTCGGTATCCTTGTCTCCAAATTTCATTGTTAGTCAACTTCACAGACTAGGACACCTACTTCTAAAACTAATCCTGTTTTTAACTACCCACTGCCTTTCAACCTTTGATCTAAGTGAGTTTATTGAAGCATGCCACAACTTTCAGGTGCTGTGTCAGGCAGCTAACACAGGATCTCTGATACAGGTACACAACAGTCTTCCAGATTAGGTATTACTATCCCTATATCAAGATGAGAAAACTAGTCAGGGAAAGCTAGTCAGTAACTTCTGTAGCTAACACTCAGTTAAGATTCAAACTCAGGTCCTGAGACTTTCTGCTCCCCTGGTCCCTCTTTTTTCTTGGTCCATCCAGTGCTTTTGGTCTTTGGCCAGGATGGCATCATCTCTCCACTCTTACATGCCCTCTCAGTCTTCCCCATACTCCTCTCTCACCACAAAGAAAAAAGAAAAAAAGAAAAGAAAAGAAAAGAAAGATCTCCCTATTTCCTGATGAATGGGAATGATTTTATATTGTATCTGACCTCAAACCAACAGATGAGTCTTAAAACCTCCCCTCTCCTTGCCCCACACCCACCCTAGGAGAGGGAGCTCTGGGCAGCTGCAGCCTCTGGTCTGCCTTTGTTTTCTCTCATTCTTTTATTAGCTGCCTAATTGGCAGCCCAATTAATCTGCTCATCTGTGAAGGAGGATGGATCACAATGAGCTACTCCATTTCCAGAAGCCATTCTCTGAGGCGGTGTGGCCAGGCCCTGAGCACAGGCTGGCTCCTTGATGGAGGGCCGCCCCGGGAGCTGGGGTCAATTACTGGACAGATTAAGCAATTATTAGCCCCTAACAAGGGCGCCTGGCATCATTACCCTGCCTGTTTACTGGCAAACTGCAGCTTTAATATGAGGACCAACAAATAAATTAGGGCATCTGGTCTACTGCCGCGTTAGCCGAGAAGTAAATGATGTCCAACTGGCTTTCAGCTGCCTATGGATTCTCAGCCCTGGCCTAATGAAAAGTCTGAGATGTCCCTCACTGGTCACAGCAGCTCTGGAATGTGCTCTGGAGCGAGTTATCATTCCAAGAGCTGAGTGCCTGCACTGGGCACTTGTTCTTAGTCACCCTGCTGCCTTCCTCCTGCCATCTATCAAACCTACCTTTCTGACAGGGCTCAGCTCAAAGGCTTCCTTTTGACGCCTTTCTTGCTCTCTCCAGCAGGAACGGGGCCCCACTTCTGCATTGTGGGAGGGTTTTGCATTCTCCTATCACTTTCTGGCATTATAGTAATTTCATGGAATGCTAGAGCACCATTTTGCCCATTTTCTTTTTCAGGTCTCTGATGAAAGAGTAGAAATATGGGGGAGATAAGGAGAGGGACAATGGCTCAGAGTTGTTTGTTTTCTCACCCCCTCTTCTATGGGTAGATGCAGGCTGTCACCAGAAAGATATCAAAGAGGGAGTGACAGGATCAGATTCACACTTCCAGAAGATCCTTCTGGCTTCAGCGATGAGGGCTCATTTCATAGGTGGTGGCTGTTATCCAGGCCTGGTGTGATGGTAGCCTGGGTTAGAAGACAGGCAGTGGGATGGAGAAGAGGGGAAGATTTGCTCCATTCAAGAAAAGGACATGGGGACTGCCTGGCAGTAGGAAAAATGTCATGGAGACAAATTTTCTAAATTTGGTGACCGGAAGGCAGGGTGATTTTAGTGCCAGTGAGAAGCCGGGAAGGCAATCATCCCTGGAGTCCTGGAACAGAGGATCCTCAAAATGGGGAAAGAAGCACATTTGGAGTACATGAAAGAAACCTCCTTCTGCTCATGTGACTTTGGCTAAAATGCTTTTCCTCTCTGCTTCTTGGTGTGCCTATCAGCAACATGAGCATTTAAATCCCTAAGGCCTTGACCCTGTGATTATCACATCTGATGTCAATGTTTAACTAAGTGTGCCTATTAGAAAGCATCTCTTAGTTTACTGTTTAGTGCTAGCCCACCTCTCCCCATCTCTTTGTGATGAAACTAGGTGGGCTCTGAAAGCACAGCTCAAATATCATCATTCTCGGAAGCCCTCCCAGTTCTCTACCGCAGGAAATGCTCTCTCCCTCCTGCCCATGGGCTTCAATGTTACGTCTTCAACTGTCTCTTGGAAATACAAATGTATTTGTAAATACAGTTTATACAGATAACGCGTAGTCTATAACCACACACCCACAGTGGCCAATAACAACACAGGCCAAAATCACCTATTGAGCTCTTCTTGTTTTCCAAGCTGAGAAAAATGTGTTTCCTTCTTCTTGAAATGCTTTGTTGTTAAACCGGGCTCTTCTCTTTCCCTAGGGATCATTGACTTCCTTGTAAGCCAGCACCCTATTGCCTGTGTCCTCCGGGAATACCTGGTCTTCAAGATCGCACCAATGCTCAATCCTGATGGAGTCTACCTGGGCAATTACAGGTAAGGAATTGGGGAGAATGCTTGGAAGCAAGTACTTATAGGATGGTAGTATGGAAGCAAGAAAAAATACGGGATATATTTTTTGAGGAAGAATTTTGAGGCTGCCCATGAGTTCATTAGAGAAAGTTTCACCCTGGCTCTTGAGAATTTCTTTAATTAGCTTTGGCTTTTTCATGCACAGCCACCTAAGGTCACTTGCTGGGTTTTTCTAGACAGCTCACTGGACCAGGAATCAGGAGACCTAGTCTCAGTTTTGGCACCTACTTTCCATGTAACCTTGGGGAGTCCACTTTTCCCTCTCTGGGCTCAGTTTCTCTTGCATAATGGAGACAATAATTACTTACCTGAAAGGGCAGTTGTGAGAGCTTCAAAAGAAATGGTGGGAAGGAATGTGTTTTGCAGAATATCGTGGGGTAGTTATAATGATGACTGTTTTGTTGTGTTTCCTCTTGGAGAATATCAATGAGAATAGAATCCCAGGTCATCTGAAAAACATTTCTCTTCAGTGTGGGCACACCAGCCAGCCCCACACTCACGCACTCAAATCTTGAACTCCTTTTCTCCTGGCTTAGCACCATAATTTACAGCCTAAAATTCCACTGCCCAGAAGATTATCTGCCAAAAAAACACCGACTCATTTGAGATAGATAGTGTTATTGCCCTTATTTCACATTAAGCTGACTTGCCCAAAGTCACACAGCCAGTAAATCATTGACTAACTTCGCCATCCAAATTATACAGTTTTAGAGCTCGTTCGGCCCACGACTTTCAAGATGACATTCAGACCCCCCAGCTTTGCATGCAAGGCATTGTCTGCCCTGCTGCCTGTGTGTCCACCATCCTGCCTCACCTCCTCCTCTCCTCCTAGAACAGGTGCTGCAGCTGCGTTGAGGAAAGCCCAGTTCCCCAGACATGTCCTATTGGTTCCTGCTACCTTATGTATGAAGATACAGGCTGCCTGCTGCCCAGAAATCCCTCATCCCTTCTTCATCCCATTAATTCTTTGCAACTCAGTTCATGTTCCTTATTCTGGAAAACATCCCCTTAAACCCTAAACAGAATTGGCCACTCTCTTCTCTGAGTTCTCACAGGCCTGGTTATTTATTTATTTGTTTGTGTATTTGTTTATTTGTTTGAGACAGGGTCTTGCTCCATCACCCAAGCTGGAGTGCAGTTGTGCAGTCATGGCTCACTGCAGCCTCAACCTCCTGGATTCAAGCGATCCTCCCACCTCAGTCTCCCAAGTAGCTAGGATTGCAGGCATGAGCCACTGTACCAAGCAGGCCTGGTTATCGAACAACTCTTATTCCATTGCATGTCCTCCACTGTACTTAAAGCTACTGGAGGGCAGAGACTGAACCTTAATGGCCTTTGTGTCCCTCATGCCTAGCAGCAGGGATCAGCACATGGTAGATGCCTAAAAAGTGTTTGATGAATATGAGAGATGAGAAGGATGACTTTACTAATGAAGAAACTGAGTCCCAGAGATGAAATAGTACTTACTCAAAGTCCGTGGCCTAACTCAGACTGGAACCAGATCTCCTGACAGCCAGCCAGGCTTGTTTTACACAGAGTTGGTTTACTGCTTTCCAAGAGCATGGCAACTGAGTCCAGAGGGGCTTCCTGGTACCCTTGGGTGTGAGTTAGAGAGAGCCCATGAGATGCCTGAAGCCTTCATTAAAGACAGTTTTGCTTCCACTCTTAATTGGCTGAAGTGATGGTTCATTAGCATTCGCAAGTTTTATGGCTTGTTGCAGGCCTGAGAGTGATGCTTTTCCACCTTCCATGGACAGAGTGTACTGTTAGCGATAATAGTGGTAGAAAGACCATTTGATTTATGCTAATGTTTCTGTTTAATTACAAGAGCAGCGGTCAGAGAGAGAGGTCAATACTTCTCTCCACACATTTATTTATGTCATCATCTGCTGTCTCGGGAAGGACTAGCTTGAAGGAGGTCAGTGACCTTGGCCAAAATGCCTCCCCTCTCAGGGCTTTAGATGGACACTGGGATGGTGATGAGGGCTACATGCTTTCTACATGTCTTCAAGCCCCAGAGATTTTGTGATTTGAGGACTCCGTGATAAAAGATTTCCAACCCTCAGAAGTGGTTTCACCCTGAAGCTTCAACCCCCAACATTCTCCTAGTGAGAATATGTGATTCTCATTATGAGACTTGGAGAGCAACTCTAACCAGAAGCATTAATGCTATTGCTAAAACTGTACAACAAAGAGCCTATCAATCATGAGAATTCTCTACTTAAAGCTTTAGAGAATATATAAAAAAATAATAAAGACTCAGAATTGAGAACTTCAAGGTGCCTTAGAGGTCCCCTAGGCCAGCCACACTACTCTCTACAGCAGTACTTCCATGGTTTGGTGAGACTTGCCAAGGCATTATGGGGGGAAATATTCAGAGTTCAAATAAGTTTAGGAAACACAGAGTTAAGCAAAGTTAAACATGTTCTTTTATTCATACGACTTTTCAAAATTTTGAATATGCTTATAAACATAGGGAATCTAAGAGGGGAAATAGTACTCAGTGTTTCCCAAAGTTAAGTGAGAGGGGGTCCACATCCTCCCTGTAACCAGTGTTATGGTTTCTGAAACACATTTTGGGAAATGCCATTCCAAGAATTCTACTTGCCAATCTAATGGCCTGTGAAGCACTCACACACTGATCTCATTTAATCCTCATAATTCTGTGATGGAGGAACTTTGTTTAACTTTGTTAAAGTTTTTCTAAATTCAAATAATAAAAATCTACTAAATCTAGCTTGAGTACAGGAGAAAAGGTGGCGGTGGGGGAGGGAGAGAGGGAAGGAGGCAAGGAGGGAGATAGGGAGGAAGGAAGTAAAGAAGGAAGGAAGGAAGGAAGGAAGGAAGGAAGGAAGGTTGGTTCTCAGAATTCTAGTGCAGTAAAGAGAGCCAGACTTCCCAGGAACTGATCAAATTGCTGGAAACATGTTGGAAGACGGGTGGCCAGGTCTTTGCCTCTCTCTCATGCTCTTTAGCTTTCATTCTCTCAACATCTCCCTCTGGACGTGCAGACTCTCAAGCCTCAGAGAAGTTAAGTCATCCCCGTGAGGTCTGTGGCCTGTGAGGAGCGGGCAGGGATGCAGGTGTGCCTGACCTAGCCCTGCTCCTCTCTGCAGTCCCACACTCCCCTGATAGCCAGCACCAAGCCTGCCAGACCCTGGGAGGAGAACCAAAGACAGGCCTGCCCTGAGGCACCTCACTCTGCTGGCTGGAGAGATGGTTCAACAGGCCAGTTCCCTGCAGTGTGAGAAGGGAAGGCAGGAGCTTGGAAGGAGTAAAGGTCAGTGGTTGAGAAAATGGACTTGGGTGTCAGGTCAGATTTCAATTCTGCTCTACCGCCTACTTGCTATATGACCTTGGGTAAATTACATTGCCTCATTAAGCTTCATTTTTCTCATCTGTCAATGGAGATACTATAGAGTTATGAGGCTTTTAGTGAGATAATGCATTTAAAGCACAGTGCTAAGCACACTGTAAGTTATAAATAAACATTTATTCCTCCTTCTCTTCCTCCTCCTCACTCCTCCACATTAAAGAAGCATATAATCCAATCTAGGAAGGCTGGTCAGGGAGATTTCCCAGATTTCATCAGCTAAGTTTAGATTTAATAATACAAGTACCTATTCTGTGGTATTTATAGTGAACTGAAGAAAGTACACTCTAAAATTTAATAGCAATAGATGGCCACTATACCATGATAGATCAAGCTCTTTATGTTAAAGAACAGCAACATTTTCTAACTAGACTACTGTATATGATACCAGACTATGGTTTACAGTAAGAGTATATAGAGCCTATACTAAAGTTTATAGCAGCAATATATAGTAACTATAGTATACGCTATAGTAGCTATCTTTAACAATTATGTTGGATGATATAACAATAGATAACAGTTACCTTATACAGTAAAAGCACAGAGCAACTATACACTCTGTCTTACTTACTGCACCTCAGTTACATTTGCCTTCTCTTCATTTCAGGTCTTAGGTTTAATGCCACTTCACAGAAAGGCTTTCCCAGGGATCGCAATATATAGTGGGTCTCCCATTACACTCTTTTATAGCACCCTGTACTCTCCCTTTATGGCTCTTGCCCTAATTTGTAATTATGTGTTTATTTATGTGACTATTTGTTTAATGATTGTCTTCACTTTAGACTATAAACTCCGTGAAGTCAGGACTTTGTTTACCTTGTTCTCTGTATCCCCAGTACCTGGCAAATGGGCTCTTGATATATATTTTATCTTTCTAGTCACTGACCTGAAGTTCACATACATGTTTCCAGAATGAACAAATGAACTAAACAACAGTGTTTAGTGATTGTACGATGGCACAAAGCTACAGTGCCCAGTGTAGAGTAACTAGGGCCAGATGCAGTCAGCCCCCAGCCCTTTACCTTCATCTGCATGGCCTCCTGGCCCAGTTGTTTTAGCTGTATGTTGTTGTGACAGGAACACTGCTATGCTTTAACCTGATGAGCTGCTGTTATAATTTAACAAACTGGATTCTCAGCCATACTTAGTTATTGCACGGAGCATGGTACTTTTAAAGGCACTTACAAAACCACATTTGGTCATACAACAGTGACCAAGAAAGGAAAGCCAGTTTTTACTGTATCCATTTCAGCCATGGGGAAACTGAGGCTGAGAAGGTGAAGAGCCATGTTCAAGGCCATAGGGTACATCCAGGGACTCGCCACACTCCCGCACATTGCCTTTGCTCTATAAGCTATAGGCAGAAGTGGAGAACTGAGGGTCTAATTTTCACTACTCTCCTGAGCATTCTTATTTGTCCTTGGACAAGACACTTCTCTCGCCTGGCCTATTTCCCTCCTACTCTCTTGGAAGAGGGAAGTGGGATGAAAGGCACCTTCCATCATTTAGTAGAAGCGCGGGGGAGAGGCTCTATCAAGAATGGGATGGCTACAGCATGAATGAAACTTGAGGACATTATGCTAATGTAATAAGCCACTCATCAAAAGACAAAGACTGTATGATTCCACTTACATGACGTTCTTCAAGTGATCAAATTCATACAGACAGAAAGCAGAACGGTGGTTACCAGGGGCTGGGAGGATGGAGAAAATGGGGAGTTACTATTTAATGGGCATAGGGCTTCAATTTTACAAGTTAAAAAGAATTTTGGAGATGGATGGTGTTGTTGGTAGCACATTATGAATGTGTTTAATGCCATCAAACCCTACACTTAAAAATGGTTATGATGGTAAGTTTTATGTTATGTGTATTTACCACCGTGTTACAAAAAACAATGGTATGGCTACTGACAATACAATGGGAATATTTTCAGAGAGTTCTGGAAGGATCTGGGACCTAGGAGTCTTGAGGGATGAATATTGTAACTTCAGGTATTACAGAGCCAAGAAGCTGCAAGCAACTCCTAGTTGGAAGGCAACTGGAGTTGGGGGATGATGGGCTGAACCAGTGTAGAATCGGTTGGTAATTCTCAATGTCTTACAGAAAGCATGCCCACAACACACACTGCAGCACTTGCACACTCTCTCTGCCAGCTCCTTCCTCGTCACTTCTTTTGCAGAGAAGAAAGCCCCCACGCCCACCTATACCCCACGGCGCTTTCTGAGCATAGGTAATGCAGAAGTTGCCTGCATTTGAAAAACAGACTTTCCATCTCCGTACAACAATATGAAACCCTGTGTTGGGTTTGCATTTCTTAATTAGGTGCTTGTCATTGTGTATTCCATAGAGCCACGTATAAGTAAACAGTCATAGACCTTTGAATAAATTTATTGGTTTTATTTATGTTTCTGGGCATAAAAATCTATAATTACCAGGTACAGCCTCAGAATAACTGGTATTTAATGACAATTACTTTTTGTTACCATAGAAATGAGTCCAAAGTAGTTACCCATAATTTCTCATTTCCCAAACCTCACACATGCTGAATTGCAATATTACCATAGTAATTGCCTATTAGTCATCATAAAATACGCAGTTACCCAAAAGATAGCAGAATGCTGTGAAATTTCTCATCTTTGGAAAACCTCAGTATTTCTTGGGAGTGTGGAGGTGGGGTGGGGAGGAACGGACCTCTATGGGTGGTACAGAAATGATTCTGCGTTATAGCACGGAACTGCAGACCCCATGGTGGAAATGGATGCTGTACAATCTGCAGACTCTCTCCATCATTATGTCTCTTGGCCTTGGCAATCCTTATGTAGCAAAGGATGCTCCAGTGCAGTAAATCCAGTATAACTAAGGTTTGTTGAGGTCCTGCTGGGTGTCAGGCCCTGTGCTGGGCCTTGGGGAAGCAGAAGGAAATCAGAGGCAGTTCTTGCCAATAAGAACCCCAGTGTTTCCACTAGAAATATGGGTGTGATGCAGTAGAGGCTGAGAGATACAAGAGGAGCTAGTATGTAAGTGTCTCCTCACTGCACATTATAGGTATCGTTTCATTTAGTCCTCACAGCAGCCCCATGATGGAGGTAGTATGATGCTCCTACTTTAAGTAGAGGGGGAGGTTGAAGCACATAATTACCACGGAACTTGCCCTAGTTGCTGACCCTAGGCTGCTCCAGTTTTAACCTCTTGATACACTGTCTCCTGAAGCAGAGAGTACTTCCTTCTGACTCATAGTGATGAAGGAGGGTTTTTGATGGATGGACAATATATAAGTTCACCAGACATAAAAAGGAGGTAGAGATTTACACAACAAAACTTCATTAACCATAGCAGAGGGTAAACCACCAGGGAAGGTATTTCCAGCACCAGCACACACACACACACACACACACACACACACACACACACACATTATAACTGGTCTACCTACCTCTTCCACCTCAAAATCTAGAGGAAGAAACATTTCAAACTATCCAAAAATAGAACAGAACCTAAAATCAGCCATGTAAAATATAAATACATGTCAATGTTCTATTTGTTCTGTAACAGCATAAAAACTGCCTATTTTTTCATCAAGCTAGAAACAGAAAACAAAGATCCACAGCAAGTATTGCCCTGTTGAGAGATCTGCCAGCCCGTCATCACTCTGAGCCTCCTTCCCTGCCCCAGTCACATTTCCCTGCTGGGTGCCCTATCACAGCATCACGAGAAACATTCAATCCAGTGCCCGATCCAGGCCATGCCCCCTCTGCTTGCCTGCCTCTAGGCACAGGTTGTTCCCTCCCTTCCAAGGCATCATGCTGTGCTGATGCCACCTCTGACTGTGAGACAGCACTTTGTTTTCAGGCTGAAGCTGCCAGCATGTAACTTCTGCCTCGCCCTCTGAAGGATTATTCAAGGCCAGCCCATCTTTCACATGGTAGCCTTCAGCCATTTGAAGATCATGTGTTCCCACCCTTCGCCACTCCCCACTCAATCCCACCACTGCTCCAGGCCAAACATCCCCAAAGCCTTCCAACCTTTCATATGTAATCTGAAATCCATTCCCCTCCCTGTCCTTCCCGCTGTCCTCTGAACGTGCTCCAGATGTTTGTCATTGTCTGTCTTTGAGGCGGGGTGTCCACGACTGAAGGATATCATTATAATGGTAATAGTGATGATGATGGCTAACATCTACTGAGCCTTCTGAACCTGGCACTATTTTAGGCATTTTGCATTAATTGTTTCATTTAATCCTTAGAACAAATGCATCATTATGCTCATTTTACAGATGAGGAAACTGAGACACAGGTAGATTAGGTACCCCCCTTCAAGTTCATAGAACTAATTAATTTATGGAGTAGGAATAGAAAGGGGTCATCAGAAGCCTCATTCTGGGGACCACGCTTCTTCTGATACAGCCCACATGCATATATTTCTGTCTGACATTGAGCTCTCCTCAGCCTAAATCTTTAATTTTTTCCACTTGCATTTCTGCTAAGCTGCAACTCCCCCATCTTCCCTTAGATCCTTACAAGAAGCCTGTGGTGTAGGCAGGGCAGGAATCACTCTCCTTCTTGAAGCAAAGAAGAAACCAAGCCACAGAGAGGCTAAGTAACTTGCTCAAGGTCACACAGTGAGTGAGCCACACAGTCAGATAAAGCCAGAGTGACAGCACGGGCCAGACAGACCCTTACCTCCCAGGGACTCTCTCCTGCTTTATGTAACCTGAGTGATGTTTCTGTGGAGGCTGAAAGGACACTGGGGCTGGCAGTGTAATCAGGTGTCTAACCCACAAGTGCACACCGCCAAAACCAATTATTCAAATGAGCTTCCCAGCCAGGTTCCACAGAAAAGGCCAGATGGCTAGATGTCTGTGGAGGCAGCTCCTCATCTCTGTCCCTGCAAGCAGCTGAATAGCATTTCAAAGTTAGAGTTGATAGCAAGTTGATCTTAATAATTGATTCTACAGTGAAGACAGGCCTCTGAGGAGACAGTAACCCAGAATTAGCAGCTAGGGAGTCTGGAGGAGCAAAACAATGTGATAGAATCAAGAACTTCACCATTTCTGGTCCTAGTTCCTAAACCACTGCTTGAATAGTGCCAGTTCTTTGTGTAAAAATCCTTCGGCGGCTCCCCATTGACCCTCAGAAAGAACGAAAGCTCTTTAGCCTGGTATTCAGCGCCTGCACAATGGCCTC